>NC_000004.12:719679-1074518 GCF_000001405.40 Homo sapiens | reverse complement strand
AGGACACAGAGGGGCTTCCACGGTGTACTGGAAGGGCCTGTGGATTAAAGGATCTGTGGGGTGGCTGTGCCGGGGGCAGAAGCCAGGAAAGTGGGTAGCAGAGGTCTTGGCGGGGCACAGTTGATGGCGGCAGAGCCTGAGGACCAGCGGGGTGAGGCAAGGAGCCTGGGAACAGGAGATGCCAGCAGTGAGTGGAGAGCCAGAGGAGCGAGCCCAGGAAGGGGCAGCAACTAGAAGTAGCACCTTGCCATGCCCCCAGGTCGCACTGAGAGGCAGGAGGGGCTCAGAGCAGAGCAGCCTCCCTTACCAGTCTCAGAACCTGCGCTGGCAGCTCTGGGTTCACAGGTTCCTGTGGGTTGAGGAGGGATGGTGGCAGAAGCGGCCTCGTGGTTGCTGGATAGAGTGAAGGGTGGGCACAGAGCAGGGCCCAGCACACACAGCTCTGAGCAGCATTAGCTCCAACCTGTCCATCAGCATCTGGATTTCAAGGTGACAAAATTATGCACCCAAGAATGATTTACTCAGAATTTCACATTCTCTAACATCAGCTGCAAATTTTGTTTTTTTTCACCTAAAATTCCTAGTAGAGCCCTTTATCCGTTCACTGTTTTAGGCCCTGGTGGAACAGAGGGAATCAAACAGGTAATCAGGTAATACCCACCCACACCACCTCTACCACCAGCAGGCAGAGTCGGGAGGTGAACACAGAATCAAGTTAGACAGGAACTTGTCAGAGGGCGATAAAGATGAGGGAGATGGGGTTCTGGGAAATGTGTTCCTAACAGACAGTGGGAGTCCGAATCTCGTAAGCCGCAATATTGGAATTTTACCCATTGTTTTCTTGTTGCATTCTTAGTCTGAGATAGCAGCCGGCCCTGCGAGAATCTCCATGATTAGTCCACCTCAAGATGGACGAATGGGTAAGTAAAATGTCCTGTAACCTCAGACCGATACATGCATCGATTAAAATGCATTCCCTGAAAGGTCATGTTTAATCAAAGCTGTCAGAACCTACCCAAGGGGGTGCTGTCCTTCCACCCGGTGCATGGGAGGCTACATATTCACCAAAATGGTGCAGCTTTTGAGTCCTTCCAGGGAGAAGCTCCTGATGACCGTGTAACAAGTCACAGGAGATAACTGGCTCCTTTGCATTCTATGTCCTCTTGGTTTTAAACAAAAATAGTGTCACTGGGTTTGCTTCCTGGTAATTGGCTTTGAATTGCTGGTCCCTTTTCAAAGTGAATCCCTCCCTCACCCTCAGCACACATCCACCTCAGCCCACACAGGCCATCTCCCCACACGCTGTCTCCTGCATCTTCCCGCAGGGCCACATCTAACAGCTTCTTTCTGTTTCATCCCATGGTTGACCTTGTCTAAGCCCCCTGTGCCCGGAGAGTGTGTCATTTCCAGAGGTTCACCATGTTTCTGCATAGACGTCTGTCCTCACTGGCTGCTCCTCCTAGCGTTCAGTTCTGGAAGGCACGGGGAACTCACCAACTCTAAAACACTTCCAATATATGCTGAGGTACAAAGGGCCGTCTTGTTTCCGTTCCAGCAGGCTGAGGGCACCCTGGACACGTTCAGAACACCCGCTGTGTCTGTTGTGTTTCCTCTTTGCCAATTTGAAAGGAAAAAGTCATTTTGATTTGCATTTATGTGACTATTAATGATTCTGAGTGTTTTCAATTTATTCCTCTGTGTTTTTTCTACAAATTATCTGCTTTATTCCTTTGTCATTTATGTGGAAGCCCTCAGTGTGCAGGATATTAACCTTTTACCCAATTTGCTTTGTAATTTTATATTTGACCTTTGAATTTTAGAGACAATATTTTTATGTACTCATATATATTGTTATTATCCCTTTTATTTTATAGGTTCTCATGCTTAGGGAGTTTTTTTTTCACATACTTAAATCATTTTTTTCTAACTGGGTGGTTTTTAAAACTTTTTCTTAGAGCAGTTTTAGGTTCACAGAAAAATTGAAAGGAAGGTACAGATTTCCCATATACACCATGACTCCACACACGCACAGCTCCCCCATCATCCTCATCCTCCACCAGAGCAGTCCATGTGTTAAAACTGATGATCCTACTTGAATACATCATTATCACCCAACGTCCATGGTTTACATTAGGGTTCACTCTAGGTGTCGAATGTTCTATGGGTTTGAACAAATATCTAGTGACATGTGTCCCCATCGTAGCAGCATATGGAATAGTGCCACACCCTAAAAATCCTCTGTGCGCCACCTGTTCATCCTTCCCCCACCTCCCACCAACCCTTGACAGCCACTGATCTTTTTACGGTCCCTTTTTCAGACTCTCCTGGAGTTGGAATTGTACAGTATGTGGCTTCTCAGATTGACTCCTTTCACTTAGCAATACACACTTATGGTTCCCCCATCTCTTCTCATGGTTTGCTAGCTCATTTTTTCAGTCACTGAATAATATTCCATTATCTGGATGTATCATAGTTCATCCATTCACCTACTGAAGGGCATCTTGGTTGCTTCCAAGTTTTGGCAATTATGAATTAAGCTGCTATAGATGTCCATGTGCCAGGGTTTTGTGTAGACATGTTTTCAGCTCCTTTGGGTAAATACTAAGGAGTGTGAATGCTGGATCAGATGGTGAGAGGGTGTTTAGTTTTGAAAGAAATTGCCAAACTACCTTCCAAAGTGGCAGCAGCTTTTCGCATTCCCACTAGCAACGAATGAGAGTTCCTGTTGCTCCACGTCCTCACATTTGATGATGTCAGTGTTCTGGATTTTGGCCAGCTGATAGGTATGTAGTGGTATCTTGCTGTTTTATTTTGCATTTCATTGATAACATATGACTAGGAGCATCTTATGCTGATTTTTCATCTGCATATCTTCTTTGCTGAAGTGTCTGTTAAGGTATTTGGCCCATTTTTTAATTGGATTGTTTTCTTATTGTTGAGTTTTAAGAGTCCTGTGTATATTTTGGATGACATTTCTTTTTTGTGTGTCTTTTTTTTGGATGACATTTCCTTATCAGATAAATATGTATCTTGAAAATATATTCTTCCATTTTGTGGCTTGTCCTTTGTTCTCTTGACATTATCTTTCACAGAACAGAATTCTTCTAGTTTTTAATGTTTACCTTCTTCCAAATTCTTTGGAGTTTATCTTGAGGTATGTTGTAAGATGAGTTTTTTTAATAATTTATTTTGAAAATACTTCAAGCACACAGAAAAAATTGTAAGAATAGTATTTTAAAAACCAAGTTAGTTTTTTTAAAATAATTTATTTTGAAAATATTTCAAGCACAGAAAAAATTGTAAGAACAGTATTTAAAAAACCAACTTAGTTTTTAAAAATAATTTATTTTGAAAATACTTCAAGCACACAGAAAAAATTGTAAGAACAGTATTTAAAAAAACAAATTAGTTTTTTAAAATAATTTATTTTGAAAATACTTCAAGCACACAGAAAAAATTGTAATAACAGTATTTAAAAAAATTAGTTTTTTAAAATAATTTATTTTGAAAATACTTCAAGCACACAGAAAAAATTGTAAGAACAGTATTTAAAAAAACAAATTAGTTTTTTAAAATAATTTATTTCGAAAATACTTCAAGCACACAGAAAAAATTGTAAGAACAGTATTAAAAAAAAAACAAAACTCCAACATCTCCCTTGTCCAGATTCCCCAAATGTTAACATTTTGTTAATTTGCTCCCAATCTGTCATCATTGGTATTTCTCTGAACCACTGAGCATGTTACCGATGTGGTGCCCTAGCATCGCTAAAAACCAAGAACACAGTCTTACAAAACCACCTGTAACTCTGGCCAGGCACCCACGTTGACACAGCACAGTCCTACAAAACCACCTGTAACTCAGACCAGGCATCCACGCTGACACAGCGCAGTCCTACAAAACCACCCACAACTCAGGCCAGGCATCCACGCTGACACAGCACAGTCCTACAAAACCACCTGTAACTCAGGCCAGGCGTCCACGCTGACACAGCACAGCCCTACAAAACCACCCACAACTCAGGCCAGGCACCCACGCTGACACAGCACAGTCCTACGAAACCACCCGTAACTCAGGCCAGGCGTCCACGCTGACACAGCACAGTCCTACAAAACCACCCACAACTCAGGCCAGGCACCCACGCTGACACAGCACAGCCCTACAAAACCACCCGTAACTCAGGCCAGGCGTCCACGCTGACACAGTACAGTCCTACAAAACCACCCGTAACTCAGGCCAGGCGTCCACGCTGACACAGCACAGTCCTACAAAACCACCCACAACTCAGGCCAGGCACCCACGCTGACACAGCACAGCCCTACAAAACCACCCACAACTCAGGCCAGGCGTCCACGCTGACACAGCGCAGTCCTACGAAACCACCCGTAACTCAGGCCAGGCGTCCACGCTGACACAGCACAGTCCTAGGAAACCACCCGTAACTCAGGCCAGGCGTCCACGCTGACAGCATAGTCCTACGAAACCACCTGTAACTCAGGCCAGGCGTCCACGCTGACACAGCGCAATCCTACAAAACCACCCGTAATTCAGGCTAGGCGTCCACGCTGACACAGCTGTACCATCCCGTCAGTTGTCACCACAGAGTTTTTCTTCTCCTCTGGTCAAGAATCTCATGGAAAGATGAGCTACATCCAGCTGTAACATCTCTTCTCTCTCCTCTGGACTGGAACATTTCTTCATACTTCTTTTTCTTGTCCTCAACAGTTCCGAAGAATAAAGGCCTCAAATTCTGAAGGGTGACCCATAACCTGGGTTGTCTGGTATTTCCTCCGGAGACCAGACCATCCTCTATTGGTGGGAATGCCCCAGAAATGCTACTGCTCTGCTTAGCACATCACATCGGAGCACAGAGGTGACCTGTTCTGCCACAGGGATGTTCACCTTAGTCACCTGATTGATTCCTCTTCACTTTGGTCACGTGATTCCTCCAGGAGGATGTTCACCTTGGTCGCCTGATTCCTCCAGGAGGATGTTCACCTTGGTCGCCTGACCACACAGGCATCTATCAGGCTTTCTCACTGCAGCCACTATGTCCCCCATAATGGATGAGTGTCTTGTGGAGAGATAGTCCAAATGACACTGATACCTTTTGCCTCATCCGGCCTCACCCCCCAACAATCAACCACCTAATGACTGCCTCATAGCAGTTTTTCCATTTCCACAGTTCCTTCTATATGTATTAATTGTCATTCTACTATAAAGAAGAGCTTTTTCTTTTACCCAATTCAGGTATCTATGTATTCACTAATTTATAACAATATGGATTCATAGATTTCTTTTTTTTTTTGAGACACAATCTTGCTCTGTTGCCCAGGCTGGAGTGCAGTGGTGCAATCTCGGCTGACTGCAACCTCTGCCTCCCAGGTTCAAGCGATTCTTGTGCCTCAGTCTCCCAAGTAGCTGGGACTATAGGCATGCACCACCACACCCAGCTAATTGTTTTTGTATTTTTAGTAGAGATGGAGTTTCGCCATGTTGCCCATGATGGTCTCAAACTCCTGAGCTTAGGCAATCCACCTGCCTCAGCCTCCCAAAGTGCTAGGATTGCAGGTGTGAGCCATTGCGTCCAGCCATATTCATAGATTTCTATTTTGTTCAGAGGTTTGTATTTTCTGCTAAAATCCTCCCAGACATGGTCATGTTCAAAATGCATTTTTAAAACCTCAACCAGGAATTCTGTATCCAATGAAATTAACATTTTAAAATGAAGACTAAATACATTCACAGAGTAACAGAAACAGAATTCATTGCTAATAGACCTGCCCTACAAGAAATGTAAAGGAAGGCATTTAGGTTGATGCCACACAGTCACTTCAATCTGTTAGAAGGAATGAAGAGCATGGGGAATGGTGAATATGGGATGAGAATAAGAGACTGCGTTGTTCATTATTTTATCTTCTCATTACCTTACAAAACATAACATTGAAGCAACAATGATAACACTGTATTGTTGGAGTTATAACAAATAGATGTAACATAGAGGATAATAAGCACAAAGGAAGAGCGAGGAGATGGAGCAACAGTAGAGCAGAAGATGAGACTCGTTTAAAGCAACCACAGCAAACATAACTCTAAAAACACAGCTGAAAAATCAAGAGGGATTTTTACATGACGTTGTAAAGCATGTGTTAAAGACAATCAAGACAATAGAAGGACAAAGGAGACAGAGGCATTGGAGAATAAATAGCAGAACGGCCAGTGAGGGCTTTCTTCCGGACCCTGTCGATGAGTATATTTTCTCCTTTCAGAAATACCACAATATCTTGGTTACTTTTGCTTTACAGTAAGTTTTGGAATTAGACGGCATAGCCCTCTAACCTTTTTCTTAATTTATCAACATAATTTTGCCTATTCCAGGTTCTCTTCATTTCCATATAAATGTTAGGATAGTGTCAAATTCTACAGAGAAAGTCTGCCAGGATTTTGATATTGATTGAATCTCTACATCGGTGTGGGGAGAATTGCCATCTTCACAGTTTTAACTGTCTCAGTGCTTAGATGTGCTATGTCTCTCCATTGATTAGAGCTTCTTTAGTTTCTCTCAAGAATCCTCAGCAATTTTCACTGTACAGGCCTTGTACTTTCTTGATAGACTTACACTTTAGGTATTTCTTTTTTTTTTTTTTTTTTGAGACAGAGTCTCGCTGTGTCGCCCAGGCTGGAGTGCAGTGGTGCCATCTAAGCTCACTGCAACCTCCACCTCCTGGGTTCAAGCAATTCTTGTGCCTCAGCCTCCCAAGTAGCTGGGATTAATTACAGGCGTGCAGCACCTCACCCGGCTAATTTTTGTAATTTTAGTAGAGACGGAGTTCACCATGTTGACGAGGCTGGCCTCGATCCCCTGGCCTCAAGCCATCCATCCACCTCAGCCTTCCAAAGTGCTGGGATTACAGGTGTGAGCCATTGCACCCGGCCCTAGGTATTTCATTATTTTTTACGGTGGGATTTTCTTCATTTAATTTTTATATTGGTTATAGTTCACATGGTATATCTTTTTCCATCCTTTTATTTTCAACCTGCCTGTGTCTTTGAATCCATGATGTGCCTCTGATAGACAACATATGGTTAGATCTTTTTTTGATCTATTATAATCTATACTTTCTGATTTGATAGTCCATTGATATTTTATATAATTATTAATTTTGTGGTTGGATTTGTGCCTGCTGTCTTGCTGTTTTTTGTTTTATATATGACAGGATTTTTAGTTTATCGGTATCTCCTTAACTGCCTTTGTTTGCAATAAATATTTTTATCATACCATTTTGCTATAGACTGATTTGAGTCCCCCCAAAATTCATATGTTGAAGCCCTAACCTCCAATGTGACTATATTTTGAGTTAGAACCTTTAGGAGGTAAAGTTAAATTAGCCCTAAGCCAATAAGATTCATGTCCTCAAAACAAAACACACTATTCAATGGAGAAAGACACTATTCAGTGGGGGAAAGGACAGTTTTTTTGAGAAATGGTGTTGGGAAAACTGGATATCCACCTGCAGAATAATGAAGTTGGACTCCTTCCTAACACTATGTAGAAAAGTCAATTCAAAATGGATCAAGGACCTAAAACTAAAAAATATAAAACTCTTTTAAGAAAACATAGAGCAAAAGGTTCACAATGTTGGATGTGGCAGTGATTTCCTGGATATGATACCAAAGCACAGGCAACAAAAAAAAAAATTAAACAAATTGACCTCATGAAAATTTTAAATTTTTCCACATCAAAAGATACTATCAATAGAGTAAAAAGGCAACTTGCAGAATCAGAGAAAATATTTGCAAATCATATGTATCTAATAAGGGATTACAATCCAGAATACATAAAGAACTAAAACTTAACAACGAACAACCTGATTCAAAAATGGGCAAAGCCTGGGCGCAGTGGTGCACACTTGTCATCCCATCACTTTGGGAGACCAAGGCAAAAGGATCGCTTGAGCTCAGGAGTTCGAGACCAGCCTGGGCAACATGGTGAAACCCCCATCTCTACAAAAAAACTTAAAAAGTAGTTAGGCATGGGGGCACACACCTGTAGTCCCGGCTGCTCAGGAAGCTGAAGTGGGCGAATTGCTTGAGCCTGGGGGGCAAAGGTTGCAGTAAGTCGAGATTGTGCCACTGCACTCCAGCCTGGGTGACAGTGTGAGACCCTGTCTCAGAAAAAAGAAAAGCGGAGGGCAGCAAATGACTTGAATAGGCAAAGTACACAAATGATCAATAAGCACATGAAAAGATACTCATCGTTCATCGTTAGAGAAATGCAAATCAAAACTATAGCAAGAGCTGGGTATAGTGGCTCATGCATGTAGTCCCAGCTGTTCAGGAGGCTGAGGTGGGAGGATTGCTCGAGCCAAGGAGATGGAGTCCAGCCTGGGCAACATAGCAAGACCTCATCTACAGAGAAAAAAAAAAAACAGCAAGATAGTATCTCATTAGGATGAGATAAACAGCCATTAGGATGGCTACTATATATTTAAAAAATCGCACCTGTAGTCCTAGCTACTTGGAACACAGAGGCAGGATTGCTTGAGCTCAGGAGGTCAAGGCTGCAGTGAACTATGATTGCATCACTGCACTCCAGCCTGGACGACAGAGTAAGATCCTGTCTCTTAAAAACAAAAACAGGCCGGGCACGGATGTCTGTAATCCCAGCACTTTGGGAGGCTGAAGTGGACAGATCACTTGAGGTCAGGACTTCAAGACCAGCCTGGCCAACATGATGAAACCTGTTTCTACTAAAAATGCCAAAACTAGCCAGGTGTGGTGGCACACACCTGTAGTCCCAGCTACTTGGGAAGCTGAGAGGCCGAGGTGGAGCTGAGCCTAGGAGTTCCAGACCAGCCTGGGCAAAACCCCCTCTCTACAAAAAATTATCCAGGCTGGTGGCGTAAACCTGTGGTCCCAGCTTCTCAGGATGCTGAGGTGGGAGAATTGCCTGAACCTGGGAGGTCAAGGCTGCAGTGAGCAGTGATCATACCACTGCACCCCAGACTGGTTGACAGAGTGAGACCCTGTCTCAAGAAAAAAGAAAACGAGAGAGGAGAATGGACAAAGAAGTAATCACATAGTTGAAGTCTGTGGATGCAGCTTTCCTCAAAGTATTTTTATGAAGATGGTTAAACCTGAAACAAACTTCAGAATTATTTGGTCTGCAGATGTTTTCCTTTAAATAAATGTTTATTGTAATCATTTTTAAAAACCCAAAATAACAAGTGTTGTTAAGGACGCGGAGGAATTGGAAGCATGTGCACTGTTGGTGAGAATGTGAAATGGTGTGGCTGCTGTGGAAAACAGTGTGGCCTTTCCTCCAAAACTTAAAAACACAATTCCCAGATGATGCTGCATTTCAATTCAGTACTCAAAAGGATTGAAAGCAGGGTCTCTAAGAGATGCTTGTATACCCAAGATCGTAGCAGTATTATTCACAGTGTCTAAAACATGGGAGCCATCTAAGTATCCATCAGATGAATGGATAGGCACAATGTGTGTCTCCGTACAGTGGGCTATGATTCAGCCTTAAAATGGAAGGAAACTCTGGCACACGCTACCGCGTGGATGAACATTGAGGACGCTATGCTAAGTGCATAAGCCAGTCGCAGAAACACAAATGCTGTGTGAGTCCATGTGTGTGAAGTAGTCAAGATCGTAGAGACGGAAAGTAGGATGGTGGCTGCCAGCGGCTGTGGGATGGAGGGGTGGGAAGCTCTCGTTTAATGGGAGTTTCACAAAATTTCAGTTTCACAAAATGAAAACAGTTATAGAGATGGGTGGTGTGATGGTTGCACAGCATCAGGAATGTATTTAATACCAGTGAACTGTACACTGAAAATGGTTAAGGTAGGAAACTGTATCATCATAAATTTTCAAAAAACAAAAGAGACACCAGGGAGCTTGCTTACTAACTCTGCACACACACAAAAGAGGCCGTATGAAGACAGAGTGAGAAGGCTGCTGTCTGCAAGCCAGGACCCCCATCAGCCAGCATCTTGATGGACTTGCCAGTCTCCAGAACTGCGAGAAATAAACTTCTGTTGTGTAAGCCACCCAGTCTGTGGTATTTTATTACAGAAGCCCAAGCAGACTAATACACGTTTTAGTTCTCCTGTTGATACTTTATCTGTGTGCTTTATTATTTCAGTGATTCCTCTAGAGATTACAACATGCATCTTGAACTCACCACAGTGAACACTCACTGAGGTGAACACCGACTGAATTCCAGTGGAACGTAACCACATTGCTCCATATAGCTCCGCTTCCTCCCACCTGCTTTGTCATATGTATTTATGTACATATATATGGGATCTATGTGTTATAAATCTAACAATATGGTGTTGTCATTATTTCCTGAATTAAACTTATGTTTCTTAAAGACCTTAAGAGGAAAAAAATCTTTTATTCCATCATTCACAACATATTAACCATTTCCAGTTTTTTCTTGCAGGGAAGATTGGCTAGAAGTCAGTTCTCTTCATTTTTTTTTTCCATATTTGAATGTCTTTGTCTTCATTTTGAAGGATAATTTCACTGAAGATACATTTTCTTGGTTGACTTTTTAGCACTTGGTATATATGTCATTCCTCTGTCTTCTGGCTTCCATTATTATTAATATTGGTTTTTTTCATTTTTTTTTTTTTGAGACTGGGTCTCTGCCACCCAGGCTGGAGTGCAGTGTCTTGACCATGGCTCACTGCAGCCTGGACCTCCTGGGCTCAATCAATCCTCCCACCTCAGCCTCCTGAGTATCTGGGACTGTAGGCATGCACCACCACACCTGGCTAATTTTTCTTTTTTCTTTTTTTTTTTTTTTTTGAGACTGAGTCTCACTCTGTTGCCCAAGCTGGAGTGCAATGGTGTGATCTCACTGCAACCTCCACCTCTGGGTTCAAGTGATTCTCCTGCCTCAGCCTCCTGACGAGCTGGGATTACAGGTGCGCACCACCACACCTGGCTAGTTTTGTAGAGATGGGGTTTCACCATGTTGGCCAGGCTGGTCTCAAACTCCTGACCTCAGGTGATCTGCCCACCTCGGCCTCCCAAAGTGCTGGGATTACAGGCATGAGCCACCGTACCCAGCCATTTCCATTATTTCTGATGAGAAGTCAGCTGTTAATCGTATTGTCCTGTAGGTGATGAGTTGCTCTTCTCTTGCTGCTTTAAGTATTTTTCTTTTTGTCTTTCACTTACTAAAGCTTTATAGTAACTTTTGAAATTATGAAGTGTGAGTTTTCCAACTTTGTTCTTTTTTGAGATTGTTTTGCATATTTTGAGTTCCTTGCATTTCCATATGAATTTTAGGATCAACTTTCCCATTTCTGCTGACAAAGCAGGTTGAAATCTCGGTAGAGTTTTAATTCACCTTGTACATCAATGTAGGGGGTATTGCCATCTAATACTAACACTGCATCTTCCAATCCATGAATGTTGGACATAGCTTTACCTTTATTTAGGTCTTTGATTTCTTTCAACGGTATTTTGCAGTTTTCAGTGAAGAAATCTTGCACTTCATTGGTAAAATTTATTCCTAAGTATTTTGTTATTTTGGTGCTACTATAAATAGAATTGTTTTGTAACTTTTATTTTCAGGTTTTCATTGCTAGTATGTAGAAATACAACTGATTTTTATAGATGGATCTTGTATCCTGCAATCTACTGAGTTTATGAGCTCTGGGGATTTTTTTTGTGGATTCTCTAGGGTTTTCTGTATATGGCAAATCATGTCATCGGCAAGTGGAGGTTGTTTTACTTTTTCCTTTCCAACCACGATGCCTTTTATTTATCTTTTACTTTTATTTTTATCTTTTCACTTCCCGTCCCACTGCAGGACTTTCATTTGTTTTTCTCGCCTAACCGCCCTCTCTGGAACTTTCAATACAGTGTTGAATACAAGCGGCAAGAACAGACATCCTTGTCTTTGTTCTGTTCCTGATCTTAGGAGGAAACTTTCAGCCTTTCACCATGAAGGATGGTGTTCACTGAGGGTTTCCTGGAGGCGCCCTTTATAGGGTTGAGAAGTGCCCTTCTAGTCCTTTTTTGTCATGAAGAAGGGTTAAATTTTTCAAGTGCTTTCTCTTTCTCTTTTGAGATGATTATTGGGTTTTGTTCTGTTACCATGATGTGTTCATAGATGTAATTACTTCCATTGATAGAATATATTAATATGGTGTTGATTTCTGTATGTTGAAGGAACTGTGCATTCCTGAGATGAATCCCGGTTGGTCGTGGTGTATGATCTTTCTTATACGCTGCTGGATTTTGTTTGCTGGTATTTTGTTGAGGAATTGTGTGTCTGTATTCATAAGAGATACTGGTCAGCACACTTCTTTCCTTGTAACGTTTCTGTCTGCTTTTGGTGTCAGGACCTCATTCTGTCCTCATAGAATGAGTTAGAAAATGTTCCCTTCTTGGTTCTTTTTTCTTTAGCATTTCTGTTTTTGTGTTGAAAGCCCTGTGCCTGGAGTCACTATCATCATATTTTCCTTTAATTCTTTGGCTCATTTACGGTAGCCGCTCTGGAGTCCTTAGGAAATGCGATCTGGGCCGCACAGCGTGGGCCTCTGCCATCTGCCCTTTTCCCTGAGTGTGGTCACGCTTCTGTTTCTTTGCTTATCCCATAATTTGGGGCTGCAATCTGGACAACCTGGGTACTGTATTTGTCCCAGCAAGTCTGGATTCTTGTATTTTTATCCAAGGTTGTTTGATTGGTTTTTGTTTGCTTGGGTATTTTACCTGGACCTAAGCTGGAGAATCTGTGTCCACGGCAGCCGCAGATGTGTCCGCTCATGGTTTCTGCTCTTTTCTTGTTGAGCTGAGATGTCCCGGGGTGTCCGCCTGTCTTTACAGCTCAGCGGTTGGCCGCTGCTCTGTCTGTGGTTGTGCTCCAACACCACGCATCCCTGAGGCTCCCCATGGCCAATGATCTGTGCATGTGGGGAGCCGATATCCAGTCAGTTCCTGGTCCCCTGTGGCATCACTTCTGTGGCCGCGCTGGATCCCCCTGCACAGGCCTGTGCTGCTTCTGTCGGCCAGGGTTCCAGGGAAGCTGCCTCTGTCTGGCTCTCTTGTTCTCAGCATTTCCCCGTTATTTTTCTGACTGGTCCCTGCCCTCCTTACCCCTCCCCAGCCAGGACTGTGGGCCTCTCCAGGTCCTGCAGATGGACCCCTCGTGGCTGATGAAAGCGTTCCCCTCCCACCTTGAGCCCACCCCCTCTGGAAGCAAGGCTGCTGGTCCTCAGCTACCCACCCTGGTGCAGCTGTGCTCTTGCTGGGTAGAGTGGGGTAGGGGGAGGTGGAGCAGCTGCTTATATGCTGCTGGATTTGGTTTGCTGGTATTTTATTGAGGAATTTTGTGTCTGTATTCACCCTCAGGCTGGGAAGCCAAGTCCCGCTCCTCCCAAAGCTGCAACGGGATTTCAGGAGTCAGTGTGTTCTGATTTCAGGAGTCAATGTTTTCTGATTTGTTGTCTGCCTTGAATTGATTTCCAGAGGCCTGAATGGTTGTTTCTACCATTTTGTCCAGTTTCGCACTTGGCTTCGTAGAGATAACTCATTGATTTCTACTCCACTGTAGCCAGCAGTCCTCCTCAACAAGCACTCATTGAATGAGTTGTTGAACGGCAGGTCCTGGACCCCTCACATGCTGGAGTGGCAGGCGGGCCATCTGTGCGTTGTCTGCCCTGCAGACTCACTGAGCAGTGTGTGGGGCTGTCTGACCTGTCAGCAGGGGCGCAGGGCGCTCACTCTTCAGTACGCGGTCCCCTCCAGAACACAGCACAGTGGATCTGGCATCACAGGGAAACAGGCTGCTGGGCATCCAGATGGTGAAATTTACTCTCTTCAAATGTCAGCATGTTTCAGTTAAATTTTTCAAATGGACATCTTTGTGAAACACATTAAATAGCATTACTCCCCTGAACGGAGACCGCTGCGCTGGAAGATGTTGTGGGAATGGTTATCCCTCTGGTCACCTGCTTCTTAGTGGGACTGAAACATGGCGCCCCCTTGGCACCCTGAGGAGCTCCTCCCACCTCAGGGCTGCGGTGCTCTCGAGAGCTGGCCTAGCTCTGGGTGGCTTTCGGGCCTTCCTCTAGCATCCCTGGCGGCCCCTTTCTCCGAGTTACTGCTCTTCAGGATGACGCCTGGTGTGACTTGATTCTCAGCAGAACCTGAAGGACTCCTCAGGATTCTCCAAGCCCTGTGGGACACACAGCGGGCTGATCGGCAGGGGTCTTTCGGGTCTGAGATCCCATGGCCCACACTTGGCTCTCTTGAGCACTGCTTGCCAGACCCTGGGTGAATTGTTGGCCTCTTGGGTCCTCAGTCTCTTCATCTCTGTTGATAATAGTTATCTTGAAAAATTTCCATTGAGTAAATAGGAAACAATTTCTTTTTTCTTTTTTTTTTTTTTTTGATGGAGTTTCGCTCTTGTTGCCCAGGCTGGAGTGCAATGGTGTGATCTCAGCTCACTGCAACCTAACCTCCGCCTCCCAGGTTCAAGTGATTCTCCTGCCTCAGCCTCCCTAGTAGCTGGGATTACAGGCATGCGCCACCACGCCTGGCTAATTTTGTATTTTTAGTAGAGACAGGGTTTCTCTGTGTTGGTCGGGCTGGTCTTGAACTCCCGACCTCAGGTGATCCACCCGCCTTGGCCTCCCAAAGTGCTGGGATTACAGGCATGAGCCACCACACCCAGCCTACAATTTCAACTGACCATATAGTATTGAGCATAAGTTACTTAACAAAAGATACCTGCCATCGTTATTATTTGTGGTTCTGTGTGTTCAATGTACAGGGTTTTGTTTTAATCACTGGTGTGAGGCTGACGGATGAGGAGGCAACGGCTATGAGGAAAGGAGTTTCCACTCATAGTTCCCCAGAGACCCCCAGGGAGGGAGTGAGGGGAGACCTAGCACCTTGGTTGTGGTTCTCATGGGAGGATCAGGCAGGGTGAGTGGAACAGGCCGCCCAGGCTTGGGGTTGGCTCTGAACACGGGCTCTGGATTTGTTGGCTTTCATATCAGAAGTGTGCTCACCGTGGCCTCCTGCCTCTAGGAACTGGCTGTCCCTAGGAGGGCAGTCTCTGCAGGGTCCACAAGCCTCCAGATGCCAAACCGTGATACAAGACAGAAGTGAAGGCAGCACTCACACAGCCTAGTAAGACAGCTTTCCTTCTTGCTCTTAGCTGTTCTTTGGAGCCTTCTCAGGGTCACCTGCAGACTGAGGAGTTACGATGCCTCCCGCAGGCAGCATCCTCACAAGGTCTGCACAGCCCCGGGGCAAAGACAAGACCCCTGTCGGGGGCACGGAGGCTGCCTTGTGCTCGGGGCCTCCTGCCCCACAAGCCGGCAACCCCCCGACGTGCCGCAGCAGGCAGGGCACTGGCCAGTCACAGTCACTGCGCTGGGGAAGCCTAATGCTTGGGCTCCCTCACTGGGTGGGTTTCCCATCCTGGGGTCCAGGAGCAGGTGTTGCTTGAGAACTCAGTCGTCACATCTCCCCTTTCATGTTACAAGGCGCCTGGAGAAAGCAAACACGGGTGGGGCACTGAAAGAAATTCTGGACGCGCTTTTGCCCTTCCGGCAGTTCTCAGGGTAGCAGGAGCCAAGGCTTGGGAGAGGCGGGGGAGGAAGCTCGTGCTCCAGATGCTCATTGAGTACCTGTGTATGCCAGGCACAGTCCGCATGCCCACAGCTGCCCCCGTGACGGGCAGGCTCCCCTCGCAGAGCCCACGGGCCGAGGGCCCCTCAGTGAGGCTGAAACTCAGCTGGGACTGGCCAGTTCGTTTCCAGGTCTTGCTATCCAGCTGCTGATGATTCAGATGGCTTACATATTCTCTAAGCTGCAGAGGTGCATAAAGGTAGAAAGATTAAAATGTAGGATATTTACGCCCTCATGTGGAAGACCCAGGGCTTCTCAGAGTGTCGTGTTGGCACCAGGGCTGCCCGCAACCTAAGAGGACCCCGCGTGCCTGTGTGGCTCTGCCTGCCACTGCCCTCGTGGCAGGGAGGCAGTGACAGCTACGGAGAAGCTCAGCAGGCTGGCCTGGTCGTCGTCCTCAAAGCACCGTGATGTGTTAACATGAACGACTCATGTTTTATTCTTGTTCCACCACAGGCAGCGTCTCCTCCCTGGGCCCCGAGCATCCCGGCCTGACAACGAGTCAGAGGAGCATGGGAAAGCCTCTCAGGTAGTGCCCCCCCGCAAGCACCTTCTTCACTGCGTTCTAACCCCCGCAAGCACCTTCTTCACAGCGTTCTAACCCCCGCAAGCACCTTCTTCACAGCGTTTTAAAGGAAATTGTCAGCAAAATAAAACTGCTCATCATCCCACTCACCAGAGAGAATTAGTGCTAAAAATTTAATATGTTGCTTTTCATCCCTGTTTTTACACGCTTTGAGTCAGGTTTTGTTGTATATACCACTTTAGAGTTTGCTTTTTTTTTTTTTAGCCGGAGTCTCACTCTTTGTTGCCCAGGCTGGAGTGCAGTAGCACCATCTTGGCTCACCGCAACCTCCGCCTCCTGGGTTCAAGTGATTCTCCTGCCTCAGCCTCCCGAGTAGCTGGGATTACAGGCATGTGCCACCACACTCGGCTAATTTTGTATTTTTAGTAGAGGGGTTTCACCATTTTGGTCAGGCTGGTCTCGAACTCCCGACCTCAGGTGATCTGCCTGCCTCGGCCTCCCAAGGTGCTGGGATTACAGGCGTGAGCCACCATGCCCAGCCAGGAGTTTGCTTTTTTGAAGCTAAGATATAACGTAGGCATTTGCCCTGTTGCTAAAAACTTCAAAAGTACCACGTGGTGACTGCGTGCTGTTCTACCACAGGAATAGGCCGTGGGTCAGCAGGCGTCTTCTATAAAGGGCAGGTAGTAAATATGTTTGGTTTTTGGGGCAGCTGCTCAGCTCCACCTCTGTATTGAGAAGGCCGGGGCAGGCAGTGTGTAAATTAATGGGTGTGGCTGGGTTCCAGTAAAACTTTATTTACAAAAACAGGTGGCAGGCTGGACTCAGCCCCAGCCCCGGAACAGACCACAGTTCACCTCCCCCTGCTCTTCTCAGACCTCTGGGTGGCCTCCCACTCCGTCTGCTGCATATTTAAGCACACACCGACGTCTCTGTCAACCGAACTCGTGTGTTCAAAGGTCCGGTGGTCTCGCTAAAAGGCAGACCCTCCCATGTCAGCCCCCCAGAGCCCTTGAGTGGCTTTTGATGCCTGCAGTCCAGTCCACCCCTGGCTGCCTGCAGGCCTCAGCGTTCTCTCACGCCCCCACCTCCCGTCCCCGCTGGCCTGGGTTGTCGACCCTCCTGGGTGCCCACGGGCCCTGCAGCATCGGTCCACATCTTCTGCTGGCCGCCGGGCGGGGGTGTGCGTGCTGCTCCGAGGTTCTCAGAGATGCCTTTGAATCCAGGCCTTTAAAACCACAAAACGGCCAGTGCTGTAACTACCGTGTCACCAGAGATGCTCCGAGCATTCATGATGTTGTGTTTCTTGAATTTATTAGGATTCCACCTCTGCAAATTCCCTACAAGGGACCCCCACTAACGCCAACACCACAGTTACCAGGGAGAGCAGGAAGAGGGGACTCTCCAAGCTTCGGGGGCTCCCAGGCCAGGCTGCCCCCCCGGCCGCCCATCAGCATCCCCAGCCTGCTGCAGAGGCAGTGTTTAGGCAAGTGCTCAGCCAGCCTCAGGAAGAAAATGCTCTTGGGAAAGTGCGTGTGTAAAGAAGCTCTTTAACTGAGTGTGTGCCAAGGGCAGCCATGGAGCTCTAAACGTTCTCAAGAGTTGTGTTTCTGAGTTTTGCCTTAGTTGTTCAGAAACGCAGTAATGTTCACTTTTATATTCATTGTGAATTTCGAAAATTATGACTTAAACATATTGATAATACTCTGAAAATACTAAGATGACATCTGAATTTTTTAAAATACACATTTTAGTGAATAAACTCTTCTCCCCACCTTATTTTTTGTATGTAACATGTGCACCCTCATTTTCCTCAACAGTGTGAAGTTTTGAAGTCATTTCAAAGACAAAGTTGTGTTTTTACCGCGACTTCCATGCCTCCTGCGGGACCTGCTCACCTTGGGGCAGTGACACCTGAAAGATGAGCACCCAGCCACCCGCTCTGCCCCCTTCCAGTCCTCCAGCCTTCGTGCCCACCAGCATGTGTACGTTAGACAGCCAGTGCGACTGTACTTTCCCTCTTGTTGAAATAATTAAGTAATGTAGTGGAATAAAGTATTTTTCTGATTATCAGGACGAGCATACATGTGATATGTTTGCAACTTTACTCTTAACTTGGAACTTCCTTAAAATGTTGATGCTGGAGGCAAAACGAACACCTGCCTGTTGAGTTCCTGTTAGAAGGTTCCGGCTGCAGCTCGCGGGGGAGACAGGGCTGCTGTGGGGTGCGCACGCAGCGTGGGTCGGCGCCGCCACATCCTGCGTTAGGTGATTACTACGCATTCTGGTCACACAGTACTCACAGCGGGCCTGTGATGCCGGCTTCAGCGGGTGAATCTCCGTCAGGTCCAGAGATGAATTCCGGGCCTGAGCTCACCCTGCAGATGCGGCCTGCGTGGGTGGAGCCTCCTCATCCGTCAGGAGGGTGGGGTCTCCTGCAGGAGACGCCCCCGTGCACGTGGCTCCCAGAGAGTCTCAGAGCCCAGGTCTCTCCCGCCAGCCGGGACCACACAGGGTTGGAAAAGAGGCTTATGGGGTTAGTTCTAATCTTTTAGTTTGCATTTACCTAAAAAGTGTCAAAGAACTTTGTTATCTCACTCGAGTTAACCGAGTTAACAGCAGCCGACCACCACGTGAAGCAGGAGAATCCTCACCTTCACTGCAGGCGGAGCTGAGGCACTGCCGGGCTGCACACAGAGACTTTATTTCAGGTGAGGCGTCCCTGCCTTCACAGCAGCCTCCCAGGCGCCTCCCCTGGGCCCTCCAGATGCCAGGATGCCTGGGCTGCTGGACAGAGGGTGCCCATGTCCTTCTGGAAGTCATGGCATTCATGGCTGTCCCGGATTGACTGTCCCCTCTGGGAGCTGACTATCCCCTCCGGGAGCTGACTGTCCCCTCTGCCGGGAGCTGACTGTCCCCTCCAGGAGCTGACTGTCCCCTCTGCCAGGAGCTGACTGTCCCCTCTGCTGGGAGCTGGCTGTCCCCTCTGTGAGTTGACTGTCCCCTCCGGGAGCTGACTTTCCCCTCCGGGAGCTGACTATCCCTTCCGGGAGCTGACTTTCCCCTCCGGGAGCTGACTGTCCCCTCTGGCAGCTGACTGTCCCCTCCGGGAGCTGACTGTCCCCTCTGCCAGGAGCTGACTGTCCCCTCTGCTGGGAGCTGGCTGTCCTCTCTGTGAGTTGACTGTCCCTTCCGGGAGCTGACTATCCCCTCCGGGAGCTGACTGTCCCCTCTGCCGGGAGCTGACTGTCCCCTCCAGGAGCTGACTGTTCCCTCTGGGAGCTGACTGTCCCCTCTGCCAGGAGCTGACTGTCCCCTCTGCTGGGAGCTGGCTGTCCCCTCTGTGAGTTGACTGTCCCCTCCGGGAGCTGACTGTCCCCTCCAGGAGCTGACTGTTCCCTCCGGGAGCTGACTGTCCCTTCCGGGAGCTGACTTTCCCCTCCGGGAGCTGACTGTCCCCTCTGGCAGCTGACTGTCCCCTCTGGGAGCTGACTGTCCCCTCTGCCAGGAGCTGACTGTCCCCTCTGCTGGGAGCTGGCTGTCCTCTCTGTGAGTTGACTGTCCCCTCCGGGAGCTGACTTTCCCCTCCGGGAGCTGACTGTCCCCTCTGCCGGGAGCTGACTGTCCCCTCTGCTGGGAGCTGACTGTCCCCTCTATGAGCTGACTATCCCTTCTGGGAGCTGACTGTCCCCTCCGGGAGCTGACTATCCCCTCTGGGAGCTGACTTTCCCCTCTATGAGCTGACTATCCCCTCTGGGAGCTGACTGTCCCCTCCGGGAGCTGACTGTCCCCTCTGGCAGCTGACTGTCCCCTCCGGGAGCTGACTGTCCCCTCTGCCAGGAGCTGACTGTCCCCTCTGCTGGGAGCTGGCTGTCCTCTCTGTGAGTTGACTGTCCCCTCCGGGAGCTGACTTTCCCCTCCGGGAGCTGACTGTCCCCTCTGCCGGGAGCTGACTGTCCCCTCTGCTGGGAGCTGACTGTCCCCTCTATGAGCTGACTATCCCTTCTGGGAGCTGACTGTCCCCTCCGGGAGCTGACTATCCCCTCTGGGAGCTGACTTTCCCCTCTATGAGCTGACTATCCCTTCTGGGAGCTGACTGTCCCCTCCGGGAGCTGACTGTCCCCTCTGCCAGGAGCTGACTATCCCCTCTGCTGGGAGCTGGCTGTCCCCTCTGTGAGTTGACTGTCCCCTCCGGGAGCTGACTTTCGCCTCTGGGAGCTGACTGTCCCCTCTGCCTGGAGCTGACTGTCCCCTCCGGCAGCTGACTGTCCCCTCCGGGAGCTGACTGTCCCCTCTGCCAGGAGCTGACTATCCCCTCTGCTGGGAGCTGGCTGTCCCCTCTGTGAGTTGACTGTCCCCTCCGGGAGCTGACTTTCCCCTCTGGGAGCTGACTGTCCCCTCTGCCGGGAGCTGACTGTCCCCTCTGCTGGGAGCTGACTGTCCCCTCTATGAGCTGACTATCCCCTCTGGGAGCTGACTTTCCCCTCCGGGAGCTGACTTTCCCCTCCGGGAGCTGACTGTCCCCTCTATGAGCTGACTATCCCCTCTGGGAGCTGACTGTCCCGTCCGGGAGCTGACTGTCCCCTCCGGGAGCTGACTTTCCCCTCCGGGAGCTGACTGTCCCCTCTATGAGCTGACTATCCCTTCTGGGAGCTGACTCTCCCCTCCGGGAGCTGACTGTCCCCTCCGGGAGTTGACTGTCCCCTCTGGGAGCTGACTACCCTTCTGGGAGCTGACTGTCCCCTCTATGAGCTGACGCTCCCCTCCGGGAGCTGACTCTCCCCTCCGGGAGCTGACTGTCCGCTCTACCGGGAACTGACTGTCCCCTCCGGGAGCTGACTATGCTCCAGAAACTCGTGCTGAAATCAGATATGCAAAAATCTTGTAGTAGCGTGCATGTTCTAAGTTGGTTTCATTCCCAGAAATTTCAAATCGTAAAATCATGAATGGAATTATGGCACTGGTGCTGCATTCCCTGTATGTGCTATGTGATATGCGCATGAGGGCTTCACACGTCCAGCTGCAGGCTACATGTGAAATACAGGCGGTAGGAATCGCTTCTCTTACCGCAGCTGCCGTTCTCACGGTTTACCTCGCAGGGCTCAGCTCAGTCTGCAGCGGCCGCCTTGGTTCTCGCAGGTGGACTTGCTGGAGCTGATCCTGCAAAGGAACGTGGCCGGGGCTGTCCTCATGCCTGTGGTGTTCCTTAGGGGACTTCTTTGAAAACTTTGCCAAGAAATATTGCCCCGGGGCTGCCCGCCACTGCCTCACCCTCTCTCCAGGCAGCCCCGGGCCCTTCTGTCTGGGGGCTGATGAGTGGTCCCTGATTTTAAAATTGCAATTTCTTCCATCACTTCACCTTTCTAGACATAAACTTGAAGCCATACTTGTAGCATTTCCTGTTCTTTATTGTTGTTGTTTTTCACAGTTGAGCCTGCATTTGGCCAGGGTCCACCCTGCAGCACCTGGTTCTGTCCAGACATTCGCTAGGGGCAGCCCTTGCGCCTCGATTTGCCACTGGCCCACCTCAGCACACCTTTCTTTGTTTTCCAGTGATTGTCACCAGAAAAGTCACAATTTAGTAAAACATCCAGACAGTGGCACAAGCTTACTCCGTGGATGGAGGTGACAGCACTGCCGAGGCGGAACTCCCGCCTGTCCTCATGCAGTGCATGAAAGCCCACGTTCAGCCCAGGAACAGCAGCGCAGGGCCTGAGGGATGATGTGTGAAGGCACGAGCTGTGTGAAACAAGACTGTGAAAGCCCAGGGCCAGCCGTGGGGTCATAATGGAGCAGCAGAGACTGGCAGGGGGGCAGGACCACGGAGGGGCAGTGCCCTCAGCTCTTCATGCGCGTCCTGGGCTAGAAGTGGGCGGCACCTTTTCTGCAGGCTCTGCCACTCCCACGTGTGGGTGTACAGCAGCCAAGCCTTTCCCCCACCCCCCACCGCCTGCTGTGAGTTGTCCTGCCCGGTGGTGTCTCGTGGGCTGTGCTGCAGGCAGTGGGGGGCTGCCTCCACCACTCACGGTGCAGCTGTGATTCAGGGCCAAGACATAACCTTGGGCTGAGTCCCCCACCGCTGTGCAGCCTCAGGCATCATCCCTCAGGCCCTGCGCTGCTGTGAGGACAGGTGGGAGTTCCGCCTCGGCAGTGCTATCCATCGGCTCTATCCACAGAATAGCTTTGTGCCACTGTCTGGATGTTTTACTAAATTTTGCCTTTTTTGGTGAAAAAAATGGTTCCCTGCTGTATTAGTCTGTTCTAACGCTGACATACCCGACTGAGACGGGATAGTTTATAAAGGAAAAAGGTCAAATGGACTCACAGCCCCACATGGCTGGGGAGGCCTCATAGTCATGGTGGAAGGCAAAGAAGGAGCAAAGGCACATCTTACATGGTGGCAGGCAGAGAGTGTGTGCAGGGAACTGCTCCTATAAAACCATCAGATCTCATGAGACTTATTCACTCTCGTGAGACCAGCATGGGAAAGACCCGCCCACATGATTCAGTTACCTCCCATCGGGTCCCTTCCACAATGTGGGAATTGTGGGAGCCACAGTTCAAGATGAGATTGGGTGAGGACACAGCCAAACCACATCACCTGCCCATCCAAGCACCACGTCCACAGTTCAAGATGAGATTTGAGTGGGGACACAGCCAAACCACATCACCTGCCTGTCTAAGCACCACGTCCATCTCATCAACCAGCACAGCAAGGCCCTCGTGGTGACAGCATAGGGAGGCAGATGCCAACAAGACATGTGGTTCGAGCTCTCTGTGTGTGTTACGGGAAGTCCAGAAGTGCCAGGGGAGTGGACACGTTGCTCATTGTGATTTTTATTTTCTCACTAAGCTTCTGAGTTTTGAGGGAAAAAATATTTGAGACTAAAACTAATGTTTATAGACAGATGTCATTAATGCTGGGTGGGATTTGGAGGAAATGCTGGAGAAGGAACTCTGCCAGAAGGAAGGAAGCCGTTCACTGGACTGATTAGTGCAGACGGACTCCGTGAGTTCACACAGCATTCTTCAGGAAAATAATGTGATGTTAGCTCAACTTGACCACATTTTGTTTGCTTCAAGATGTTTGCCACTAATAATGCTGTTCTCTGCAAATTAAATGAAAAAATGGTCATTTTGCTGGCAGTGTGAGAATGTTTAGTTTCATAGCTGGTTAACAAACAAAGGCAAAACACTTCCGGGTCAACAGTGGCCTCAGCCACATTTCCATCCATTCCCGTCCGAGCGACCCGCGGCCTCTGCAGCAGTGCTGGCCGGCAACACTGGAGGGCGCTAGACCAAGGGAGCCTGAGCGGTGCCCGCGCCCGGCTGGGTTTGTTGCCCCAGGAAAGCGTCTGTTTAGTGCCGCCCGCCGAGTGTGAAAGCGTTGAGCAACTCAGCAAAGCGACGACCTGGGCTGATGAGGCAGGATTGGGAGCGCGTGAAGGCAGTGCCCAGCAGGCACAGCCAGCGCTCGTGCCGCGCCATCCGCCAGCTGCCTGGCTTATCCACAACCAGGGAAGCAGCGGGGCATCCTCAAGCTGCCCTGTGTGGGGTGCTGTCTGTGAAACAGCAGCAGCAAACCCAGAAGCCGAGGTTAGACACTCAGCATGCGAGGAAAGCACGCAGAGGCGGAGGCCGCGGCGCTCAGAAACTGCCGTATTTAGAGATCACGCGGAGCCATAGGGTAAGTCTTTAGACTGGATTCTTGTTTCTACAAGTAGTGCAGACCCCCACCATGGTCCTTCAGAAGCAAATGCACAGCGTGGACATAAAACGATGAGACCAACTGTGAACTTCTCAGGGTGGCTTCACAGCCTGGGCTGTGCCTTACGATGCATTGTATTCAAAGGTGCCCAATGATGTGATTTGCACCTAATCCATTGACGGGTAATCAGCATTTTACTCCAGTAGGTACTAAATCAATATTTGACTATTTCTCTCCACCATCATGGCTCCCGATTCCTCGTGGCCCCAACTGTGGCAGACACCTGGAGATGGAGTGGCTGAGGGGCGTCCCCAGGCCTCTCCCCAGCTGCTGGGCCCAGCCTCCACCTTCAGGCGCTCCCCCACTCATAGCACAGCACCTTCTAGACCTGTTTCTGGTCTTTCAGAATTCCTATTTTGTTGGACTGAGGTCCTTTGTTTTGATTTTAATAAAAATGGGGTCACACTTAGCCTGACCAACATGGCAAAACCCCGTCTCTACTAAAAATACAAAAATTAGCCAGGCGTGGGTGGCACACACCTGGAATCCCAGCTACTTGAGAGGCTAAGATGGGAGAATCACTTGAACCTGGGAGGCAGAGGTTGCAGTGAGCCAAGATCACGCCACTGCACTCCAGCCTGGGCAACAGAGTAAGACTCTGTCTCAAAAAAAAAGGGGGGGTCACACTTGAGGTTGTTCCATGGACTGGCCCCTTTGTTTGGCGTGAGCTCTTGTAGCTCACTCACAGAAGTGAACCACGACTGCGTGTTCCGCTCTGAGAGGCACCGCGGCTTCCTCTCTTCCCGTCACAGACAGTGCAGCCATGAGCACCACTGCATCGTCCTTGGCGACGAGCCAGGCCCGGGGGTCCTCCTGGGCTGCATCTCCTGCCGGGCACCAGCTTCCTCCGCCCCTTCGGCACTCGCCAGCCAAGCTGCAAGGGGCACACTGAGGAGCAGACAGGCAGCGCTTCCATGTCGGCGCCATGCCCAGCACCCTGACGGAACACGTGACCGAGGACACAGGTGCAGGGGGAGGCAGGGGACTAAGACCCTGAGCAAGTCATGAGCAGGCAGCACCCTAAGACGCTGTCCCAGGACAGCCAGGAGGTGAGCAAGGCTGAGGGAGGGGAGCAGAAGGCCAGTCTCAGTGCTGGGGACTGTGTAGGACCCAGGCAGCCTGGGGTGAGGGGGTGCTAGGGAGGGGAGAGGAGAGGTTGGGAGGTCTGGAGGGGCAAGGGTGACTAGCGTTCCAATGATTCCCCTGATGAGTTCTGCCAGTCCCGACAGGACGGTGTTGGAGGTTCAAGGCTCAGAGCTGCCACAGAGGAGGGCGTCAGTGAGGAGATGGATTTGAGCATCGCCTGCCTGAGTGGTGGGACAGAGAGCCAGGATCTGTGGCCACAGGGGAGGCCGGGCCCCGGGACCCTGGGCAGGAGCTGCTGGCTGTGCTGGGGGGCAGTGATGGAGAAGAGGGCAGGAAACCCGAGGGAAGCTGAGTGACAGGGTTTGGCTGTGTCCCCACACAAATCTCACCTTGAATTGTACTCTCCATAGTACCCACGTATCAAGGGCGGGAGCAGGTGGAGGTGCCTGGATCATGGGGTGGCTCCCCCATGCTGTTCTTGCAATACTGCGTGAGTCTCATGAGATCTGATGGTTTCATCAACGTCTGGTACTTCCCCTGCTTGCACTCACTCCGTCCCGCCGCCCTGGGACCTGCTTCTCCTTTGCCTTCCACCATGACTAAGTTTCCTGAGGCCTCCTCAGCCATGCTCAACTGTGAGTCAATTAAACCTCTTTCTTGTATAAATTACCCAGTCTTGGGCAGTTCTTTATAGCAGCGTGGGAACGGACTAATACGCCGAGGAAGGGCGTGAGTGATTCCTCGGCCCAGCCAAGATGGGGAAGGGCGGCAGGTGAGAGGCTGAGGGGAGGGGCAGAGTCGGAGCCGAGTTGGGGGCAAGTCAGGGACAGGCACAGAAGGGGACAGTAGCCAGTGCCACTGGGCTAGGACCTCTGGGGGGGTCTCTCCTGCAGCTCAAGAGACTGGCGTGTGGAGAGCCATGGCCAGGCTTGGTTGAGAAAGTCACTCACTACAAAGCAGAAGCAGCCACATGTGGCTGGAGTGGCCAGCGCAGGGCCCCCGGTATGGGAGAGTGGGTATCCGGCCACATCCGAACCTCTGCCCCACATACAGCCTCCCACAGGGACCCTCCAGGAGGCCCCTGTGTGGGCGCCTCCCACCGGATACGCGGAGAAGCGCAAGGTTCCTCGTGCCCTGTGCTCAGGGCAGCCCATCAGTCTCACTGTGCTGCAGTCGCCTGATGCAGGTGCATGCTCCGAAGGCAGATGAGCCCACAGGAGCTCCTACAGCAGGCTGGGCGTCTGTCCGGAGCACTCTGGGTGTGCTTCCATTTCTAATAGGAGCGAGTTCATATTCAGGTCGCTCGGGCCGGCACGAAGCCCCAGGGGTAACAGATGCTCCCCACGGACGCTGGGGCCCCGCCCTCGGGATGGCCTTCCCTTTCCTCCCCCTGAACAGTTTTCACCACCACCACCCTTTCCAGCCTTCTTCACCTAAATCATCATCAAAGCATACTGGGTACTTCTTGGAAAGAGACCGGCCTTCCTGAGTGAGGGTCTCGCTCCGCATCGGATCAGGTGGCTTTCCCGAGGCCGAGTGCCCACTGCACACTGTGGCGGCCGGCTGGGCCTGGCCTTCCTTGGCAGCCACCTCGAGGAGTGCAACTGGCTGGCATCCGGCCGAAGTCATTCTTAGCTTTAAAATCTCCATGGATGAATAGTGTAAAGCAAAGTATTGGTTTACAATAGCTAGATGTGTTTATCGAAAGTGAAAGAATTTCCAGCTAGCACTATTTTCCCAACTGCAGCAAAGTCAACACCGGCAGGCTGCCGAGAGGGGGTGACAATTTGACCTTCGCGAAGTTGGCGCTGCCAGGACACAGCATCTGCAGTGGGGCTGCCCTGCCCTGGGCCTGGCGTTGGGAACCCAGGAGCAGGTGAGGTGTCCTAGGTTTGGAGGTGGGTGGTGCAGCAAACAGGCTGCCTGGAGGGAGTAGAGAGCCCTGGGCTTCCACCGCCAGCCGCGACAGACAGAATTTTATTGAAAGAACAATCCAGAAAGCCCCCAGAACTGACAGGAAGGCCAGGGAGAAGCCAGGCTCAGGAAGTGGGCAGGCTGGAAGGAGATGGGTCCGGCCACACCTGCGGACCTGTCACGGTGGTGTGCAGGTGCAGGACCTGCCCCTGCAGCCTGGGCTCCGCCTGGATGCTCGCGACCTCCGAGAGACACCCAAATCCCCGCACCCGGGCCTGAGTCGCCTCAGCGGTTCCCGCGCCTCCGCATGGACCTCCAGGCAGGTGTGCCCACCCACTGCAAGGCGGGAGGAGCCGCGTGCACCTCGCCAGCTCCCGGGTGGCACCCTGACACTGACCTGACCTGGACCCCCAAATCAAGGGGAGTTGGGGCCGGGCAGCCTGAAGGCGCAGAGCCCCCTCCCCAAGCACGAGCTTGGTTGCCAGGAAGCCTCTGCTGCGGCTCTGGAGAGGATGAAAATGCGTTCAAACCCAAGCAACTATAAACACGAAGAAAGGTTTTGAACACGTTTTGTTTTCAGACTAAGAGGAAATTCCTAAAATTCTTCGGTGGTAAAACCAAGACTGCACACCGAATTCACATTGGAGCGGGGCTAGGGAAGCATGGCTCCGGAAGGGCTCGGGAAGGGCTCGGGGATGGCTGGGGAAGGGCTCGGGGAGGGCTCGGGAGGGCTGCGGAAAGGCTCGGGAAGGGCTCGGGGAGGGCTCGGGAAGGGCTCGGGGAGGGCTCGGGAAGGGCTCGGGGATGGCTCGGGAAGGGATCGGGAAGGGCTCGGGAAGGCTCGGGAAGGGCTCGGGAAGGCTCGGGAAGGGCTCGGGGAGGGCTGGGGAAAGGCTCGGGAAGGGCTCGGGAAGGGCTGGGGAAAGGCTCGGGAAGGGCTCGGGGAGGGCTGGGGAAAGGCTCGGGAAGGGCTCTGGAAGGACTCGGGAATGGCTCGGGAAGGGCTCGGGAAGGGCTCGGGGAGGGCTGGGGAAGGGCTCGGGGATGGCTGGGGAAGGGCTCGGGGAGGGCTCGGGAGGGCTGCGGAAAGGCTCGGGAAGGGCTCGGGGAGGGCTCGGGAAAGGCTCGGGAAGGGCTCGGGAAGGGCTCGGGAACGGCTCGGGGAGGGCTCGGGGAGGGCTGCGGAAAGGCTCGGGAAGGGCTCGGGGAGGGCTGGGGAAGGGCTGGGGAAGGGCTCGGGGAGGGCTGGGGGAGGGCTCGGGGTGGGGGTGCTGGGGAAGGGCTCTGGGAAGGCTTGGGGAGGGCTCGGGAGTGGGTGTTGGGGAAGGGCTCTGGGAGGGCTCGGGGAGGGCTCGGGGAGGGCTGGGGGAGGGCTGGGGAAGGGCTCGGGGAGGGCTCGGGGAGGACTCGGGAAGGGCTCGGGGAAGGCTCGGTGAGGGTTCCGGAAGGGCTCGGGAAGGGTTCGGGGAGGGCTCGGGAAGGGTTCGGGGAGGGCTCGGGGAGGACTCGGGAAGGGCTCGGGGTGGGCTCGGGAAGGGCTGGGGAAGGGGTCGGGGAGGGCTGGGGGGTTGCTGGGGAAGGGCTCGGAGGCGGAGGGCACCAGGCACTGAGCCTCGCAGAGGCGGCCGATATCCTGAGAGCCTCCCTCGAGAGGCAGCTCGGCGGGCACCTCCTCCGCCAGACTCCGAACTCCAGATCTCACCACTGTCTTTGCACACCCTTCTCTGAAGCCCTGGAGAGGCCCCCATGTCCCCGCAGAGGGATGACCAGTATTGCAGACGCAGCGCACGGAAGAGCGCCCAGCCAGCTCTGGCACCCGCCCTGGCCAGAGTGCTGTGCCCGTTCGTACCGGGTCTGCTCAGGGCCCCCCTCCACCCACACCCCCATCAATAGAGCCTTTTGTGACTTTCAGCTGGGAAAGAATTCCACACTTAAAGAAAAGTTAACGATATTAGCGTTGATGCCAGAACCCGGCTGCCCTAACACGGATTCCCCCACTGTTGATGGCTTGTCTGTTTGCTTTGTTGTGCGGGCTGCACACACCCACAGTCATGTGCAGGACTCGGGTAGTTCCTGGGATTGGCCCTGCTCTTGGCCTGCCACAGACGCGTGGCCACCTTGGCCGTGATGCCAGGATGGGGCAGGTACCTACTGCAGAGACGGACGTTCCCACCCCGACTTTCTCCTGGCCTCAAGCGGCTGGGGCTGCTGGGCAGCGTCCTTCCTGGCCACGCCAGGCTGAGAGCAGTGCAGAGCCAGGACCCCAGGGGCCGGGACCTGCAGTTTCCACCCATGTAGGGAAGGGAGGCCATTGCCATTATCACCAGGGTCTCCACAGGCACCAGGGTGAGGATGACCAGAGCCATTGGAAATCAGACAAAGCCTGGAATCTTGGGGGAAGCAGAGGCCACCCCTGGCCTGCACTGTGGGGAGGGGCTCAGGGCTCAGATGCCTCTCAGGGCCACTGTTCCTCGGGCCAGGCTCATTCAGACACATGGCTGGGTCTGATCACAGTCTCAGGCGATGGGCATGGGGCAGGGGTCTGAGGCTGGGAACAGACAGCCCCTCTCCGAGTCTGGCAGGAGGGCAGCTCAGGAGCTGGCCTGGGCCAGTGGCTGCCCCCAGGCAGGGCCAGGTGATTCCGGAGGCAGCAACAGATGTTCTCCAAAGCTGCCTCTGAGACAGGACCAGGGCTGCAGGGTTCATCCCTCATTTTTCCAAATGTAGTAGACTTAAATCATCACCATATTTACTTGGAAAACTGCTTTCACAAGAGCCCATATGACCGCAGGAACAGAAAAACACCCATGGCAGTGAGGTTGCTTTGGCGGAACCCGCCAGGTGGCCCCACCAGGGCTCACAGCGCAGGAATTGCCTTAAATAGGGCAGCTCCAGCTCCAGCAGAGCAGAGGACACCCCAGCTCCGTTCCCAGTCATCCAGGCAGCAGAAAGCAACACAGGACCTGGCTCCGTCCTCACGGAACGTGTGGGCTGGGAAGGCCTCACATGCCTGGCAAGGGGCTGGGGCTCCCCAGGACCTTCAGAGCACCAGGCACCTACCCTGGCAGCTGGGGAGAGTAGGACTTACGGGACCTTCATCTGCTCCAGACCCTCAGAGCTGCGTTTTCCCCAAGGGAAGGGAAACATGGCTGCAGGAACTCAGGAGGGCTGGAAAGAATGTGGTTCTTGGACTTACGGACCTTCAGAAACCTCAGGAATCCACTCTCAGGAAATGTCTTTTCTGCCCTCATAGAAACACTGAGAAATGTGGCCTTAAGCCCGATGGAGCCCGGGGCTGCCTGCGATCAGGCACCGGAGGGCTCGGACCTGCAACTAGGGTGGGTTGGGGGGCTTGGCGCCAGAACACCAGGATGAGAGGGGCCGGGCTCAGCGCAGCTCAGCGCCTCCGGGGACCACGTGGTGGCTGGTTCAATTCACGTGAGGCTTGGAGAGCAGGGTTTAAGAGGGTCCCTCAAACCAAGCAAGAGAGCAGAGGGAGTACTGCGGAGCCAGGGCCAGCAGTCTGCGTTCAGAGCAGCCCTGCTCCCGGCCACCCCGTTCCGGCTGCCTCTCCCGCCCCCAGGTCCCTGCCCCCTGCTCTGCCGTTCCTGCCCGGCTGCAGCTCACCCCAGGCCCGTCCGGCATGGAAGGGGAGGCCCTGGGCTGGGGCGGGGGGTGTCCGTGAGTCAGCAAGTGACCAAGCAGGGGTTGCATCACCTCGATGACTCGCACGCCTCCCTGCAGAGGGTCCCGCGGCTGACTCAGGAAGGGGATGAGTGATGGGTGTGAGTCATCACTCGCGGAGCCAGTGGTCACTGGAGGCGTCCAAACACAGACTCTCAGTGTTGGAATTGGCAGGAGCTGTGGGGATGGACACACTCAGTCTGTGGCTGCAGTCGGGGAAACCAACGCCCTGCTCCCCATGCAGCCTGCACACCGCACCCAGGAAGCCTGCCTCTCCTGGACAAGGTCCTCCACAGCTCCCTTTGTCCTCAGTATGTGGACCCTTTGGGGTGTGGCCCAGCCCCTCCTGACCCCTTAGGGCACACCCCAGCCACAAAGCACCACACGCGGCCACCCAGGTCTCAGGCAGCCTGGGAAATGTGTCTGTGCATCACTGCTCTGTGCCAGTGGACACGTGTGTGCGCGTGCATGTTGGTGTGCAGATGTGTGTATGCATGCATATGTGTGCATGTAGGTGTGTACATGTATGTGTGCGTGTAGGTGTATGTAGGTGGTGTATGTAGGTGTGTGTATGTGTATGTGTATATATGTGTGCACGCATGTATATGGGGTGTGCATGTGGGTGTATATGTGTGCCTGTGGGTGCATGTAAGGGTGGGTGTGTGTATGTCAGTGTGCAGGGGTGGGGGGTGTGCATGTGTGTTGTGTGCGGGGGTGGGTGGGTACGCGTGTGTGGGTAGGTGTGCGGTGGTGGGTGTGTGTGTCAGTGTGTGGGTGTGGGTGTGTGGGTGTGTGTGTGTCAGTGTGCAGGGGTTGGGGGTGTGCATGTGTGTGTCAGTGTGCAGGGGTGGGTGGGTGGGTGTCTTGTGCAGATGTGTGTGTGTCAGTGTGTGGGGGTCGGTGTGTGTGTGTCTGCGGGGGTGGGTGTGTGGGTAGGTGTGTGTGTGTCAGTGTGGGGGTGGGTGGGTGTGTCAGTGTGCAGGGGTGTGTGTCGGTGGGGTGGGTGTGTGTCAGTGTGCAGAGGTGAGTGGGTGGGTGTGTGTCAGTGTGCGGGGGTGGGTTGTGTGTCGGTGTGCGGGGATGGGTGGGTGTGTGTTGGTGTGTGGGGTGGGTGTGTGGGTAGGTGTGTGTATCGGTGTGCGGGGGTGGGTGTGTGTCTGTGCGGGGGTGTGTGTCAGTGTGCAGGAGTGGGTGTCAGTGTGCAGGAGTGGGTGTGTGTCAGTGTGCGGGTGTCACTGTAGGTGTGTGTCGGTGTGGGGGGTGGATGTGTCAGTGTGTGGGGGTGGGTGTGTGTCAGTGTGCGGGGGGTGTGTTTGTGGAGGTGTGTGTGTCGGTGTGTGTGTGGGTGTGTCAGTGTGCGGGGGTGTATGTGGAGGTGTGTGTGTCGGTGTGTGTGTCGGTGTGTGTGTGGGTGTGCATGTGTAGATGTGCGTGTGTGCATGTGTGGGTGTAGGTGTGGAAGTGGGTTGGTGGGGGTTGGGTGGGGGTGGGTGTATATTTGTCTGTGTGTTGGTGTGTGGGGGTGGGTGTGTCTGTGTGTGTGTGTGTAAACTTCTGCCCAGTCCCTGCTGGGGGGCACTCTCAGACTCAGTATTTGGGGAGGCTGAGGGAGTTGAGGAGAGCAGCAGGACCCTGGACTTGGAGAACGGTTTGGAGGACGGTGGTCTTTGGTGGCTGCTCAGCTCCTTATGGCCCCAGGTGCAGGTGACTTGGTCCTGACTCCATGTTTCCTGCCAGCAGGGGAGTGTGGCCTGGTGGGTGGGGGCCCCCAGGGGAGGTAGGGCTTGCGGGAGTGTGGATACCCGGCTCCTTCGGGTGTGGCGGCACCAGTGTCCCTCCTGCCCGCTGTGCTGGTTGCTTCTCTTACTTTGCTCCCACACGGGATGTCTCCCTTTATTCTATTTTCACTTGCAGTGCTTCTGGTTTCTCCACTTTTACATCTTAGACTGAAACTTGGCAGAAAACGATGCACGATAGGATGTTTCTGAGCCAAGACCCCTTTGAGGACAGGCTGGCTGCTGATTCGAGAGCACGGCCCAGAGCATTCAAGGAGAACATCCTTGCTGTTGGGTTTGTTTTCTTTGCAGAGTGGAGCTGTGGAAGCCGACGGACACTCCTGGCTGGCTGCAGCCAGGCAGCGCAGAGGGAGGTGCGTGTTGGCAAACGTTTGTAACGCTCACTGAGCGGTGAGCAAGACGGGGCGTCGTGCTCGCCTTTTGTGAAAAGGAACAAAAGTGCTGCCGGATTCCTGGCCTGGGTGGAGCCCCATTCACATGACCCCCAGGGGCTGGGGTCACCCCCTGAGGTCCCTCCGTGGCTCCTCGCCTGCTCCGGTGGGGCTGGGGGAGGTGGCTTAGCTGAGGCTGCACCTCCGGGGGAGGAGCTGACAGGCGCCAGCACACACATGCAGGGGTGTGTGTGTGTGTGTGTGTGTGTGTGCACTCGCCAGCGCCTCCCCCCGGGGGGTGCAGCCTCAGCTAAGCACACACACACACACACCTACATGCACACATGTGCACCGACACACACACATGCACACACAGTTCTAGAATGACCACCCTCACCACCTCAAGACTGGCCATCGGAGGGGCCACACTCAGAGGCACGGCGGCTCGAGTGGCCAGCGCCAGCAGGCGGGAGCAGCAGGAGGGGAGCGGGTGCCGCCAGCCCTGCGGTGGCCGTGGGCCTGCCACCCATGAGGCCGAATTGCTCATGGAACTCATGGCCCCAGCTCCAGCCCTGTGGAACCAGCGGCCCTCCCACCCTCCACAGGGGCAGCTGAGCTTCCAAAGGCGAAGGCTGGAATCCAGTCCTTGGAACAATTTCCAGATGTTTTTGGCGTTAAAGTGCCTCCTGTGAAACTGGGGGTGCAGCCGGGCTGCCAGCCTGGGGTCTCCGGTCTACCCAGTGGGCACTTTTGTCATTTGGTCTGGCAACCATGCCACTCTGAAGAATGCTCTCTGCCCTCCAAGGAGAGCAGCCAGCCAGCGGGAGGCCTGTGCCGGGCAGTGGGCACGGGCCCTGACCCCAGCTTGGGGAGGGGCCTGGCATGGCAGGAACATCCTTACAGGCCCCAAAGCTTTAGCACAGTGGGAAGAGTGCACGGCACCTCTGAGCCTGCTCCCCAGGGGCACTAGGCCAACCAGGAGCCTGCCTGCCAGCACCCTCCGCAGCCCACCCTGCCTGGGTGGACAGACGGAGGCAGCCTGGGACCCCCTTGCCACGTGCCCCTCTGCAGTCCTGGTCACCCCATTGTTCAAGGGGTGCTAGGACCCTGAGCACTGCCCTGACCCTAGGCAGTAGGGAAGTGAGGGACACACACACGAGAACACACACGCCATCCACACACACACACACACACGAACGCACACGCCATGCACACACACAGAGCACCCACATGTGCACTTGCTCAAGTGTGCACAGACGCACGTGCATGGAAACCCCAGTACACGTGTACATCCCCACTCATGCACATGTACACACACACACACGAAACCCCAGCCCCACACACAACTACAGCACCAGGTGACACCTTTGCAGAAAAGGGATCGTGAAGCCTCAGACCCAAGTCAGGACTCAGAGCCCGGAAGCCTGTGTCTGCACCGGGCTCCCTCGCCTCCTGCCAGTGAGGCCCTGCCAGGCTGGGGAGGTGCCTGAGGGAGCGGCAGGAATGCAGAACCTGGGCACACCTGGGAGATGAGGCCTCCTACAGCCAGGCTCCCTGACCACGGTGTGGGCTGCAGCCTGCCATGGCCAGGTGCTGCCCATTTCAGGACCGAGGGTTCCTCAGTGACAGGCCCACAGGCTCCAGGCCACAAGGACCTCAGTTTCCCCACCTCCCTGGACCTGGGCTTGGGCCCCAGTTGCCCATCTAGGTGGCAGGGGCCCAGTGTCCCTAGGCTGTGACAACAGGGCTGCTCCCCAGAACTGCAGCACCAACCCTCCCCTCCCAAGGCCCCCAGCCCCTCACTCCCACTGGGCCGGGTGCCCACCCTCCACAGGGCCGGCAGGAACAACCACATTGGCCTGGTGAGCACTCGTTTGGGAAACTGGATATATTTGCAATTTTTAAAACGCTCAGAGCCAACATTCAAAATGGGGCTGTTTTTCCAGTGGAAAATGTAACATGAGCCCAGAACCACTCCCGCTCACACAGAGGCCCGCCCCCACCACCACCGCCACGCCTGGGCCAGGGCTTTACTCAGGGCCAAGCCTGGCCAGCTCCTGCGGCCCCGGCCCAGCACCCGCCACCCCCCCACACACCTGAAGCCTTCAGACCAGTGTGCAGGAGAGGCTGAGGGCAGCTGCCCAGGGCAGACAAGGGCGCAAGGGGCAGGCAGAAGGCCCTGAAGACCCCCCGCCATGGCTGGGTAGGCTCTGTCTCAGGGGTGTTCAATCAAATCAAGGGCCGCTTGGCCTCATACAGCCAGGCCCCTCTGCCCCCCAGGTGCCACAGAGAACCCGGCAACCACAGGGCAGACCCTTCCCCTCCACGGGGCCCCCATGGCCGACACACCCTGGACGAAGCCAGCAGGAGTGAGGTTGCCTCTGGGGTCTGTGGGCCCAGGTGCTACCCGACATGGTGGGACCCCGTTGCTCCCACACTCCTGGGGCAGCTGGGACAGCCGCTGTGACCTTCCCGCCTCAGAGGGGCTGTGCCCACCAGGCTGGGTAAACCTGTGACTGCTCATCCTCCTGGAAGGAGGACATCACCCTGCCACCAGCTTCAGCAACAAACACAGAAGACAACAGCTGTGACTGCAGCCTCTCCTGACACCCGGGAAGAGCTTCCCGAAGGCAGCGCGCCCAGTGCTTTGTGGATGTTTGTGGAGAAGATCAAATAAATGGTGGCCCTTTGAGACCTCAGCTGCGGTGCTGGGCAGAACATCAGAGAAGGCCCGGGTGCAGGGCTCACGCCTGGAATCCCAGCACTTTGGGAGGCCGAGGCGGGTGGATCACCTGAGGTCAGGAGTTTAAGACCATCCTGGCCAACATGGTGAAACCCCGTCTCTATTAAAAATACAAAAATTAGCCGGGCGTGGTGGTGCGTGCCCAGATACTCAGGAGGCTGAGGCAGAATTGCTTGAACCTGGGAGGCGGAGGTTGCAGTGAGCCAAGATCGTGCCACTGCACTCCAGCCTGGGGGACAGAGCAAGACTCTGTCTCAAGAAAAAAAAAAGGAATATCAGAGAAGCTTCCCTGAGGGTCGTGCCCCATAGCATCCGCCTGTCCAGCCCCCAGGCCTGCCCCATGCAGAAGCTGAGGCCCCTCCCTGACCCAGCAGGGCTACTGCCCTCATCTGAGCTGACACGCACCCTGGGAGCAGGTGGGGCTGCTGGGGCAGGTGGGCAGGCGGCCCCGGGGAGGGCGGGTCAAGCTGTCTGGTGGGGCCTGACCCCAGCCTGCCACCCTGGTTGCCATGGCCCTGACCTTGGGAAGTATTTACGATTCCGTGGCATGAAAGTTCCCAGCTCTCCATCTATTCCTGCCAGAGAAAAACCACTGCCCCCCAGCCTCGTGGGGTGTCAGGGACAGGAGGTCCCTCCGTACAGCCCCACCCTGGCAGCTCAGCCATCTTGACTCACCCTTGGCCGATGCCACAGGAGCCTCCTTTAAAGTAGGCAGTGCCTGTGGATGGGTTGTAGGACCAGCCCGGGGGTGGGCAGGGGCTTTCCTGGCACCTTCTCTGCAGATCCTCTTTATACTGAGTGTGTAGCACCCCTGGCCCTTCCTGCCATGTAGTGAAGGGGGGCATTGTCAGCCCTCCCACAGCCCAGGAGGGTCACCTGTTAGTCGGCGGCCACCAGGGTCTGCACCCTGCTCAGCTTGGCTCTGCCTTGGGGTGCCAGGGCAGAGGGTGGGCTGGGGCCTCGTCTGGGGTCACAGGAAGTAGGCCTGTCACGGGGACTCGGTGATCGTGGCAGAGCTGGGGCTGCAAGCTCAGGCCCCTTGCCGAGTGATGTCACAGAAGCTCCAGCCACACGGACTGAGTGGGGAGCATCGCAGGGGAGGGGGGTGGGCCGGGACTCCCAGCCCTGGGGTCTCCCAGCCAGAAGGCCACCCAGGCTGGCTGTGGTCCAAGGCCTGGGCTGTGGGGGGGTGGGGGTAGGCAGGAAGAGGCCTCAGGGACCCAGAGCAGCCAGGTGGGCCAGGGGTCACTGCTGAAACCAGGGGCGGGCGGGGCCTGGGGAGGGCTCTGCCGTGTGGTCCCTCAGGTGTGTAGCAGCAGCCACCCGCACCGCGGCCCGGGCCTCAGGGCTGCCTGCAGGAGGCTGGTCGGGGACAGCTGCCTCCAGGGCCACACACTCACAGCCAGGAGGTCAGGCCATTCCTCAGGGCTGCCTGCAGGAGGCTGGTCGGGGACAGCTGCCTCCAGGGCCACACACTCACAGCCAGGAGGTCAGGCCATTCGGGCCTGGGCAGACCCTCCCCCTCCCTCAGGCAGGGAGCTGGGGTCCCAGACCTTAGGGGCCCTACTCTCTCTGGCTCACAGGGCCTCAGGCCTTCAGTCCCTCCAGGCTGGGCGGCCGAGGCTGAGGCCCCACTGGAGGGGGCTCCACAGCAGCCCCTTTGCCCTCCCTGGGCAGGGACCCTCATCCCCGGGGACTCCGCTCTGGCCCACACGGCAGTCCTGGGAGTCGGACGGCCCCTGTCTGCCCGGCACCACTTCGGGAACATAGTGACAACCCCCAGCCCCCAACAGGCCCCACTGCCCCTCCCAGGGCCCTCCCTTTCAGGGTGGGCTGTATCCAGCTGTCCAGTAGGTCCAGCACAACTGAGGGCTGAGCCCAGGGCCTACGCAGGAGCGCGTGGCTGCCGACGGGAAAGTCAGGTGTGCCCCCCGGGGAGTCCAGGCTTCCGTGGGGACCTCTGTCTACAGAGGTCACAGCCAGGCCCCTGCAGCCGAGTTGGCTGGGAAGGAGCTGAGGCCGAGATAAGGATCTGGCCCAGCAGGGGGGGTGCAGGGACCACCTTTCCGCTGGGCACAGGGGAGGCTGAAATGCCTCCTGAGAAGGGCCTCCCAGCTGTCCCCGCTCAGCCCTGGGCCAGGAGACCCCTCGGGTAGCCTGTGGGGTGTGGGGCCCAGGGCAGCTGCCTGCCAGGGAGCACTGGGACCTGATCCCCAGCCCCCGAATTCCCTGGCCCCGGCCTCACCAGGGAAGGGGTGTGAAGGAAGGGGTGAGGAAGGGGGCAGACAGGGTCTCAATGCACACCCCACACACACGAGCACACACTGGTACCCCCATCGGGGCAGAGGGTGGGACTCTGAGGTGGCCGGGGACACTTCCCCGCAGAGCTGCCCGGTGGGGGCCCCTGGTTGCCCTTTTGCAGCGAGGATGGAGGGACAGGGGAGCTGTGCTGTGTGTGGCAGGCCCCTCCGCCACATCTGAGGGCCCTGGGGAATGGCAAGAAGAGCAGAGCCCTCCAGACCACCAGGCTGGGCACTGTGTTGACCCTGCCTTCCACTGCAGCCAGGAAAGGGCTGGGCCCAGAGGGGCGAGAGGGCAGAGGAATGTGGGCTGCCGAGTGGGGAGCTGGGTCTGTGCGGACCTGCACCTCAGACCCGCCTGCAGCCAGCACTGGGCGCACAAGCCGCGGCCACACGCACCCTGCAGGTCTAGGCCAGGCCAATCCCCCATGGGTGCCCCAGCACAGTTACCCAAAAGGTCAGCGCACGGCTGGGGCATGGTAGCGGAGGGGCGGGGAGGGTGGAGGAGGAGTGAGGGCCGGGGCAGGGAAAGGGAGGGCCGGGAGGGTGTGGGGTGGAGGGAGGGGTGCCAGAGCCTCCTGGGGTGGGAGGCTGGGTCACAGGCTGGGGGAGCAGCTGGGGATGGAGCTTCCCGACCCACACAGTTGGGACCCTCACCCAGGGCCACCCTCTCAGGGCCCTTAGTGGGCCCAGCACTGTCTCTTCCCCTGGGGGTCTCCCTGGGCCCACCCCACCCCAGGCCTTGCATGGCTTTCCAAATTCCAGAACCTTCCGTACTCCTGGCAGGATGGCCCCGGGGCTGTGCTCCAGGACCCACGTCCCGATGCCAGCCTGAGGCCGTGCCTGCTCCTCCGGACTAAGGCCCCCGCAGCTCCTCTGCAGGGCCGGGCCCTGGCGGCCGAGTGCTGCCCGGCGGGCGGGGGTGCTGCCTGGCGCGCCTCTCGTTTCCTCTTGGCCTGCAGGCCGGGCTGCCTTGGAACAAAGGCTGGATTGTGCCTCACTCTGGGGCCACTCGCTGTCCCGGCCCGATGCTCACTCCGCCTGGTTGCTGCCCCAGCAGGGCTCTGCAGACAACGTTTGTGCTTCCAGCCAAGCAAGGCTGCCCTGGCCAGGCCGACCCTCGTAAGTCCTGCCAGCCGGGATAGCACGGCAGCACCGACCACGGGCCAGGAGCCCGGCCACCAGTCCTGTGCTGCGTGGACCACGACTCCTTCCCGTGGTCTGGGGCAGCGGGCGGCCTCTCGCCTGTGCCCATGGGCACCTCCCTCTGTGTGGCCACTTAGTGCCATAACCCCTGGCTCAAGGGTGTCTGGCCCTGGCCCACCCTACCTGCTCCCCCACCCTGCCTGTACCCCCGCCCCTGTGTCTGGCAATGTCTGCCACTGCCCGTCTACCATGCCAGGCCAGGAATGAGTGGCTCTGCCGTCCCTCTGTGGCCAGGCCTCCCTGACCCCAGGTCCCTGGGGTGCCCATGTGCAGGGTTGGCTTTTGGAAGTCAAAGGGAGTCAGGTTTCTGCTCCCAGGAGGGGAGAGTGGCCAAGCCTCACCAACACTGCCCTGCACCACAGGCCTCAACAGCGTAAGTCCAGCAGCTCCTCCGACCAAGCTTTTTTTTCTTTTTTTTTTTGAGATGGAGTCTTCCTCTGTCGCCCAGGCTGGAGTAGAGTGGCGCGATCTCGGCTCACTGCAACGTCCACCTTCTGGGTTCAAGCGATTCTCTTACCTCAGCTTCCCGAGTAGCTGGAATTACAGGCGCATGCCACCATGCCCGGCTAATTTGTTGTATTTTTAGTAGAGACGGGGTTTCACCATGTTGGCCAGGATGGTCTCAATCTCCTGACCTTGTGATCCACCTGCCTCGGCCTCCCAAAGTGCTGGGATTACAGGTGTGAGCCACCGCACCTGGCCCCAACCAAGCATTTAATGAGCACCACTGTTTGCAAGCCCACCCAAGCCCTTGGAGGTGGACAGGCAATCCACGGGCAAGCACCATCCTCCATGGCAAGCACCATCCCGTCCCAGGTGGGCCTGGGCCCCCAGCAAGGCCTGGTCCCTGGCTGGCTGGACGCCCACACTCAGAACCCAGCTCTGAGGAGAGACGCGGGGTCAGGGGAACGGTGCTCCAAGGCCTTGGGCCAGGAGGTGCCGGTGAGGTAAGCCTGCCCCAAAACGACCTGGGGCACAAGGGATGGCCCCGAGCAGGCTCTAGCCATCTGTTCTTCCACCAGAGGAGCTGGGAGGTGCTGAGCTCTGGGCACGCAGCTCCCAGCTGGCCGGGCAGGGAGCACCGATTTCACAGCAGGCTCATCTGGGCAGAGCCTTTGGCAGGGAAGTCTGGGTCTGACACCCGTGTACAAGAGACACCCCCACCCCAACACCCCCGGGGCTGATTCAGGCCTCACCAGCCCCAGCAGAAGACTCCCTCTGTCCCGTCCCAGCCAGCCGGACCCAGCCGGGGCCCTGCCGGCCTCCAGCGTCTGCCGCCCCAGCCTCCACCCCCGCCGCCCGCTGTTGGACCTGGGCCGTCAAAGAGGCTTTGTGGCCGCCAAGTGGAGCCGGGTGCCGATTGTCTTGGAGGGGCTCCAGGAAGGAATGGAGTAAGAAGAGAGAGGAAAAAAAACGGAGGAAAAAGCTGTGAACAGAGAAGGAATTCGCCTCTGTGAAGGCCGGCGCCACCCTGACCGCCCCGCCCCTCCCCGAGCCTGGGCCTGGCCTGAGCTCTGCGGGCTCCGGGGCGACTTGGACTCACCTCCCATCTACTCAGTCGCCGGTGGCTCCTCCCTGTCACAGATGAGGACACCGAGGGCCAGAGGGGCCAGGTGGTTGCCTGGGGTCTGACAGTGCAGAGAGGCCGCCCGGCCCCAGAGGACTTGGTTCAGGTGCACGATGGGTGGGGAGCTGCTCAGGGCACTGACCAGGCCACACCAGACAATGAGGATGGAGGCTGGGGTCCTTGCTCCCTGCAGCCTGGGGTCAGGAGGGAATGGGGGTGGCCACCCTCGGGATGCTCCACCTCCCTGCCACACATCAGAGGGTCAGAGCCCAGGCCGGGCGCAGGCTGCATTGTGAGGGGACCACAGAAGGTGTCCGGCCCGATGCCCATTCCTCAAGGAGGCTCACAGATGGCAGGTGCCCAGGAGTCGGGCCGGAGAGGGGTCCAGCTGGTCTTGCCGCAACAAAGGCGGTCTACCCTCCACAGCTGCTGCTGCCTGAAGCCAGGCACCCCTGGGGTTCCAGGCACAAACCCACCCACCCTACCTGTTCCCCAGGGTGCTGAGGGTGAAGCATCCCAGCCAAGGAGAAGCCAGCGCCAGGGCTAACCCGGGTAGGCGGTCCCAAAACAGCTGCTGAGATGCAGCTGGGCACAGGTGGGTGGGGACTGGAGGACGAGGAGGCCACGGTCCCGATCCCTGCACCCCTCTCTCACCCTAGTCTAGGTGTGGGAGGAGCTACTTGCTGGAGACCCTGGACCCTTCCAGGAAAGTCAAGGTTAGGGTGGGCTCTGCTGAGTTCTCCCCAGCAAGCCTGTGGCCTCTTCGTCCCAGGGCCTCCTGGCTGCAGCCCACCTGGCCTGGCCCCACCATGGGGCCGCTGCTTTCTAGCAAAGACCTGCGCCTTAGGGAGAGGCTAGGACCCCAACTCTAGCCAGCGACCCTCATTCTTCTGTCCTCTGCAGCTCTACTCCCCACCAGGGGAGCCCCCGACACCGCGAGCCCCCAGACACCAGGAGACCCCAGAGGCAGACGGAGCATCCTGGAGTCCCCAGCCCCACATGGCATCAGGGCAGATTCCCACCGGTCCCCCATGCTCTGGGCTGCTCTCTGTCTCCAAAGGTCCTTCAGGGCTTGGGGTAGGTGGTCCTCCCTTCCCTGGACCACCGCCTACCCACTGTAACTCCAGGGGCTCCTGGAGGACCCGGGCACACAGCCCCGCCTCCACCGCTACCCCGGACTCAGGCCAGCCCTCGCCCAGCCAGCTGCTGGCAGCTGTCACCACCTGCCGGCTGGGCCAGATGCGGCTGCCACAGAGAGCAGGCGGGGCTGCAGCTGCCTCGGCTCCTCCTCCCACAGCCCTCACCTGGGGCCCCGGAGTGGGCATCTCGCCCCTAGCTGGTCCCAAAGTTCCCTCCCCCTCGCTCTCCCACCACATCTGAGGCCCGTGTACAAGGCACACGGCTGCGCCCAGCCCTGAGGCAGAGAGCATCTTCCCAGAGGACACACCCCAGGAGCCGCCTCGGCCCCCAGCAGCCACTGTGCCCCCAGCCTGGCCCGGCAACCAACCTACTGTGCTCCTTTACTGAGTGGAAGGTTTTCACAGGAGGCAGACGCTGAGAAGACGCTGGGGCCCAAGCAGGCTGGTGGGGTTGCCCCTCAGAACCACACCCTGCCCGTGCTCAGCCCACTGAGCGGGTACAGGGCAGGGGCATAGATGAAGGTCTTCCGACACCCAGGAAGGAGAGGCCGGGCCAGGGCAGGCGCCTCGGGGTGGACAGGCACTCCGGGCCCGCCTGTGTCTGTGGCTTTCACACGCTGACGGCCTCAGCCACAGAATCCATGTCGGCCTGCGTGCCCAGGAGGGCACATCCAGGGCTGCCCTGCGGCAGCCCCTGGCTCCGGGATCCTAGCAGCTGGGCCCTGGGCTCCCAGGACGGCCGTGCCCACTCTCTTGGCCCTGCCTTCCTCAGGGGTCTCAGGGCATCTGAGGTCTTTTCAGGGTCCCTGGGTCCCTCTGTGGAGAGTGGAGCTTCACCACCCCTTTTGTCGGCTGTGGCCCTGGCCAAATCACCAGAGGCCAGGACTGGTGGCCAGACCTCCTGTTAAAGAGAATAAAATGACACTCTGGCCACCCTCCGAGTCCCGGTCTTTCTGCTGGACACCAGGGAGTTCCTGCTGCAGTCGACACACCGGCACGGGGAGACAGGTGGGACCTGGCGTCCGTCACAGCATCCTGCAGGGCTGGATGTCCCTGGGCGCCCACTGGTCCCCATCTCTCAGGCTGCAGGAGCCCCCCAAGTGCCCCAGCCCCACTGTACTCAGGACTCATGCTCCCAGCAGGACCCCTGAATTCGGCCCCCAGGCAGAGGCCCTGCCGTGACCCAGGCTGAGGTTCAGGGTGAGGGGGCCAGAGAGGCCACCTTTTGACCCCAGGTTAAGCACTCTCTCCACCGTGTTGGGTGCTGCGTGCCAAGCCTGGCCACCCCAGCACTCTGCCATGGGGACAAGGAAGCCTCAGAACATGGCAGCTGCTCCAGGGGCCCCCAGCCCCACCCTGCGGCCACCAGCCCCCCTTCTCCCCAGTCACTGAATCAAACTGCCTGAGTGGGTGGCCCCTGCCCCTGCACAGACCCTCGAGCCCAGGAACCTGGGTCTGGGGGCCTTGGAGCCCAGGCAAGGATTGAAGAGAGCTGGGGTGCCCTGGGGGGCTTGAATTAGGAGGACCTCTCTCTGCCCTGGTTGGGCTCTAGCAGGTGGAGCTGGTGCTTGAGGACAGAGCTGCCCATGGGGTCAGGACTGCTGAGGAGCTGCATACAGTCAGGCAGTGACCAGGCGACTGGGGAAGGGGCTGACCAGGAGGAACAGCCCCAGTGGAGCCAGGGCACAGGTCACAAAGAGGCTGCCTGACCAGCCTGTGTGGCGCGAGGGTGGCTCTCTGGGTGGCACTGGGGGACTGGGGGACAGGGGAGCAGCAGGCTTTGCAGGTGACTAGTGTAGAACGGGCATGATCGGGACCCACAGAGTGGCACCCTCACCTCCCACGTGTGTCAAAGCCGGCCTGGGTCACGAGGCCAGAGGTGGGCCCAGCCCCTAGACCCACCTGGGCTCCTGCCCAAGGCTGCGGAAGGGAATGGGAAACCCTCCCATGGGGCCAAGGCCGCCTCTGCTTCAAGAGCCCACAGGGAGCCCCAGCCTTGGCCACACCCACTCAGGCCCAGCATGCAGCTGCCAGCACAGTGGCGGGAGCCTTCCGGGGAGACCCACCTGCATCCCCTCGCTGGCCACACTCCTCCCAAGGCAGAGGCAAGGGAGAGACAGGCCGAGCAGAGGAGGCCAACGGTGGCGAGTGCGGCCCCTGGGCAGAGCCGGTGTTTCTCAGGGACTGGCGTCTCTCCTCAGGCACTGCAATGCAAACCTAAAATTCATCGGCAACCCAGAGCCCTGGAACACAGGCCTGGGTCTTGTGTGGCTGAGGCCCAGGACCCGCCAGGCCCCACCAGCCCCCAGGAGAGCCCCTTCCCCAACCCAGGCAGCCACCTGGGCCGGGCACACTGTGAGGCCAGCACAGGGCACAGAGAGCCCGAGACCACCAGGCCCCGCCCACCGCGTCCCTGCCCCGCCTCACCCAGCGTGGCTCCACCCAGCACTCTTGTCCCCCGGGACATCTGGAAGCTTCTCCTACCAGAAGCTAGCTCCAGCCATGGGAGGGGGACTGTCCCAGCCCAGCCCGAGGGGCCCAGTGCCCCACACACTTGGCCCTGTGGCCTCCCTGCCTCTGCCTCCAGGAGGTGCTCCCATGTTCAAATCCTGGGGGACCCCTGGCAAACCCCAGCCCCACAGCAGGTCCGGGGCCCACACAGTGCCCCAGGGAGGCTTGGCTGGTCCCTGCGTCCTGGAGCCTTGTGTCCCAGGGCCGGATCTCTGCTGTGCGGGGAGTCCCATCGTGCACCCCGAGCACACAGCCTGGACCCCTCTTCCTGGCCTGCACCCCTCTTCCTGGCTTGGGCCCCATCTGTGCTCCTCGTCCCACGTTCCTGACCCGGTCCCCCAGCCCCCAGCCTCGGCCTGGGACAAGGCTGTGATCTCTGGCCAGGTCCTCTGACCCACGGGCCCATTGGGTGGGGCTGCCCACATCCCCTATCTCTGCCTCATGCTGCCACCCTGTCCCTGGCAGCAGACGCAGGCACCCCCGGGACAGCTGCAGGCGGCTTATGGGCACCCCTTTGAAGCCAGGAGGGCCGGGCGGGGGCGGGTCACACCCGGGGGTGTTGGAGCCTGGGCAGCACTTTCAAGTTAGCCGGGCTTTACAGGGAAGCAGCTTATCACCACCAGGACAGGGCCAGGGAGGACCATGGGCCTGGCCCCGTGCCCACACCCTGCCCCGCCATGCTGAGCCTCCCCCGGGCACCACCATCTCGTACCCAAAGGGCCTGGCCTGGGGGCCGCCCTGAGGACACAGCCAGGTCCCCTCCGTTGACTCCTGGGCTGCAACCCCCACCACTACAACCCACACCACCAGCAGCCCAGGACAGAGCCAGGGACGGGTGCCCAGCCCTGTTCCCGTCCCCACAGCACGAGCTGCCCCATGACCTTCCTGTGGTGGCCAAGGGCATGGGACCTGGTCTTGCCCACGTGAAGGGTGACAGTGGAAGAGCCAGGAAGCCCCAGGTGCAGCCCCTCCCTGGGGAGACGGCTGCCACTCTGGGCTCCTCCCTTCTCCCTGGGCCCCCTCGGTCGCCCTGCCCCTCAGATTCCATGCCCCAGCCCCACCCCTGCAAGGGCATTGCCCAGAAGCCCGCTGGCCCCCAAGGAGCCTCCCGACGCGTGTGTGTCGGTCTCTTCCTGGGCCTGGAGCCCCCATGGTGCAATGGTGTGCAGGTGACCCGGGCAGGACAGGTGAGACGGGGCCCACAGAGCGGCACCCCCACCTCCCACAAGCCCCACCCGGCCCTTCGAGCCTCCTGGCCAGTGAGCCTGGGGTGAAGGGCTCCCCATCTTTCAGGTGCTTGGCCGGAGCAGACCACTGTCAGAAGCGCAGTCCTGCCCTCTGTCCTGCTGGCCACACTCACGCCCTGGGCGCCTCTGCCCGCCTCCTGCCTCAAGTCCTCGAAGCACACGGGGCCTCTGTGCTCCCAGGCCTCCTGCACGTGGAGGGGAGGGGAACGCAATTTTGTTCTTGGGAGTGTGGACGTGCAGATGTGACGAGGGAGCCGGCGCAGGGCACAGACGCGTGCTGCCGTGACGGAGATGCGGGAAACGGCATCGGGATGGCCGTGTGGCTGGTGGGGGGACAGGAGCCACGGGGACAGGAGTCCACGGGGCAGGGCCAGGCAAGAGACAGCCAGGAACACAGGCCAGGCGTCCACAGGGCAGGGCCCCGGCAGGCTCAGGCTGGAGACCGCCGAACAGAGGGGCGTGGGGGCGGGAGCAAGGCTCTCGGGACTGGACGGCCAAGGGGGAAGGGTCTGGAAGTCGCAGGGGAGAAAGCAGGGGCTCCAGGCAGCCCCTGAGGAAGGCTAGGGAAGGACTGAGGGGTCTGAGCTCCAGGCTATTGGCCCGGGGGTGGCTGGGGCCCCATAGGCAGGAGATGGGTCTGTCCTGACTCCTTGGGGTCCCCCTGCCCAGCCTGGCATCCAACGTGGCCACAGCATGACAAAGTCCAGAGCCCAAGACCCAGAGGCTAGGCTGTGCCAGACCTGTCCGTTGAGGACCACACAGCACTAGTCAGCACCTCCTGTGGGCAGGCGCAAGATGGGCTGGACCACAAGTCAAGGGTGGCCCTGAGTGGGGGCCTGGACCTCACAGCAGGCAGGGTGCAGGCGTGGGGTCTGCGGTCCCAGTGTCTCCTTCAGAGGCTCTAGGGGACAGCCCTCTCGGACTGCCCATCCCTCCGCCCACTCCCTGGGGAGGGGCAGCCTGTCCTCTGCAACCCCATGACCCGCTGCCTGAGGCCTCCCTGCTGCCCAAGGTGGCCAGACGCCTGAGGTCTCCCTTCCACCCTCCCCTACTCCAGACTGAAACCCGACCAGGCGTCGGCCTGCAGCCTGTCCTGTCTGGGGAACATCTGTTTGGCTGCCAGCTGTGGGCCGCGTGGAGCCCCCACTGTCCCCCAGTCAGGGTGGCCAGGCCTCCCACAGCACCCATCAGCCACACGCAGCCCTTACCAGGGCCATGCCTGAAGCTGTCACCGTCCAAGGAGTCAGGACTTCCTCAGGGGAGAGAAGTAGGGTCTACCCTGGGGAGGACAGAGAACAAAAAGGGGACATCTTGAAAGCCATGGGGTCCCCAGAAGCTCCAGTTGGGGAGAGGTCCCTGACACCTCTCCCCAGAGCCCACCTGTCGTCTTTGAAGCCAGGCAGGGTGAGCTTCCTCCAGGGAAAAGCTCTCAGAACCAGAGCGGGTCAGGAAGCGCGCTGCACGCCAGCAGGACCAGGCTCCGGGGACGCAGTGGGCCTCACGCTTTGCTGAATGCACGAGGGGCCCCGGTGCCTTTTCTTACGAGGCTAACGGAACCCCCGGCAGGCAAGGGCCCCGGGTGGAGCTGGCAGCCCCACCCCTCCTGCTGACCGGGTAAGATGGGGTCGGCCACCGTCGCAGCACCGCAGGGTGGCTGGGAGGGCACTCGGACGGAGCCCTGAGGTCAGAGGTGACCTGAGCCTGGCCCCATCCCCAGCTCTGAGGCCAGTCTGCTGCCTCCTGTAGGGCCACCCACCAAAGCCTGAGGAGGGGCTGGGGAGTGGCCAGGCCCTGCACTGAGGGCCATAGGTGCCAGCCCCAGGACACAGAGAGGGCGCCGCTGGGACAGGGGTGCAGGACGCAGGCCTGGCCAGGCATGTGGGCAGTGCTCACGCCCAACACCACCGAAGCCCAGTATACCCAAACTCTCCCGCCGGGAGGTGCAGTTCTCAGCCCCTGTGGCTCTGGCCCAGCGAGGGGACTCCAAGAGGGTTAGGCTGCTGGTTCTGGAGACCAGGCCTGACACACAGGCACAAATGTGAGCACACACGAGCATGCACACGTGCATGTAGACATGGGCAGAAACACCAGCCTGGAGGGAAAGGATGCACTTTCATGTTTAACAAAATAAATTAAATATACGGGGCTTCAGCTCAAACTCTACATAAAATTACAGAGATCTGGGGCCACCACGACAGTGGGGTGGGGGGTGGTGTCTGGCCTGGACGGGGTGTGGTCATCAGCATGGCTGAAAGACCAGGCGGGTCCCGGGCCCCAGGAGAGACCACAGTCCCTGCAACCCAGTCTTCCTTCCATCATTATTAATATTATCTTCATTTCTTAAATATAAATACCAAGGCCCCTTCTCTGTGTCAGGGGGAGAATGCAGTGGGGATGAGCCACTAGCCATGGGCTCCAGCCTCTCAGGCTTGGGGCTGCTGTGCCCCCAACCCCAGCCCACAGCAGTAGGGGACTCCTGGGCACCCAAGGCAGGTGGCAAAAATAGCCGCCAAGGCCAGGGGACAGAGGCGGGGATGGAGGCGGGGACTGAGGCGGGGACAGAGGCGGGCAGAGTTGGGGGAGTGACGGTGGAGCAGGGAAAGTCCCTCATCAACTATGAGCCTCACGGCACACGTACTGCAGGCTTCACGGCACACCCTCCCAAAAGCACGTCAGTCTGCGTGTGTCCAGGCAGCATATCTGCACCTGTGTGTGCATGTGTGTCCGGAAGTGTGTGCCCAGGCAGCATATCTGCATGTGTGCGTGCGTGTGTATCCGGACAGCATATCTGCACGTGTGTGCATGTCCAGACAGCATATCTGTGCACATGTGTGTGTCCAGGCAATATCTGCACGTGTGTGAGTGTTGAGGCAGCATTATCTGTGTGTGTGTCCAGGCAGCATATCTGCGTGCGTGTGTGTGTCCGGACAGCATATCTGTGCATGCGTGTGTGTGTCCGGACAGCATGTCTGCGTGTGTGTGTGACTAGACAGCATATCTGCGTGTGTCCAGGCAGCATATCTGCGCCTGTGCACGTGTGTCTGGAAGTGTGTGTCCAGGCAGCATATCTGCATGTGTGTGCGTGTCCAGACAGCATATCTGTGCACACGTGTGTGTGTGTGTGTCCAGGCAATATCCGTGCATGTGTGTGTCAAGGCAGCATTATCTGTGTGTCCAGGCAGCATATCTGTGCACGTGTGTGTCCGGATACCATATCTGCACGTGTGTGCGTCCAGACAGCATATCCGTGTGTGTGTGTGTGTCCAGGCAGCACATCTGCGCATGGGTGTGCGTGTGTATGTTCAGGCAGCATGTCCTTGTATGTTCTGGCATGTCTCTGTGCGTGTGCGTGCATTTGGGCAGCTTATCTGTGTGCCCAGGCGGCATATCTGTGCATGTGCGTGTGTGCGTACGTGTGCCTTCAGGGAGCACGTGTGCGCGCATGTGTGTGCATACATGCATCCAGGCAGTGTGTGTGTCTGTGTGTGTGTGTCCAGGGGCTATGCCTCACACACAGACTGCCTGGGGTGCTGGCCATTCCTCCTCGCCATGGGTCCCCTGCCTTCGTCTGCAGCTCCGTCCTCCATCCTCCCAGTCTGCCTGTCTGGCCGGCCCCCCCGTGCCCACTGCAGATACGGTGCCGTCTAGCACTGATAGTGGATGTGCTGGTGGACCTTGCCCTCCACGTGTGAGTGTGTGTGAGAGTGTGTGTGTGTGTGTGTGTGGATGTCTGTGTAGAGTTTGGGGTACAACTTAGGGCCAGCAACTGGGCCTGGGCCCAGTAAGTGCTGGGGGGCTGCCGGAGACCCATGCTCCTCACACAGCCCCACACCAGGGCCAGCGCTGAGGGCGGCCAACGAGGGAAGGTCCTTGTCTCCGCTGCGGTCGCGGGCCGTCCCCGGCGGGCGGTGCCCAGGCAGGGGAGGGGCAGGCGCGGGGGTGCACGGCTTCTTCTGGGCCTGGCAAAGCCACAGGAGCAGGGTGCCCAGGATGAAGACAGCGCCGGCTGGGATGCCGATGACCACGGGCCACGGCAGGCTAGTGGCCGAGGACGAGGAGGCCACAGGTGGCCCTGGCGGTTTTGGGTCTGCAAGAGCGAGAGGAAAGGAGGTAGGGAGGGGAACGCCGACACAAAGACCAGGAGAGCACCCCAGACCCATCCCAGGGGCTGTGGAGACGGTGCCCCTGGGCTGCCCTCCCTCGGCAGATGACCTGGCCAGCACGGCCCGGGAGGGAAGGGTGGGGCCCCACCCGGTGGGTGGGACGCCGGGCCCAGGGGGCGGGTCCGGGCACCAGCATGGTGTGGCGTGGCGTGGCAGCCGCGCACCTGGCAGCACGGTGAGGAAGGCGCTGCGGAAGCTGTAGCCCATGGTGTTGGCGCCAAGGCAGATGTACATGCCCGCATCGTCCTGGCGGGCACGGGTGATGAGCAGCTTATTGAGGTAGGAGCCGTCGGGCCGCGACCACACGTCACCCGTGGGCAGCACCACAAACTTCTGGCCGCCCACATCGATGGTGGAGTTGTGGCGGCCCTCGGCGCCGTACTCCACGCGCTTCAGCCACTGGATCACCGGCTTCACGTCGCTGCGCACCTTGCACTGGAAGGACGTGGTCCCCCCGAAGTCCACCGTCGTGTTCACGGGGTGCGTGCCTGTGAGCACGGGCTTGGAACGGGTCCGCTCTGTGGGAACGTGGCACGCGGGCATGGCTCCTGGGCCGCGCCGGACTCTACCCCGCCAGCACCCTGGGCCCACCAGCACCCCCAGCCCACCACCCCCAAGCCCTGCCAGTGCCCCCGCCCACCAGCGCCCCCGCCCACCAGCACCCCCGCCCGCCAGCGCCCCCGCCCACCAGCACCCCCCGCCCGCCAGCGCCCGGGGCCACACTCACGGATCACATCCACCTTGTAGGTGGCGTTGATGGCGCCCGCGCGGTTCGACACGCGGCAGGTGTATTTGCCGCTGTCCTCCGGCCGCAGGTTCTTCAGGCTCAGTGTCCACTTCTTCTTCCTGGGCTCAGCGGCCTCTGGGCGCGTCAAGGCCTGGTCGTCCTTCATCCACGTGATGTCGGGCCGAGGGTGCCCGCTGGCCACGCACTTGAGCCGCACGGAGCTACCCACGGGCCGTGCGATCACCCGGCGCCTCATCTTGGAGGGCTGTGTGAAGCGCGGTCGTGCTGCGGGGTGGGGTGGCGTGGAGGTCAGAGGACGGGGATGCAGCCAAGGGGCCGGGACAGACGGACGCCCCCCACCCCCGTCACCCCCTGCTCACCCCACTGCTGGCTGGCGGGGTCCTCTTGACCCCCAGAGGAGCTGTCGGGCCCCAGGCTCTCCTTCCCTGGGCTAATGTCATCTGCAGAGAGACGGAGGTGCACAGGGAGGGCAGGTGAGGGGGGCCCTGAGGAGCTCCCCCAACTCCCCCGTGGCCTCTAGCTCCCCCAGCCCCAGCCGGGACAGCCCTGGACACCCAGGCAGGGGGCTGCGCCACACACCCACAGCCCAGAATCCCAGGGACAGCTGGGCAAGGGCCGCTGGCCCACACTGGGCGCAGGTGACCCTGATGGGCACGGGTGGGGCTGGAGGGCCGGCCCCCATTCTGGCTCCGGGGGGTCTGCAGGCCCCGGGGGAGGAGGGAGCCGGGCCCGGCCAGCAGCTGCAGTAACCCTAGCCTACATCAAGGGGCCGAGGGCTGGTGAACAGACGAGACTCTCATACCACCCGGTCATCGTCCCCTTTGAAAGGACTGTGGGGTGGGGGTGGGGGACAGCCAGTTTTCCCATTCCACACAATGCCGAGGGGCAGGGCGTGCTGTGGAATGTCCCCTCCATCCACCCTGTGACAGCCGCTCCTTCACTGAGCCCAGGACCAGGCTGTCTCAGGCCGCACCCCCAGACCCTGCTGGGGCCTGGGCCAGGCTCCTGTATTCAGAAAACGGGCACATGTACCCTAAAACTTAAAGTAGAATTAAAAAAAAAAAAGAAACGGGCCAGCCCAGCTCCCAGGAGCTCCACCCGAGGGCCCCACACCCAGGAGCCCAGCGGAGCAGGCGGGGTGCCGGGTCCCTAGGTATGGAGGGCGTGTCTCTCTGGACACCTGTCCAAGCCCAGCGCCCGGGCCCCAGGCGCAGAAGAGAACAGAAAGGCCACGCATCCCGGCGGCTCCTCTGAACTCCGAAACCCGAGCCTCAAAGTCACAGCCGACGGCCGGCACACCCTGCCAAGGCCTCGGGCCCCAGCCCTTCTGTGGGACCACTGCCTTCGGCTCCCGCCCTCCACCCTCCGCCCTCCGCTGGGAGGAAGGCTCCGAGGCTGGAGCCTGACGGGGACAGGAACGGGACAGGATACCTGGGGGATGGTGGCAGAGGTGCAGCCAGCTGAGGTGGGGCAGGGCACCGAAGGAAGGCTTTCTGCCGGGGGCTGGCTGACTCTCGGGCCCCAGGTGTGTCCCCGTCCGCCCTCCTGCACACCCCTGCCTGGCTCCAACCCAGCCCATGACCTCTGACCGCAGCAGCGACTAACCCAGCACGACGAGGGTGTAGTTGACGCTCAGGCTGCCGAAGCCGTTGGTGGCCTTGCACACGTACACGCCGGCATCCTCCCGCTCCACCTGCTTCACCTTCAGCCCCTGCGGCAGCACGCGGAAGCGGCTCCAGCCGCTGTGGATGGTGCGGCCATCCTTGGTCCACATGGTCAGCGGCGGCGGGTCCCCCTCCACTGGGCACTGCAGCCGCACAGTGCGGCCCAGCCGGGCCACCTGCCGTGGGACCACCTTGTCCGCCATCTTTGGGGGGCCTGCGGGTGGGACCGAGGAACAGTCAGCGAGGAGGGGCTTGGGGTCCGGAGCCGGGGGGGCGGTCAAAAGGGGACCCACGGCCCAGCACAGACCTCGGGCCTGAGCTCCACCTGGGTCACCTGCCCAAGATGAGCAGAGGGGCCGAGGTGCAGTGCCCCTGACCCAGGCCTCAGCTGCCCACATGCACCAAAGCCCTGAGCACTGGCCCAGCAAACACCACGTCAGCAGCCTCTCATGGCCGGGGCAGCCCCGTGGCCCCAGAGGCTGGCTCTTTGAGACACGAGAAGGGAGCAGGGTCCCCAGAGGATGCAAAACAGCTGCGCTTGGTAACTCTCGAAAACCACCAACCAAAAGGGCAGAGTCTCCTTCTGGTCATACAGGAAGCAGCCGTACACCCGAGGTCAGAGGGGACAGTGGCCCCCCAAGGACAAGGGCAGTAGGGGGATGGGGGGCCTGGTGGGTCCCAAAGAGGCCCCAGGCCCCTCACCTAATTCCCACCCAACCATCAGCCCAGGGCCCAGCCGGGCCTGGGCATGGGCCAGCGACCCCACAGCTATCCACAAGCAACCGAGCACGGCGGGCTGCCTGAGCCTGTGCAATGTGTGGATGAGAGTCTGTGCAGCACCCACGTCTGTGTCAATATCAGACCTGAGTTCAGGGACCACAGATGCCCAGGTCTGTCTGCCCACCCCCAAGGGCCGTACCCTGCCAGGCACCTTAGCCTTGAGGGGGCATGACCCCAAGGCCCTGGGGTCAGAGAGCAAGCCTCTGGAGAGACGTAGCTCGGGCTGACCACGGGCACTGCCGCTCCTGTCTGGGGGGCAGCCAGTATGTCCTCCCACCACCTGTGAAACCCACAGGAGCAGAAAGGCTGCGGCTCCACATGGCCACCTGCACCATCCCACCCTATGTGGAGAAGCCGAGCCCTCCTTTCCTGGCAGAGGCCTCCTTTCCTGGCAGAAAGGAACCCACCCCATCCCCTGCCTGGGTCCCCGCCCCACCCCATCCCCTGCCTGGGTCCCCATCCCACCCCACCCCCTGTCTGGGTCCCCACCTCACCCCTTCCCCTGCCTGGGTCCCCACCCCATTCCCTGCCTGGGTCCCCACCCCACCCCCATTCCCTGCCTGGGTCCCCACCCCGCCCCATCCCCTGCCTGGGTCCCCACCCCGCCCCTTCCCCTGCCTGGGTCCCCACCCCGCCCCATCCCCTGCCTGGGTCCCCACCCCGCCCCTTCCCCTGCCTGGGTCCCCACCCCGCCCCATCCCCTGCCTGGGTCCCCACCCAGCCCTGCCCCTTCCCCTGCCTGGGTCCCCACCCCACCCCATCCCCTGCCTGGGTCCCCACCCCGCCCCTTCCCCTGCCTGGGTCCCCACCCCGCCCCATCCCCTGCCTGGGTCCCCACCCCAGCCCCACCCCTTCCCCTGCCTGGGTCCCCACCCCACCCCATCCCCTGCCTGGGTCCCCACCCCGCCCCTTCCCCTGCCTGGGTCCCCACCCCGCCCCATCGCCCCATTCCCTGCCTGGGTCCCCACCCCATCCCCTGCCTGGGTCCCCACCCCATCCCCTGCCTCAGTCCCCACCCCACCCCATCCCCTGCCTGGGTGCCTCTGGGCTGGAAGGCAGGGCCAGGGTTCTGTGTGTGTGTGACCAGCCCCAGTGGGCAGTGCCAAGCCGGCCAGGAAGATGAACCTAGAACACACAGACCCTGCAGGCCTCAGAAACTCGGGGCACCGCAGGGCCTGTACCTGGATGGAGCTCCTGGGAAAGGAGGGCCCTGCGTGCCCCACTCCCCACGTGCTGCTCCCAAGTCCTGCAGCGGCGACCACAGCCCACTCACTGCTCTCCATGTCGGAGAGGCGGCCGCAGGCACCCCACAGTTCCCAGGGCATCTCTCGCCAGCCCATGGGTGACAGTGTCCATCCCGCACTGCAGCCACTGCTGTCTGGGAGCGTCCAGGCTGCGTGCAGAACACCAAGAGGTAGCAGCTGCTCCAGGCCATCTCGATGGGGCCTGGGGCCGCGTGTTCCTCCAATACACAGTTAACAGTGGCCCTGTGACGTCTCCCACTGGCGTCTTCAGACACTCAGGGAGCAGCTCCCATTCTGACCCCCAAGTCTGGGGACAGGGACCCTCACAGAGAATCCCTATCACCTCTCTGGAGGCCTCCCAATCAGTGCTGATAGCACAGGGGGCGTTGCCCAGGGCCTCTAGGTTCTGAGCCCACAGGCATCATTGGCCGCTGGGGCTGGGAGTGGAGACACGGCGCCTCCCTGCTGTGCCCAGAAACACAAAGGGTGGGCTGAGGCTCTGGAGGGAGGGATTCTTCTCAGCCCTGGCTCACCCGGCCCATCCCAGTCCTTGGCCTCTCTGAGAAAACATGTGGGGGTCTCTTCTCTGACTCACGTCTCTCCCTCAACTCAGGACCCTCCCACCCAGGCCATGGGCCCCAGCCCTGAAGCCCCTCCTTCCCTACCCTCCCTGCAGCTCCCCGGAGAGGAAATGAGATGGCGGCTGTGGGGGGCTGCCAGCCCACCACCCCCTCAGTGTGGTTCTGTGAGCTGCCCAGGGCTGGGGGCAGCTCTGGCAAATTTGTCCCGGGGAGGAAGCGGCTGCAGGGCCCACAGCACTGGGGCCTCCTGACCCCTTCCCAGCCGGCCCAGGTCCCAGACGCACCCCAGGTTGACCCCACCAGCACCTGTCGCTGCCTGAAATCCCACCACCCACAGGGCCTCCCGGGACCAAGGGGGAGTGGCCAAGGCCCCTGGCCAGCCCAGCCCCTGTGGCCCACAGCCTGCAGGGGTGCCTGGGCCTCCTGGCTGGCTACCTGGGCACAGGCCTCACACGTGCATGTTCATGGGTGCACACAAGTGTTCACCCACACAACTGTCCAGAAGAAGCAAGAGAGCGAGTGCCTGGCCCTGTCCTGGGTGGGAGCACACTGACCCAGCCCCCCACATCTGGGGAGGGAGCCCACCTCAGAGGCTGAAAGCCCCAGCTACACTTCGGGAAGGTTTCCCAGCCCCCACCCTGCCCCAGGCAGATACAAGCAAGGCTTGGTGAGGTAAGGGTCCCCAAAGGCATGCGGGAGGTGCAGGATGACAGGCACAGACAGGGAGGCGGGACCCCCGCCTGTGGTCACCACTGAGAAAGGGGGCAGAGACAAATGACCGCTGGATGGCCGGAAGCGTGGCCCCCAGGGCCGGCCTGCAAGCGCTGTAGGCACGGGCAGAGGCAGCTGGGCCAGAGGAGCCAGGCTTATCCTAAAGCAAACAGCCTCCCTCCCCCTCGCCAGGCCTATCCCACCCCCACCTGGGCTCCCCGGACCCCCTGCTGTTGCCGGCCCAAGACCCCCCGCAGGAGGGCCTGCCCAGGAGGAAGCCCATCCCCCCAGATTCCTGGGGAATGATCACACCAGGACAGCGGCCAGGGCACCACGCCACCTGGACGGGCGTCCAACCCACGCAGCCTATGGGGAAACTGAGTCAGGACCTGAGGGCACAGGCACCTGGTGGGAAGACCGGCTGCCTCGCACTGCAGCCAGGAAGAAACACAGGGAACCCCCGCCGGGGCATGACAGCAGCACTGTGCCACCTCCGGGGCCGTGCACCCTGCCAAGACACCCCCCAGCCTCCTCCTCCAGCACAGCCCCTGCCCTGCACACACACTTAGCCACAGCCGAGAGGCCCCCAGCACAGGCAGGACACCAAGGGCCACATGGGAGCGAGACATGAGAGTAAACTGAGTCTGAGACAGGGCCTCACTGCTGTCAGGTATGGAGGACTAGACTCGGAGGCAGTGCGCCAAGAAGGCGGATGCCTCCAAATCCTCCCGCCGCCCCCCCCACCCCTGCCCAGCTGTAAAAAACACAACTAGGGAAGGAGGAGGAGCAGGGGCTTCCCACAGCAGCAAGGCCCAGAGGCCGCTCTGCCTACACGCTTTGTCACACACACACTGTCCCCAGACAGAGGCTCCTCTTTCCCAGGGCCCAGGGAGGGTGGAGGTGGGCAGGCCCTGGGATGGAGGGGAAGAAGCTGCAGTCTGGAGGGACGGAGGCAGGAACCCCCTGCGGCCTGCCCTTCCCCGTCTTCACAGGCCCTCATATCAGCTCCCCGAACACCTGCCCCATCTGAAGTGCCCTCTCCGACACCCCTCACCCCGTAGCTCCTCGGGGGCTCCAATATCTCTTCTGGAAGGGCCCGTCCTGGCCACGTGGTCCAAACCCACACCCAAGCCCCTCTCCCGTGCTCGTGGTGTCCCGAGGCCTGGCATACAGCAGATACTCAGTGGACATTCGTAGGGAGAACGGTGTGGGTGTGGGGGCCGGCCAGGGCAGGTACAGAGGATGCAGGGCTGGGGCTGCCCGGCTTCCCTCCTGTGGCCAGGTGGCTCCTCCCCATGGGGCCTGGCTCCTACAGGGAGCAAGGAGGGGGTGCTTCCCCAGAACACAGCCCTCAGCACAGGGAGAGACACCCAGGCAGGGACACACGTGCAGCGTCATGACCCCTCTGTTGGGAGAAGACACGAGCTAGGACCAGGACACTGGCTGGAAACGGCCTCCTCCAACTTTCCAGTGCACCCTGCACCTCCCAGGACGCCTCTACAGCCCAGGCCAGTGGTATCCACCCCTCTACAGAGCCCGAGGCAGCACCTGCCCAGGTCGGACGGGACTCCTGACCCAGTAGGGACAACGGGGGCTTCCCAAGGAAGGAGCACTCACTGCGGCAGGGGCTGATGCTGGTCAACAACACAGCAGGGTGGGGCGTCTGTGGGGACAGACGGAGCCAGTGTGCGCTGGGGAGGGAGGGGCAGGTGGAGCTGACCGCTGAGGAGCTGGCTGTGTGGCCCCCTCAACCCCAACCCTGACCGGCTACCCAAGTTCCCGCATGGAGGAGCTGGACCAAGAGCGTCCTGGCAGCCGAACGAGGCCAGAGTGGAGTGAGGATGCCTGCGAACTGGGGGGCCCTGCATGGCCCAAAGTTTCCAGCTGGAGGAATTCTCTGGCCTGACCCAGGACCTGGCCACGGGGTGGGGGTGGCCAGGCCCCAAGTCCTCCTGGAGAAGCTGAGTGGCCTGGGGGAAGGGGGCTCACCTTGACCAGAAGGGAGGGGAGGGGAATCAGGACACACTGTGTCGAACCCCTAGTGGGGTGCAGAGCCAATCCAGGTGCTGAGCCTTCTGCAGCCGGTGGTCCCCCCACCCGGTTACCGAGAAGAGACACAGTGCCCCCATCACAGATGGCCGCTATGTGGCTGTGCCAGGCCCCCAGGGGCACCCAGGGCAGGAGTGAGTGGGAAACCCCAGAGTCAGTGCCAGGGCCCAGTCCCCTCCTCAGGAAGCCAAGTGCAAGAGTGGCCGCCCCCAGGAGCCAGAGAACAGGTGACCGCCACGCAGCCTGCTGCCCATCAGGTGCCAGGGCCAGGCTCTGCCCCAGCCCCGGGACGCTCAGGCACATACATGTGCACCTGCATACACAGACCCAGGGCACACACAGTCACCAGCTAGCGAGGCGGCCCTCGGGGAGCAGACCCACAGGACGTGCGGGGGAACTGGGGGCCTGCAGCACAGGTGGCTACCCCACAGGCTGTGCCCCAGCAAGCTGCATGCAGCATGTGGCCCACCATGCTGCCCAGCCCTGGAAGCATTCGGGGGAACCTTCTGCAACCCCAGCCCCAGGGCACTGCTCCCCCTCCTCGACACACCAGGGCACACAGCGGGCACCAGAGCATCATCAGGCAGTCCCACGCCCTGGAGAGAACCTTGTACAGCACTAAAACAGGCAAAGATTCCTCCGTACCCATCCCAGTCCAGACCTCACCAGGCCCACCCAGCTTCACGTGGCCCCCACCCCCACCTCAAAACCCCAGCCTGCCGGGCTGCAGTCCCCAGGCCTCCCCTGCCCGGAACTCCCCAGAGGGGCTCTGCCTGCAGACCTTGGCAGCCCTTCCCCACTTCAGAAGCATCAACAAGAACATTTCCTGAGCCCAGAACCCCTGAGGCCAGAGATCAGGGGTGAGCTGATGCTCTGTCCCCTGCCAGGGCTCTTGGCCCCCAGGTGGGGCTGCCCCAACCACGGAGCAGCCCAGGCACACCGGGCACCACCAGGTCAGGGGCCCTTGCTCCCACTCACATGGCGGACTTCTCAAGGACAGAGCTGGGGACAGGAGGGCACCGGGCCTGTCCGCTGCAGCTCCCCAGGCCCCTGCAGGCCACAGGGCACAGCCGCCCAGACCCTCCAGGACACACAGTGATGCCTGCGTCAGGCACCCTGGTGCATGGTACTGCGCTCCACACCAAGCCCTGCAGTCACCACTGGGAACAGGGCAGGAAGGCTACAGGGAGTGTAGAGGGCCTTGAAGCCACTGGCTGGTGGGCCTGGACAAGGAACCCAAGCTCTCCACGGGGCCACCAGGCTGTCCTGGGGCTCAGTCTTAGAAGCCCAGAGGGTGTCACCGTGCCCAGCGGGCCCCACGCCACACACAAGGGCAACAGCCCGGCTCCCTCTTTCCTGTCACTGCTCAGCCAATGTTCACCCCTCAGCCCCTTAACAGCACCAGGCAAGAAGTAATTGAGCCTTCTGCCAAGATGGGCAGCACCCCCCTGCCCCACACAGGGGCAATGACCTGGAAGGAGACCCCCACCCACGCTGACTTGCTCCAAGGGGACTGGTACCCACCTCTCCTGCTAGGTATGCCTTGGCCCGTGAAGCCCCTCCTCTCCCATCCCCTGCTTCACCCCTGCCCCAGCCATCCTGGATCATGGCTCTGGGGCTGCGGCCCACCTTGGAGCCGCCTGCAGAGGGCAGCCAGGCACCCTGGGGCTTGACCAGCAGCTCCAGGGATGGCCGCCAGGGAGAGTGGCAGGCAGGCAGGGAGTGCAGCCCTGGAGGGGGCCTCTGGGGAGAGGGGTGTGGGTATCCCTCTCCCTCCTGTGCTGACCCGCTGAGGCTGTCACCTGGACACACCAGGCCTGGAGTCACTGGCGGAGGCCCTGATGGGGCAAAGGAGTCCACCCTGGGCCGAGCAGCAAGCCCGGGCCGCACAGAGGGCCAGCATGCAGCAGCCGGGGTCCAGTCTGCGGGCACAGCCCGCCTCTCCCAGCACGGCCGCAGTTCCTGAGCCAGGGCTGGGCAAGCCAGGGCTGGGCAAGCCAGGGGCTGGAGGCCACGACTGGGGAAAAACCAACATTTCCCCTGACAGGGCCGCAGCGCGGGGCCTGCGGCTGAAAGGGAGCCCGGAGGCCCATTGATTCCCGCACAATGGATAAAGGAGTCTGCGGTCGGCGTTTCCAGGCCCAGCCAAAGGCGACTTTGTTCACGGCTCCCTCCCTCCCCCCAAGGGGACAGTGATTTATTTTCCCTTCCAGGAGTGGGGCCCCGAGATGGAAACGGGGCGGCTGGCCCGATTCCCCACCTTGCAGGGGCTGGGCCCAGCTCCCACACGTCCACCTCAGCCCGCTGCACACGGGCCAGCCACTGCCCGGAAGGGCCTGGGGCGAGGGAGGAAGGCCCTGAGGCCTGGCTGGGGGCCGAGGTCAGCACCGTACACCCACGGCTATTGCTTCCCCGAATCACAACCCTTCAGACTCTTGCCCCCACAGGGAGCCGACACTGACCCCGCTACCCCCCAGGCATGGGGCACCCCTGGACAGGCACCCTGCCCACCTGGGTCAGGGCTCAGCTTGCCCACCGCAGCTGGCCGGGTGCAGAGGACAGGGGAGTGGCCTCCTAGGCAGGCCACTCAGAGCTGGCCCCCAAGGCCATGCTTGCAAAAGTTCAAAGGTGGCACTTCTCAGAAAGCCCTGAAACGACTTCCTTCAGAGTTATTTGTGAAAGACATTTCATGCAGAACCTCTCAAGTTCCCACTGTGAGAAATAAAATGGAAAGGGAGAAAGCCAATTCCTATATTTTTTCAAATTGGAAAAAAAAAAAGCAGTTTAAGACAAATCCACCAAGATTGTGAAAGTTTGGGAAAAGAGGAACTTTTAAAATATGATCTGAGTGTAGCGATGTGCCGATTCCAGAACTTATGACCCAGCGGGAAATGGCTTTTCAAAAATAACCCAAGCCCTCTGCATGCTGGTCCTTGGCCTAACGAAGGTGCACAGTGGGCTGTTCAGAGCAGGAGAAACACACTTGGATGGACCTCGCGCCCTAGTCCACGCTAGGAAAATCAGCACAGTCCGGAAGAACCTCCTCCCCACCTCCACCCAAACCACAGAGGCCCCTGCCCTTGGAAAGCAGCTTGATCCCAGCTCCCCAGTGCCGCCAGGGCCTTTGCCACGCAAAGCCAGGGCTGGATATCCTCAGCCCCAAGGCCGCAGCTGAGGAGGACGAAGGCGAAGGGGGTGGCCGCTGGGGCGTCTCCACGAAGAGGCGGGCTCTGCCGCCCACTGCCATGGCTGACCGTGGCCATCCACCAGTCAGCTTCAGCCCCAGCCAGGAAACATGGCAGGACAGAGGCCTCCAGAGCCTCCCTGGCCGAGTGGCCAGAGGACAGGCAGGTGTAGGGATTGGGGAGGCCAAACAGATCAAAGAGAATGCAAGTCCAGGCCGCTGGCCATGGTAGGGGCTCGCCCAGTATGGCCTGAGTGCCCACACAGCCCAGGACGCTGCCGGGCCCTCAGAGCAGCCGCTCAGCCAGGCCCATGTGGGCAGGCGGGGGGTAGGGGGGGGTGCTGTGGCATAAGGCCCACCTGGTCACCGCCCGCCACCCAGCACCCGAACGTGCCCATATAAGGCCAGGTTGGATGCGGCGCGCTTGCTGGGCGGCAGGGGAGGGGTGCGAAGCCTCAGGACTGGTGGACACAGCGCGGACAATCCTGAGTGGTCAACACGCCCAAAGGGCCGGCCTGGCCACAGGTCCCGCCTAGCCATGGGGGCAGCCAGCGCTGTGCCCGGATCCTGGAACATGGCGGGCATGAGTCTGCGGGCACACGTCACCCATCGGCTCCGGATGTCCTTGCTGGGGCTGGGTCCCAGGGCATGGCTGCCACTTAGATGTCGGTGCCATGAGCACGTACCAGGCCAGCACAGCGTGTGCCCAGAGGCACGCAGTCCTGGGGTGCGTCACGGCTCTGGGGACTTGTCCACACAACCGCCCGGCACTGCCTGCCTAGAGCTGGGCAGGCCCAGGGCACACGGCTAGGTCGGCTGGGGGACTGGGGGTCTGGGGGTCAGTTTCAGTCCCAGACACCAAGTATATTACCAATATCTCCCATAGCCCATCCTGCCTTCCGTGGGGGTCTCTGCAGGTTCCCAGAGTCCTTATCGGGTCCACTGTGGCCACAAACCGCCCACTCCCCAAGAATCCACAGGTGATTAGCTGCCCTGGACTGCAGGTACGAGTATGAAAGTGTTTGCAAGACCAGGAGCATGTCCTGGGGAGCCAGGACTAAAGCCCACCTGGCCAGCAAGCACGCATGAGGGGAACCCCTCCAGCCAGCTAGGGGAGCCCCGGTGGGTGCTGTGGACAGCCCATGGGTGAGGGGGCCCTGGAAGGAAGGGGGCCTGGCGAGCGGGGCGGCAGGGGCGGGGCATGGCGCGTGCCAGGCGGGCACTGTGGCAGGGTTCAGGGCCGGGCGGGAAGGGGGCGGCGCTGGCGGAGGCCAGGCTGGCCGGGCTGGGCGCCAGAACTCACCTCGGGCGGCGGCGGCCGGCGGGAAGGCCCCCAGCAGCAGCGGCGGCAGCAGGAGCAGCAACAGGGGGCTCGGCGTCATCTCGGCCTGTCCGGACCTGGGGACATTGGGGGCGCCGTCACTAACACGTGGAACTGGGAGATACCGCCCTCCCCGGTCCCGGGCCGCGGGGATCAGGGGTCTGGCCGCCCTCCCCACAGGCCCTCCCCGCCCGCGCTCCAGGCGGAGGAAGCCGCAGCGGGGAGAAGCTGTGGGTATCAAAGGCAGACAAAGGGTTTACACTAATTACCGGGCTCCCCCGCCGCCCCCCCTCTCCAAACACCGTCTGGATTCCTGGCGCTTGTAACTCCGGCCCTGCCCGCAGGACACACAACACTCAGCGCCCCGCAGATAATCGCCTGCGCCATTAGCGGACAAATTTGCGCTGGGGGGGGCCCACGTGGGGCGCGGGGGCGGGGGCGGGGCAGGCCGGGGGCCCGCAGGAGCGGCGGCGGCGCGCATGACCCGTGCCCAGCTGGGGCCCCGAACCCGCCCCTCCCCGCCCCCGCCCCGGACCCCCGCCCTCCCCCGTGTGCCCACCTGGGGTCGCGGCCGCGCGCGCGGGGGGCTCACCTCGGCGGGGGGCTCAGCGGGCGGGCGGCGGGGTCAGGGCCGGGCCCGCGGCGTGCGCTCCGCGGTCATCGCCGCCCCGGGCGCCGCATCCCGCCGCCCCGCGCCCCCGGGCCCGGTCTCGGGGCGGGGCGGCGCTACCTGGGCGCGGGCGGCTCGGGCCGGGTCGGGGTCCGGGCTCGGGCGCTCGGGGCGCGGGGTCCCGGACCGGGCAGGCGGCGGGGGCGAGTCCGCGGGGCCGGGGGCCGGGGCCGGGATCCCGGGGCGGCGGGGCGAGGGGCCCGGGGCGCCGCGCCGCGAGGCGTCCTTCCCTGCGGGGCTTTGTCAACTCTCCCGGAGCGAGCGCCGAGCCCGGACCCCCGACCCGCCCCCGGCACAACTTCCGGCCAATCCGCGCGCGTCAGCCCTCCCCCGTGCCCCGCCCCGCCGCCAAACTTTTCCCCAATCCGCGCGCGCACACCGCCCCCGCCCCGCCGGGCTCCCGGCCTTAACCCTCGCGGTGCGGACGTCCCCGCGGGCGGGCGGCTTCCCCGGGTCCGGCCCCGCCCCCGCCCCCGCCCCGCCCCAACCCGAGCCTCGCCGCGCCCCCGGCCCCGCCCGCGCGCCCTTGGTCCCCGCAGGCTCCTAGGACCGGCCAGGAGCCGCCGCGCCCTCCCCATACCTGCGCCCGCGCGCGCCCGGGTCGGGTCCTCAACTCTCGAGACACCTCCGCGACCCCCAGAGCAGGCTCCGGCCCTGCCCGCGGCAGTCTGACCTCTGCGCAGCCCCGGGCCGGGCCCAGACCGCTCTCTGGTTGCTCAGAAGGGGGCGGACTGGACGGCCGCGGGAGCTTCGAGGCTTCCAGGTCTGCGCCCCGGGGGGTCTTCGGGAGCAGAAGGGAGAAGCAGGGCCTCGCCCAGCCGGAGCTGCTGGGGACGGGGTAGGGGGGGACGGCCGCGGCGATGCAGGCAGGGGTCCTCCCCGGGGCGTTCGGGTTACCTGGTGCCTTTGGCCAAAGGTATGTTCCCACCTGAGGCCTCCCAGCCTCTCACCTGCTAGTGACGGGAATGACAAGAACATTAATCATCGTAATAGACGTCAACATGCGATTCAATCTCCGCTACCGGGCAGGCGGCCCCAGGAGCAGATGAAGAAACGGAGGCGTGGAGAAGACAGCGCCCAGCTCTTCGCGGCTCTTCCTCCACACGCCTCGCCTGCCGTCCCTGCCCAGGGCCCAGCACGCAGGGCTCCCAGGCCGCACCTCCAGCCGCCCCATGGCCTCCCCTCATCCTGCCTCCCAGTCTTGCAACACAAACCTCACGGCCTGCCCACATCCCGCCTCACACCCTCGACTCCGCGGAGTCACCATCCCAGCACCTCCTCCATCCCCCAGAGCAGCCTCTCTTTCTGGGGCCTGAAGCCCCCTCTTCCAGGAAGTCCTCCCAGGAAAGGCTGAAACTGGAGAGGCCTGGCAGCCGGTGTCCCCAGGCCGAGGAGAGCTAGGCGGGGCGTGGGGGGCGCCAGCTGTCAGGGTGTGGGACTCCTCAAGGCCCGAACTACCCGGCCGTCCCAAGGTGCTGGTTCCCAGCCCAGCGTCCTCCACCCCAAATCCCGCGTCTGGGCCAGCGTGGGCGTCGCGAGGGCGGATGGAGGTGCGCTCGGACGGCCCATCCTGCCCCCGCTGGCGCAGCCGCCGCTGTGCACCCGGGGAAGGGTCCAGGGACCGCCGCGTGGTCCTCCCGGCGGGAGAACGTCCTGCGCCGCCGCCGCGGCCCTGTCCCACAAGGAGCCAGCAGCGCCGGGGCCCACCTGCCGCCCTCCCGGCCGGAGCTGCAGTCACGGACAGGTGGGTGGGGCGGTCTCACGCCCGTGGGAGAGCGGCGCTGAACTTCCCGGACAGCTGGCGAGGAGGCAGCGCTCCCACAGATGTGCGGGCTGCCGGACACAGGTGCGTGGAAAGGGGACAGGTGTGCGGAAACGTGGCTGCGAGCGTGCAAAGTATAAGCAGGGAGCGGACAGGCCGGCAGGTGCCGGCCCCCGAATGAGCGGGCAGTGGGAGGGGCACGGGCAGCGTCGCGGCCCCTGGCGGGCGGGGCCGGGACGGGGGGCGGGGCCAGGGGCGGAGCGGCAGACGGGGCGGGGCCCGAGGCGGACAGGGGCGGGGACGGGGAGGGGGCGGGGCCTGGCCGGGCGGGGGCGGGGCCCGGGCCTCCCGCGCCGGCACGCGCTGCCCTCTGGCGGTGGCGGCGGCGCCGGCGCGGCAGCTCCCGAGGCGTTTTTCCTCGTCTCCTCGCCCCGCCCCGCCCCGCCCCGCCCCGCCCCGCCCGCCACGTCCCAGCCCGCGGCCGGCCCAGGCCCCGTCCTCAGGCAGCCCCCCGCCCCTCGCCCACCCCCGGAACAGGGACTGGGCCCTCCCCGCTCCCACGGCCCTTCGGGTCAGGCAGCGCGGAGCCGAGGGGCCGGCGCAAGCACGTCCTGCCCCTTAAAACTGAAACGGGGCGGTCAGCCACCCTCGGGGTCTCAGGCCCCATCCTCAGCCAACCCCATGGGGTGACCGCGGGAAGACAGGTTCTTGTAGCCACCTACCCAGCCCCGGTGAGCCCCAGGCGCGCAGGTTCGCTAGCACGGATCCTCGCTTGCCCGCGACAGCACCTGCCCCGGGGCAGAAGAGGCAGGACTGGGGGAGAGCCGGGCAGGCCTCACAGAGGCGGCATCTCAGGAACAGCAGGTGTAGGGACTGACAAGGACAGGCGGGTGGAGGAGGCTTGGCAGAGAATGGAGATGCAGTAACAGTGACTTACACACTCTCAGCTGCAGCAACCAAAAAAATAGGTGTGAAAACAGCACGTAAGGCACTGGGCTCACGAAACCGAGGACCGTGGTGCTGGAGAGAGGGGAAGCGACCCGGCAGCGAGGACAGTCCCGCCCACTGCCCAGGCCGGTGCAGAGAAAACCCAGGCAGCCACCGGCGTCTCCCTCAACTGGGAAGACAGAGGTGGCCAGGCAGGGGCTGGAGTTCACAGGTGCTCCAGAGTGCTGGAGAGGAGGGGGCTGCACCGAGAAGCCCAGACACCCACAGAGGGTCTGCCTGGAGGCTTCAGCTAAGCACAGATCAGTGCAGGAGCGTGAAGAAAACACTCAAGGCCAGGGAAAGACCCACCCAGGATCAGAGCCCATGCAGGGCTGGGAATAGTGCCTGTGCTCAGCAGCCAGAGTGGGGAAGCATCGTTAGAGCAGGAAGAAGTTCTCACCCCGTAGTAGGGAAGCATCAACACGAGACTAAATACAGTTCAGGTCCCACCAAACACCACTGAATAAGAAGACCCAGAGCCAGATGTGGGGGCTCACACCTGTAATCCCAGAACTTTGGGAAGCCAAGGCAGGCAGACCAGTTGAGCCCAGGAGGTCGAGACTAGCCTGAGCAACACGGTGAAACCCCATCTCTACAAAAATCCAAAAAGTCGCCAATGTGGTGATGCGTGCCTGTGGCCCCAGCTATTGGGGAGGCTGAGGTGGGAGAATCACTTGAGCCCAGGGGGCCGAGACTGCAGAGAGCCAAGATCACACCACTACACTCCAGCCCGTGCGACACAGTGAGACCCTGCCTGAAAAAAAAGGACCACACAGTTTCCAAGTAACTTGATCACATTCGAGAAACAAATGCAAAGATATGTATAGGTTTACAAAAATATCCAGCACCAAACAAGGTAGAATACAAAATATTGAATATCCGGGAAAAACAAAAAACAAAAAAACAGGCATGAAAAGAGGCAGGACATTATGACCCATATGGAGAGATGGGAAAAATCAATCAAAATTGACCTGGGGCCGGGCACAGTGGCTCACGCCTGTAATCCCAGCACTCTGGGAGGCCGAGGAGGGCGAATCACTTCAGACCAGAAGTTCACAACCAGCCTGGACAACATGGTGAAACCCCATCTCTACTAAAAATAAAAAAACTAGCCAGGCGTGGTGGCAGGCAACCTGTAGCCCCAGTTACTCAGAAGGCTGAGGCAGGAGAATCACTTGAATCCGGGAGGTGGAGGTTGTAGTAACTGACCTGGAAATGACAAAGGTGACAGGGCAAGTAGAGGAGAGCACACACATGCTTATGCTGTGACCATGTTCCATATGTTCAAGATGCTGGAGGTGACAGGGCAAGTAGAGGACAGCACACACATGCTTATGCTGTGACCATGTTCCATATGTTCAAGATGCTGGAGGTGACAGGGCAAGTAGAGGACAGCACACACATGCTTATGCTGTGACCATGTTCCATATGTTCAAGATGCTGGAGGTGACAGGGCAAGTAGAGGACAGCACACACATGCTTATGCTGTGACCATGTTCCATATGTTCAAGATGCTGGAGGAAAGGAAAGACAATATGTTAAGTAAAGACGGGGAAAAAAGCCTCAAATCGTACTTCTGGGGATGAAAAGTAGTGTCAGAGAAATAATACACGAGATGGGATTAATGGAACACTGCAAAAGAAAGGATCAGTGTGGCTGGGCGCCGTGGCTCACACCTATAATCCCAGCACTTTGGGAGACCAAGGCAGGTGGATCACCTGAGGTCAGGAGTTCAAGACCAGCCTGGCCAACATGGTGAAACCCCATCTCTACTAAAAATAGAAAACTTAGCTGGGTGTGGTGGCGTGTTCCTGTAGTCCCAGCTACTCAGGAGGCTGAGACAGCAGAATCACTTGAACCCAAGAGGCGAAGGTTGCAGTGAGCCCAGATCACACCACTGCACTCCAGCCTGGGTGACAGAGCAAGACTCCGTCTCAAAAAAAGGATCAGTGAACTTGAAAACATAGCAATACAAACTGTCCAAATGAAACGGAGAAAAATGACTAGAAAAATGGAAAGAGCATCAGTGAACTGTGGTTCACCTTCAGGTGGTGAAACATGGGTATAATTGGAGTCCCCAAAGGAGAGGAGACAGAGGTTGGGAAATAATAAAGCTGTTTTTAGATCGAGCAGAGCGAAAGAATCACCTGCAGGAGTGTCTAAGCTGTCCCTCAAGCAGAAGGAAGGTCATACCCAATGGAAAACTGAATCTACACAAAGAAATGAGGAACACCAGAAACGGCAACTAAATGAGTGAGTATAAAGAGTGTTTTTCTTTTTTGAGTCAGAGTCTCACTCTGTCGCCCAGACTGGACTGCAGTGGCAGGATCTCGACTCACTGCAACCGCCGCCTCCCAGGTTCAAGCGATTCTCCTGCTTCAGCCTCCCAAGTAGCTGGGATTACAGGCATGCTCCAGCACACCTGGCTAAGTTTTGAATTTTTAGTAGAGGCGGGGTTTCACCACATTGGCCAGGCTGGTCTTGAACTCCTGACCTCAGGTGATCCACTTGCCTTGATAATCATCTGATTAACGTAAAAATAATGTATTGTGGGGTTTATATCATATGAGAAATCAAAATATGTAACAACAATAGCACAATGGCTGAAAGAGAAAAATGGAAATGTAATGTTGTAAGGTTCTTTGACTACGTATGAGGTTATATGATATCACCTGAAGTTAGTCACAAGTTAAAAATGTATAGTAGGCGGGGTGCAGTGTCTCACGCCTGTAATCCCAGCACTTTGGGAGGCTGAGGCGGATAGATCATGAGGTCAGGAGTTCGAGACCAGCCTGGACAATGTAGTGAAACCCCATCTCTACTAAAAATACAAAAATTAGCTGGGCGTGGTGGTGGGCGCCTGTAGTCCCAGCTACTCGGGGGGCTGAGGCAGAAGAATCGCTTGAACCTGGGAGGCAGAGGTTGCAGCGAGCCGAGATCGCGCCACTGTACTCTAGCCTGGGTGACAGAGTGAGATTCTGTCTCAAAAAGAAAAAAGAGGCTGGGCACGGTGGCTCACGCCTGTAATCCCAGCACTCTGGGAGGCCGAGGCGGGCGGATCACGAGGTCAGGAGATTGAGACCATCCTGGCTAACACAGTGAAACCCCGTCTCTACTAAAAGTACAAAAAAAAATTACCGGGTGTGGTGGTGGGCGCCTGTATTCCCAGCTACTCAGGAGGCTGAGGCAGGAGAATGGCGTGAACCTGGGAGGCGGAGCTTCCAGTGAGCCGAGATCACGCCACTGCACTCCAGCCTGGGTGACAGAGCGAGACTCCATCTCAGAGGCTGTGTGTGAGCTGACGGCCAGTGCTGGCTTCCCTGGCTCTTGGCATGGCCTCAAGCCTGACCCATTCACAGCGAAGGCCAAAGTGACCCCAGGAGCAAGACCGGAGGGTGGGGACGCGTCAGTAAGCTGGTGAGGACACGTCAGTAAGCTGATGGCCGCCAGGGAAGGAGACGGCAACGGAAGCTCATGGGGAAGGAGACAGATGCAGCTTTGCCATTCAGCCAAGACTGGTGCCAGCGCTGTGGGGCCTCAGAACCCCCTGCTGACCGTCACTTTGCCTCCAGAGGAGGGTCTGTCCTACCACCCTGGTGACCAGGCTCACACCAGGAATCCCAGCTGAGGGGGAAACTTGGAGTGTATGTGGCTATTTTTGCCAAAAGCCACAACACCCAGGTCCAGGAGTGAGGGGAGGGTCCCTCGTGGGTCTCTGTCCCACCCCAGCACCTTGGAGGCCCACTTTGGTTGGGGCAGGCAGGGCACATGGGCTTTGGGAGGTGCAGTGAACCCAGCGGGCTCACCCCCCGCCCCCACCGGAGCCCCTGACAGCCTCCAGGGAAACCTGTGGGGTCCCTGTGCCCCAGCTCTCTGGCTGAGTGCAGCCAAGGGTGGCCTTGGGAGGATGCTGGAGCGAGGGAAGAGACTGCGGCCTTGGTTCCTGGGGTCCTGCACACAGCACCCACAGGCTGGCCACACCCCTGGGCAGAAGGTCCCTGCTCCTTGCCAGGACGCCCAGCCCTGCCTGGACTGCTGAGTGCCCTGGGGGCTCCCCCGTGGCTTCCTGGCACCCTGCCTCCATCTCTGTAAACTGTCATCAAGTTGTCCTCATCTGGCCCTGCCATGTCTCAAATCCGGAGCCAAGACAATCCGTGGTGGGGAGACGCAGACCATGGTGGACACTACTGTTTCCTTCTGCTGGCCACCTCCTGGGTCGCACAGGCGTGACCCCATCCCACCCTCCACCGTGCTGGGGTACGGGAGTCTTCCCTCATGCAGCCTCAGCTCCCCGCTCTGCAGAACAAGTAAGAAAGCAAGGGACTGGCACGCCGCCTCACCAGGGGTGATCTCGGAAACCCCTGGGTGGGCAGGGCCGAGCTGGCTCGCCAGCCTGACCCAGGGGCTCAACACACTTCCAGTCCAGGCTTGGGGGTGGTCTGAGTGGGAGCGAGGGGGAAAGAGGCCTCGCTCCAGCTGGGTCCTCATCAGCCACCGGGGTTTACCCTTGGAGGCTGCCCTGGAATGTGCCCAGGGCCAAGCCACAGAGCCTCAACCCGAGACTGACCTGTGCAAAGCCGCTTTAAAGGGGGCGTTGGTACCAAGATATAAAAGAAAATAATAAAATATAAAAATATATTGCAAAGGGGGTGATGGGAGGGCAGCATGGGCACAGTGCAGCCCCAGCTCGCTGACTGCCGGTGGAGGTGCAACCCACTGGGGCTCAGCACAGGCTCATGGATTGCCCGGGGATGGGGGCCCTCTTGGCACAGGGACCTCCAGGTACGGCACAGGGTCCGAGAAGGGGCCTGGTCGGGCCCAGTAGTCCAGGGCTCGAACTCGGTAGGAGCCAGAGACAGCACCTGTGTCTGGAGACAAGGGGACATGTGTGCCAACCGGAACCTGCCCCCACCCGAAAGCCCCCTGACCCCAGGCTTCTCGAGGCCCCCACCCAGTACTGCCCTGAGGCCCAAGAATGGGGTGGCCGAGTCCAGGGCAGCGGGTGGTGGGCGCACCTGGGCTGAACACAAAGAGGTTGAAGGTCGATGGCTTCCTGCTGACCGGGGTGTACGCCTTACCGTCCTGAGAGAACTGGATCTCGTATGTCCACAGGCACCTGGGGAGGTCAGGCCAAGAACAAGGCTGGGGTCAAGACAGTCCTCAAAGGTGGGAGCAGGCAGGGCACGGCCGCGTGGACCCACAGCCTCATTCCCTCAAGCCCCTCGGCGGCACCTCCCCAGCCCCTGGGCACTCTTCCTGCCCAGGCAGGAGAGGGCTGGAGCCCGAATGTCCATCTCATGTCCCCTAGGAGAACCCACACCCCACTGGCAGGGCCTGGCGCGTGGCCCACAGTGTGTGGGGTGAAGGGCAGGGACGCAGGGCGGCGAGGGAGGGAGCCGATGGGCCACGGCAAGTGGCCCGAGTGACCGCATGGGTGAAGGGGTCGGGACCCAGGGACCTGCCTAGGACCAGGCAGAGGGAGGGGCGGCCCCACTCACGCACTTGGAGCCCACGTGTTCATCCGACCAGACCAGAACCAGCTGCCCTTGGGTCAGGGGCAGGGCGCGGAGCCGCGTGACCTGGGGGAGGGAAGGGCTGTGATGGCGTCGGGGAAGGGGAGTCCGGGCCGCGGCGCGGGTTAGGGGACTGCCACTTGCCTGCCCGGGCGGCTTCTCGGGGCGCGCACACACGTGCACCAGCAAAAGCGACGGCAGCCGCAGCGCGGGGCGCAGGGTCAGGCGGCCGCCGGCGGGTAAGGGGCGGGGCGCCGCGGCCACCGGGTCCTGGGCGCAGTGGCCGGTCCTCAGGGTTCTCCAGGGGAGCTGGGGACGCTCGGCCCGACCTCAGGGCGAACGCCCCCGGCCCACCGCTCCACCTCCCACCCACACCGCCTCGGAGCCCCCGCCCCGGACCCCACCCCCCCGGGACCCCGGCCCGGCCCGGCCCCTCGCCCCTCCGCGGCCCACCTACCTCAGCCGCGCGCATGCGCCGGAACTGCTCTGCCGTGGGGAAGACGGGCCGGCCCAGGCGCCGCCACTCGCCGTCGGGGCTGCAGAGCCCGTTGTCCAGGTAGCGCGTGACGTAGACCAGGCCTGCGGGGCCTGACACTCAGGCCTCGGCTCCCCGGGCCGCCCCCTCCAGAGCCCCAGCGGGGCCAGAGACCTCCCTGGAACCCCGGCTTACCCGGGCCGGGGGGCACCCCGCGCAGCCGCAGGGTCACCGCGACGCTGCGGTTGGGGTGGGCGCGGGTGTCGTCGCTCGCGTAGATCAGCACCGCGGCGCGCCAGGCGTCGGCCGGGCCCTGGGGGCGGTGGGCGCTGGCCAGGACGCCCACCGTGTGGTTGCTGTCCAGGACGGTCCCGGCCTGCGACACTTCGGCCCAGAGCTGCTCCTCATCTGCGGGGCGGGGGGGGGCCGTCGCCGCGTGGGGTCGTTGCCCAGCCGCCCCCCGACCCAGGGCCGGGCCTCCCACCACTCGCTCCCCCTCCCCTTGGTGAAGGAGTCCCCAGGCCCCGCCACGCGGAGGCCGACCCCGGGAAGCGCGCGGCTGGAGGAAGTGCGCTCCCCGCAGCGGGGCCTTCGCAGGAGCCGCTCCCCAGCCTGGAGGGCCCTGGCCGGCCCACCCCAGCGGCCCCGGCTCACCCAGCAGCGCCAGCAGCCCCATGGCCGTGAGCACCGGCTTGCGCAACAGCTGCACGTGCGGCGGGCGGGTGTTGTTGACCTGGAAGCGCGCGGTGAGCGTGCGCTGCGCGAAGGGGTGCGGGTGGTAGCTCAGGAAGGCATTGTCGTTGCTCAGGAGCGCGTAGGGGAAGGCGGAGGTGGTGTTGGCCAGTAGCAGGTTCTGATGCTGCGCGATGACCTGCGGGTGTCCAGGGCAGCTGGGACCGGGTGGCGCGGCCACCGCTCGCCTGTCCCGTCTCGGGAGGAAGGTGGCCGGGGGGCGCGCAGGGCGTTGGGCCGGCCCACCTTCACCACCATGGCCGCGTAGGTCACGTCCGCCCTCCACGGCTGTGGCAGGGACCAGCCCACCAGCGGGTCCGCCTCGTCGTTGTAAATGGGGGTGTCCGCGAACTTGGGGAAGAGCTGCCGGATCTGCTGCGCGACGACCTTCTCCTGCTCCAGGATGGAGATGGAGCTGCGCGCACCCTGCGGGCGGGGCCGCCTCAGCACCACCAGGGTCAGCGCGGCCCGGGGCACAGCGGCTGAGGGCGCAGAACACCGGGGCGGACGGAGGGGCAGGGCGCACCTTCCTGTGGAGGGAGATGTAGTCCAGCCGCACGCCCGCCTCCCCAGTGAAGAAGTTGGTACCGTCGTGGCAGTGGCGCAGGAGGCCCCAGCTCAGCGGGGATCGCGGTGGGGTGTGGAAGGAGTCGCCGGGGCCTCCCAGCCGCAGGGCGGGGCTGGCGGCGCGCAGACCCTCCGAGCAGGCATCGTAGTAGTTCAGGAAGCCTGGGCCGGGGGAGCACTGCGTCTACACCTGCCCTGGGGATGAGCGGCTTAGCCTCTGCTCCTGCCTTCCTCTGCCCCCTTTCAGCCGGGCAGGACCCCAGGAAGCGGTGCACACCTTGCATGGTCATGGAGACGTTGTCAAAGTCGTGGTGGTCTGGCTCATTCCACGTCTCGAAGTTCCACTTGGAAACATGCGCCAGTCCGTACCTACCTGCAGAGGAGCCTTGCTGTCCCCCCAGCACAGGTGAATCTCGCCTCAGTGACTCCCACGGAGGGAGGGTGCAAGGTGATGAAGGGCGTCTGACTCAAGATGAACCCCATCTCCATGCAGGCCAGCCTCCCGCCCCACATCAGGAAGCGCTGGCTCAAGGGGGTCCAAGACCTGGGCGGCGGCCTGGGTGATAGGGGTGCGGCCTGGGTGATAGGGGTGCAGCCTGCCCAGGAGTACCCCCCACCCCAGGGGCCCAGGGCCTTCGCCCACCCACCAAGCCCAGGAGTACCCCCCAGCCTGGGGCCCCAGGGCCTGCGCCGACCACCAACCTATCCCTTGTCACCCCCATCCCCCCACAAGGGCCTGCGCCTGCCCACCAATGTATCTCCTGACCAGGCAGCAGCCTGCGTGATAGGGGTGCAACCTGCCCAGGAGTACCCCCGCCCCGGCCAGGGCCCCAGGGCCTGCGCTCGCCCACCGATGTATCTCCTGGCCAGGCTGGAGACCAAGTCCTTCCACTCAAACACCTGCTGCTTGTCCTCAAAGTCAGTGAAGTGGCCCGAGGCGCTGCCCATCAGCTCAAACCCTGGAACACAGGAGGGCTGCCCCACCGCCCACCACACACCACACCCATGCTCTGCCAGGCCTGTGCTCCGGCACCAAGGCCAGCCCTGAATGGACATCCAAGGACTCAGAGGGGCTGGGTGAGGGAGAGGGTGGGCAGGGCAAGGGGGTGCAGGCGGGCTGGGAGGGCAGAGCCCACAGCTCACCTGGGAGGAGCTGGTTCTCCCTGAGAAGGTCCAGGTACCCGTCCAGGTGGGTGAAGTTGTAGCTCAGGCCCCGTCCAGTGGACCCCCTGCAGAAGGACGGTCAGCGTCAGGAAGCAGGGTGCCCACACAGCTCCATGCTCCAGGCTGGAACCGTGGCCACAACGGAGCATGTGGGAGCCTGCAAGGTGCCACACAGGACTCCGATCCCGGCTTCCCGAGGGGCCCTTCCCCTTGGAAAATAACCCTATGAAGGCCTGGTATGAACTAGAGTATCTGTACATGGAGACCCCCCAACCCTACACCATCAAGAGATGGAAAACTTGGGGTGGGGGTTCGGAATGGCTCTGAGGCTCAGTGGCACGAGGCAGGCCAGTCGCGAGCAGCAGGGGCCAGGGGTCAGGAGCCAGGCAGGACCTGGTGGACACCTCACCCTGGTTCTCTGCACCTCCTGGAGGCCCAGGAGTGCCCCATTTCCCCTCCCACACCCCAAGAGGCAACATGAGTGCACAGGAAAGGGAGAAGGGGGCCACCCTGCCACTGCACTTGCAGATGGGCTGAATTCCCATGAGGCCTGCATTCCGAGGGGACAGGCGTCGTCAAGGGTGAAGGGGGCCGCCCTGCCACTGCACTTGCCGATGGGGCTGAATTCCCACGAGGCCTGCATTCCGAGGGGACAGGCGTCGTCAAGGGAGAAGGGGGCCGCCCTGCCACTGCACTTGCAGATGGGGCTGAATTCCCACGAGGCCTGCATTCCGAGGGGACAGGCGTCCTCAAGGGAGAAGGGGGCCGCCCTGCCACTGCACTTGCAGATGGGCTGAATTCCCACGAGGCCTGCATTACGAGGGGACAGGCGTCCTCAAGGGAGAAGGGGGCCGCCCTGCCACTGCACTTGCAGATGGGCTGAATTCCCACGAGGCCTGCATTACGAGGGGACAGGCGTCCTCAAGGGAGAAGGGGGCCGCCCTGCCACTGCACTTGCAGATGGGCTGAATTCCCACGAGGCCTGCATTCCAAGGGGACAGGCGTCGTCAAGGGGGAAGGGGGCCGCCCTGCCACTGCACTTGCGGATGGGCTGAATTCCCACGAGGCCTGCATTCCGAGGGGACAGGCGTCGTCAGGGAATGGGAATCTTTGGTGAAGGGGATACGACAGGGAGTGAGGAGCCTGATGGTCAGCGAGGGACCTCTCTGAGGAGACACCTAAGGCTACCATGCAACGGGACCAGCCAGCAGGAAGACATCCAGGCAGCAGATGGCATCGCCAGTGCAAAGGCTCTGGAACAGGAATGCACACATGACAATCAGGCAGCAGGGAGGCAGCTGGTGGGCCTGAGACAGAATAAGGGTGGATATCATGGGATATGAGGCTCCATGGGGCTCTGGAAGTGACTGCTTTGAGGATGGGACCCTGACCCAGAGCGAAACAAGGATCCCTTTCAAGGTTCTGAGCTGAGCAGTGCCAGGGCATTTTTCTTTTTTCTTTTTTTTTTTTTTGAGACAGAGTCTCACTCTGTTGCCCAGCCTGGGGTGCAGTGGCGCGATCTCGGCTCACTGCAAGCTCCCCCTCCCGGGTTCACACCATTCTCCTGCCTCAGCCTCCTGAGTAGCTGGGACTACAGGCGCCCGCCACCACGCCCGGCTAATTTTTTTGTATTTTTAGTAGAGACGGAGTTTCACCATGTTAGCCAGGATGGTTTCCATTTCCTGACCTCGTGATCCGCCCACCTTGGCTTCCAGAGCATTTTTCAAGGATCCCTCTGGCAGCTCACTGGAGTCAGGGTGGGAGCTGGAAGACTGGCTGGGGGCCATGGGGGTTGCCCAGAGAGGTATGGTGCCCAGACTGGGTGGTGGCTGTGCAGGCTGTGAGCAGAGGGACTGATGAGGTTTGAGGTGAGCTGGGGGGTGAGGTGGGGGGTCGGGGGGTCGTACAGGGCAACTGTGGATTTCAGCTTGGGCAGCTAGGCGGGTGGATGAGCTTGGAGTGAGACTGGTCTCGGTTTTGGCCATGTGGAGTTGGACATCTGAGGGTGAACTGAGTGAGGAGATTGGTGTGCAAGGGTCTGGAGTTGTGAGTGATGCTTCTGGCCTGAGGGAAAGGGAATGGGGTGAATGGAATAGCAGCCAGCCTTGAGCCTGGAGTGAGAAGCAGAGACCAGGCTGGCCAGGGTCTGAGGGCTTCCTGCGGACGCCACGCAGGTGAGCACAGCTGCCCGTGGGGCAGTGCACCTCCTGTGGCAGCTGGCTTTGTGCCGCATCTGCAGTGGTGGGGGATGGGGTTACCACCATGGACCGGAATCTGGCCCTATACAGCTCCCCGTCTGTCAGTCTCCCCATGCCACAGCACCCCCAGCTCCACAGCAAAGGTCTGGACACCTCAACGCCTCCCTTCTGGTCCTCCCATGGTGTACAAGATCAAGGCAGAGCCTTGGCAGGAGTCTACAGCCTTTGGGTGTGGGCTCCTGCTCCGCCCCGCCTCTGCTGGTCCCCACCTGCTCCTGTACCCCGGGCTGGGTGTCCAGCAGGAGCAGCAGGAGTCCCTGGGGTCCACCCCACCCGGCCCCTACCACCTCTCCTCCCCTCCATCCAAAGGACACACTGGTAGCAAAGAAGTATAACTTAAGAGGCACTTGGATAAGAATTAAATGCCCAGAAGGTGCATTCCAAAGTCCCACGGAGTTGGAGTAGCGGGGCACGGTGACCTGGAGGAAAGTGAAGACCCAGCTGGGCTTCAGGTTTTCTCTGCAGAACCCCAAGGCGATAGCCCGGCAGCCCCTGACCCTAGCGGGGGGAGCCCCAGCATCAGAGATGTCCCTGGCCTGACACCCAAGGCGCCTCTGAGTGTCATCTGGCAGGGCCAGCCTCGCAGCGAGGGGAGCCCGGGACAGGGATCCCCGCCCCCAGGCCCAGGAACCCCGGGGTCAGTCCACAGGCCCGAGGGCCCACCCTCCGCCTGGCCCCCATTGGGAGGGGCCTTGAGAGACCGACGCTGGGGAGGGGACTGGGCCGGCGAGATGGAGCGCGCAGCCCACCCCCAGGGCCGGAGACGCAGACGAGCCACCGCCCAGCCCGGGAACGGAAGCCGCGGGGGCGCGTCAGCCCTTGTAGACCCCGCGCGGGGTGTCGCTGGGGCCGCGGCGGCCGCACAACGGGCTCATTCACCGCGCGGCCGCGGCTGAGCGGCCGCCCGGGTCCCCACGTCCCCGCCCCTGGGCCCGAGCGCGTGAGCCGCTAAGACCGCGCGGCTGCCGGGCCTGGTGAGTGCGCGGGGCGGGGCCGCGCGTGCATGGGGGTTCGCAGGCGGTGGGGGGAGACCGCGCGGGGTGGGGAGCAGGGCCGCGCTCTCCTGAGGGTGGGGGTGGGAGTGCGGGGCAGGGGCGGAGGCCGGGCCCGCTGGGCTGGGGGCGCGGGGCGGGTACAGACCCGCCTCTTGGGAGAACCTGCATCTGTGGCCGGGACGAAGGGGACACAGGTGCTAGAGGGTGCGGGCCGGGGCCTCCTCTTCTCCAGACCTCGGAGCTCGCCCACCCGCGGGAGGGTCTCTGGGAATAAACTCGGGTCCGGTCTCAAAGCCCTGTCGGCCGGGCTTCTTCCCACGGGTGGGAGGCAAGGATGCAAGGTCTCCTTTCCCAGTAAATGGACTCCAATGTAAAACGGCTGATTTAAAGACAAAACTAAGGAAGTAAGCGTGTGACACAAGACTGGCCAGGGGTTCAGGCGGGAGGGGGGTTCAGGAGGGAGGCGGATTCAGGCAGGTCCCAGTTGCTGGGGCCCCCACGCCCCCTGTCCTGCGTGGGCCAAGCGGGGAAGGAAGGAGGTGTTGGCAGCCCTGCGCGTGCACAGGCTCGGGGTAGAATGGGCTACCCACTCTCTCTGGCCAGCAAGGCCCCTGGACCCCCTGGGCACTCAGCCTCTGGGCCTGGCCACAGGACAGCACCAGCCACTGCCTCAATGCTCAGAGAAACTGAGGCAGAGACACGTGGGAGGGGGCAGGTCAGGCCCCAAGGATCCTGCAGTGATGACCTCACCTACTTTAGACACCCAGCCTAGGTGGGGACTAAAAGGGCATAAGGCCCAATGCCTGCAGAAGACCTGAGGCCAGGCCCCTGCAGTGCGGCTGAGGCTGTTCCTGAACTACGCTCACCTGCCTAAAACCTCACCACAGGTCCCCATAAGCCAGCCTCTGGAAACCTCCACCACCTTTCCTGAGGGGGGAAGGGCCACCTCCCACTCCAGGTTTTTCTGTGGCCCCAGGTGGCACTGCCCACCCCACCCTGCATGCAGGCGTCTGCACCAGGTGCCCCACCCCTGCTGTAGCACCCAGGTCCTCCCTGCCTCCTTTAGGGAGACCTTGAGGGAACAACCCCAGCCCCCTGGGTCTCCCCAGTTCTCCAACAACCCTGCTGGTGGCTGCACCCAGAGGGGCCCTTATCTGTCCCAGGGAGGGACCTGAGGCCCTGCGTGACTGCCTTACCCCACCCACTGGCCAACCGCTTCTTACAGCACAGCTCCCAACTGCTGAGCAAACAGCTGCTTCCCAGGGACCACTGGGGCCCAGGTTGGGCTGGGGTGGAAGCAAGGGCTCAGACTCTGGAGGACAGGGCAGGGGCTTCGAGGAGAAATCAGACTTGGAGAGGGCATCCCAGGTGGAGGCTATGGGGGTATGAGACCCTGGAGCCTGTTCAGCTCTGCCCGAATCTCACACTCAGGGGTACGAGACCCCAGAGCGTTCAGCCCTGCCCGCATCTCACACTCTGGGGTACGAGACCCTGGAGCATTCAGCCCTGTCCACATCTCACACTTAGGATGTCTCCTACTCTCTGGCCATCCCAACTACATTCCACTCCCATTTCACCTCCAAATGGGGGCACTGCAGCCCAGTCTTCCCTGGGCTCACCCAGGGCTGTGGGGAACTAGCAGCGCTTGGCAGACGGCTTCCACAAGGAGGTACCTTTGGTGGGGTGAGTGTCCAGGGTCTCCTCCCTCCGGGGCTGTGCCCCATCAATGTCAGTGTCCTCGTCTTGGGGAAATGGAGCCCCGGCACATCAGCTGGTTCTGCGAGACCCTCGGCTTCAATCCCACATGGACAGGAGAAGTAGAGCCTGTGGCTTCTGTTCCCCGGACAGAGTCAGGCTGCCCAAGGTGCCAGGGCCGGGTTGGCCTTCCAGCCCCACCCGAGGGACCCACCGCAGCCTCCTGGCCTCCCTTGGGATGGGAGAGCACTGAGGGCTGCAGCCCCTCGTTACACTCACCCTCCGGCCACAGGTGCCCCGTGCAGGCTCCCACCCAGTACTCACTGTCAAAGTCGGGGGGACCTGAGGCTCCCAAGGAATTTTTTTTTTTTTTTTGAGACAGAACTGGCCGGGCACGGTGGCTCACGCCTGTAATCCCAGCACTTTGGGAGGCCGAGGCGGGTGGATCACAAGGTCAGGAGTTCAAGACTAGCCTGACCAACATAGTGAAACCCTGTCTCTACTAAAAATACAAAAATTAGCCGGGCGTGGTGGCACACGCCTGTAGTCCCAACTACTCAGGCGGCTGAGGCAGGAGAATCGCTTGAACCCGGGAGGCAGAGGCTGCAGTGAGCCGAGATTGTGCCACTGCACTCCAGCCTGGGCAACAGAGCGAGACTCCATCTCAAAAAAAAAAAAAAAAGACTTGTAGGCTGGAGTGAAGCGCTACAAACATACCTCACTGCAGCCTGGACCTCCAGGGCTCAAGCAATCCTCCTACCTTAGCTTCCCAAAGTGCTGGGCCAATGACAGCGTTTGTTTTTGAGACGGGCTCTTGCTCTGTGGCCTAGGATAGGGTGCAGTGGCCTAATCATACCTCATGGCAGCCTCAAACTCCTGGGCTCAAGCCATGCTCCCACCTGAGCCGCTTGAGTAGCTGGGATACAGGCACACACCACCACACCCAGCTAATTTTTTACTTTTAATTTTTTAAAGGTTGGGGGGCAGGGGGCGGCCGGGTGCAGTGGCTCAAGCCTGTAATCCCAGCACTTTGGGAGGCCGAGGTGGGTGGATCACGAGGTCAGGAGATCAAGACCATCCTGGCTAACATGGTGAAACCCCGTCTCTACTAAAAATACAAAAAATTAGCCGGGCGTGGTGGCGGGTGCCTGTAGTCCCAGCTACTCGGGAGGCTGAGGCAGGAGAATCACTTGAACCCGGGAGACAGAGCTTGCAGTGAGCCGAGATCATGCCACTGTACTCCAGCCTGGGCAACAGAGCGAAACTCCGTCTCAAAAAAAAAAAAATTAGCCGGGCGCGGTGGCGGGCGCCTGTAGTCCCAGCTACTCAGGAGGCTGAGGCAGGAGAATGGCGTGAACCCAGGAGGCAGAGCTTCCAGTGAGCCGAGATCACACCACTGCATTCCGGCCTGGGTGACAGAGCAAGACTCCGCCTCAAAAAAAAAAAAAGAAAAGGTGGGGGGCGTCTCACTATGTTGACCAGGCTGGTCTTGAACTGCTGGCCTTAAGCGATCCTCCTGTCTAGGCCTCCCAAAGTGTTGGAATTACAGGAGTGAACCATCGTGCCTGGCTAATAATTCCTTTTAAAAAGCAGCTTACCCTTATTTTCACGTGTGGGCCTAATTTAGTTCACTTAAAAAAATCATTTATCTTCACCCCAGCCCTATGAGGCAGGCACTGCCGGTCCTGGTCTGTGGTAGAGGGGAGGGCAGAGGAGCCGTGAGGGTGACCAGGCGCTGTGGGTCGGTGCTGGGTCCAGTCAGACCAGGACTCCTGGCCAGTCACGGCACCTTGACCCCGGCAGTCCTCGCCCTGGGCGGTGAGCACCACACACAGGGCTTACGCGAGCACACACGCATATGCACGCACCGGCAGCCTTGGGCTGAGCCGGCTGTCAGCCTCTGCCCTGCTCCAGCTTGGACCAGGCTGGCTCCTTGCAGGACCAGGAGGGTGTCCGGCGACTGGACACGGAGACCAAGCCTCCCTCAGCCCCGCCTGGGTTTGAAGGCTGCTGCACTCGACCCCAGACCCCAGAGCTGAAGGTTTACCTGTGCTCAGCCCCTGAGCCCCCGCCTCCCGCTGGTCCCTAAGCCCCCCCGGCAGGGCCGCAGAGCCACAGCTGCAGCGGCTCCTGGGAGGCTGGGAGCTCCTCAGAGGCCCACACAGCTCTAACTCCTACAAGCCCCTGATTACAGTTCAACTCCCGGATCAGCCGATCAGGTAACATGGCTGGAGAAACCCATGACTCAGCAATCTGTAGGTAAATAATTGAACTACAGAGTCCAGGGCACAGACCACTGCCTGCAGGTTGGCGCCACCACCCCCACTCTCCCCGCTGCTCGCGGGAGCCAGAGGGCCCTGCGGTCCTCGGTGGTCTTGCCAGCCCCTCGTCATCCCAGGGCCCTCCGCGCCTGTGAGGACTCCCTCAGGTAAGAACCATCCTGGGCCCAGATCTCAGCTGCAGCAGAGGGGGGCGTGGGAGCCGAGGCCAGAAATGCCCTGGACTCGTGGTTTCTTAGGGGCACCCTCAGGCTCAAGGCAGGTGGCCCTACTGTCCCCATTCCACACACCTGGACCCCAGGGGCTTGGGGTGGGCTTCAGGGCATCCAGGGACCCAGTGTGGTGGGGTCTTCCAGGGAAGGGGACACAACTCTTGCAATGTTGCCTGAGGGCCAGGACCCCCGCTCTGTGCCCCAGGGGTGCTGTGCCCAGCCTGCATGTGTCAACCTACCAGGCTGGGCTCACTGCCCCAACACACCCGCCAGGAGACTGGAGCTCGCACACCCTGGGCCAGCGTGCAAACAGCAGGCTCAGCCCAGGCTCCAGGGTGTCCTGGGCACCTGGTGTCCTGGGAGCAAAGTCTTTGCCTAACGTCGCTGAGAAGAATGTTTAAAGTGAAAGTACATTGGAGTCTGCAAACAGGACAGACCCGAGGCCTCACGTGGGACCAGTCAGGCCTCTAAGCACCGCCTCCCTAACGCCACGGTGTTTTCCGAGATCAAGGGAAAGGTCAGGTGCCCTTCCGGCTCTGCCGGCCCAGGGTGACTGTGTGCAGCGGGCTGGGCCCTCTCGGTGCTGCCTCGGGACAGTGTGTCATGGCCGTTCCACAGTGAGCTGGTGCAGCCTGGGAAAAAGGGCGCCTCACGTCCCAGAACTGTCTGGGCAGGGGAGACAGACGCCAGTCACCCTCCTCCCCTCCCAGCTGGCCCTGATGGGGCCCCCGTCCAGGCATATTCTCAGAATTCTGTCCCAAGTCCAGGCGGATGGGCTAGGCTAGTGTCTGAGTGCTGCTCCCCCAGCAGACTTGGGGTCCCAGTACCCACAAAGCTTGGCAGGGACATAGGAGGCCTCTTCCTGAGACTTCCGCCAGCCCCAGGACCCACAGGGCAGGTGACAGAGGGGTGGGTGGAGGTGTCTCCAGGAGAGCAGGCGATGGTTTGGATGGGGGAGGGAGGGCTCTGGTGTGGGCATGGGGTGGACAGCAGGACCGTTTGCCAACCTGGGGAGCCAGGGAGGTGGACACGGAGCAGCTGGACTCAGGCTTGCCTGCACCTGTGTCCAGTGACTGTGACATTCTGACGGTAGGCACATGTGCGTGGTGGCAGCCCAGCCTGTTCCTGCCCCGTTGGGGAGGTGAGCTTCAGGAGGCTACAGGGTGGTTTTCAGCCAGGAACCGCAGAGCCAATAGGCCGGAGCTGAGCCTGGACAGGGTGCCGCCACGCCGCCCCTCAGCACTGCTGGCCTCAGCACACCCCATGGCATGGGCTTGGTGTCGTAATCCCATCTCACCTCACGATGGATTCTGGATCCAGCAGGGCCCAGCGTCCATCCATACCGGGCAGGGGGCTGGGGCCCGCGCTGCCAGGAGAAGGCCCAGCACCAATCCCCGGCCCTGGGTGGGCGAGGGGTCCGCCCCAAGGGGCCCGTTGCTGCCGGGGACCTTGTCGTTTGGCCCTGGATCCGGGGGCTCCTGTGACCATGCCCTCTTCTCGGCCGCAGGTCGGCCACGGGACCTGACGCAACAGGATGGACGAGTCCCCTGAGCCTCTGCAGCAGGGCAGAGGGCCGGTGCCGGTCCGACGGCAGCGCCCAGCACCCCGGGGTCTGCGTGAGATGCTGAAGGCCAGGCTGTGGTGCAGCTGCTCGTGCAGTGTGCTGTGCGTCCGGGCGCTGGTGCAGGACCTGCTCCCCGCCACGCGCTGGCTGCGTCAGTACCGCCCGCGGGAGTACCTGGCAGGCGACGTCATGTCTGGGCTGGTCATCGGCATCATCCTGGTGCCGCAGGCCATCGCCTACTCATTGCTGGCCGGGCTGCAGCCCATCTACAGCCTCTATACGTCCTTCTTCGCCAACCTCATCTACTTCCTCATGGGCACCTCACGGCATGTCTCCGTGGGCATCTTCAGCCTGCTTTGCCTCATGGTGGGGCAGGTGGTGGACCGGGAGCTCCAGCTGGCCGGCTTTGACCCCTCCCAGGACGGCCTGCAGCCCGGAGCCAACAGCAGCACCCTCAACGGCTCGGCTGCCATGCTGGACTGCGGGCGTGACTGCTACGCCATCCGTGTCGCCACCGCCCTCACGCTGATGACCGGGCTTTACCAGGTGAGGAGCCCTGCTTGGGCACAGGGAGGGGCCCAGGGCACCCCCCCTTAGGTTTTGGCCATCCACGAGGGCAAGGCTGGGGGCAAGCACAGGGTTGGCAGAGGAGGTGCTGGCCCAAGACAGCAAGGCTTGGGCAGAGCTGGGGCGTGCCGGGGCATCCCAGGGCGAGGCACCGACGCGGAGAGGCTGTGGATGCAGGAGGGGAGGGGCACGGGGAGCCAGTCCGGTGGGCCATGGCCTTGGTGGGGACCAGCAGGCCAGGTGTGGCTGTGGCTCAGTGGTGCTGGACTGAGGCCATGTGGCCTCCCAGGCCTTCTGTCCTAGGTGGAGTGGGGGATGGCCTCCCCACCCCCGAAGGTCTCCTGCCTTGGCCTGTCCACCTTGGCCCCCGTTGGCTCCACATCTGCATGGGGGGCAGTGGGCACCATGTGTAGGAAGCAGCAGGAAGGGGTTGCCTTCTGATACCAGAGGTCTTAATTCTGAAATAAAACGGGCTGCTGCACGTGACAAGGGTTAGACGTGTCTATGGCCAGCTGTGTGCACGTGTGATGCTCACGTGGATGTCACAGTTGTCTGCGGGCATGAGCACGCGTGGAACCAGAACTCAGGCCCGTGTGAGGAGTCTGGTTTGGAACACACGGGGCCGCAACACAGAATTGTCAGGTCCTGTGCCGTGACCACCACCCCTCGGGCCATGCCAGGTGCTGGTGAGGGGCAGGTGGCTCCCGCCAGGCGCCTGCTGGCCTGACCGCACTCCGTCCACAGGTCCTCATGGGCGTCCTCCGGCTGGGCTTCGTGTCCGCCTACCTCTCACAGCCACTGCTCGATGGCTTTGCCATGGGGGCCTCCGTGACCATCCTGACCTCGCAGCTCAAACACCTGCTGGGCGTGCGGATCCCGCGGCACCAGGGGCCCGGCATGGTGGTCCTCACATGGCTGAGCCTGCTGCGCGGCGCCGGGCAGGCCAACGTGTGCGACGTGGTCACCAGCACGGTGTGCCTGGCGGTGCTGCTAGCCGCGAAGGAGCTCTCAGACCGCTACCGACACCGCCTGAGGGTGCCGCTGCCCACGGAGCTGCTGGTCATCGTGGTGGCCACACTCGTGTCGCACTTCGGGCAGCTCCACAAGCGCTTTGGCTCGAGCGTGGCTGGCGACATCCCCACGGGTTTCATGCCCCCTCAGGTCCCAGAGCCCAGGCTGATGCAGCGTGTGGCTTTGGATGCCGTGGCCCTGGCCCTCGTGGCTGCCGCCTTCTCCATCTCGCTGGCGGAGATGTTCGCCCGCAGTCACGGCTACTCTGTGCGTGCCAACCAGGAGCTGCTGGCTGTGGGCTGCTGCAACGTGCTACCCGCCTTCCTCCACTGCTTCGCCACCAGCGCCGCCCTGGCCAAGAGCCTGGTGAAGACAGCCACTGGCTGCCGGACACAGCTGTCCAGCGTGGTCAGCGCCACCGTGGTGCTGCTGGTGCTGCTGGCGCTGGCACCGCTGTTCCACGACCTACAGCGAAGCGTGCTGGCCTGCGTCATCGTGGTCAGCCTGCGGGGGGCCCTGCGCAAGGTGTGGGACCTCCCGCGGCTGTGGCGGATGAGCCCGGCTGACGCGCTGGTCTGGGCAGGCACCGCGGCCACCTGTATGCTGGTCAGCACAGAGGCCGGGCTGCTGGCTGGCGTCATCCTCTCGCTGCTCAGCCTGGCCGGCCGCACCCAACGCCCACGCACCGCCCTGCTGGCCCGCATCGGGGACACGGCCTTCTACGAGGATGCCACAGAGTTCGAGGGCCTCGTCCCTGAGCCCGGCGTGCGGGTGTTCCGCTTTGGGGGGCCGCTGTACTATGCCAACAAGGACTTCTTCCTGCAGTCACTCTACAGCCTCACGGGGCTGGACGCAGGGTGCATGGCTGCCAGGAGGAAGGAGGGGGGCTCAGAGACGGGGGTCGGTGAGGGAGGCCCTGCCCAGGGCGAGGACCTGGGCCCGGTTAGCACCAGGGCTGCGCTGGTGCCCGCAGCGGCCGGCTTCCACACAGTGGTCATCGACTGCGCCCCGCTGCTGTTCCTAGACGCAGCCGGTGTGAGCACGCTGCAGGACCTGCGCCGAGACTACGGGGCCCTGGGCATCAGCCTGCTGCTAGCCTGCTGCAGCCCGCCTGTGAGAGACATTCTGAGCAGAGGAGGCTTCCTCGGGGAGGGCCCCGGGGACACGGCTGAGGAGGAGCAGCTGTTCCTCAGTGTGCACGATGCCGTGCAGACAGCACGAGCCCGCCACAGGGAGCTGGAGGCCACCGATGCCCATCTGTAGCAGGGCCAGGCCTGCCCAGCAGCCTCTGCTCCCTCCTGGGGACCCACAGCAGACGTCTGCAAGCCACTGCTGAGACCCTTCCCAGGGAGGAGCCACCCAAGAGCTGCACTCTTGTGCCACAGCTGCCCTGGGGAAACCGGGGAACCCCAACTGGGAAAGGAGGCCCTCTGATCACACGCAGGACCCAAACACTCAGAAATCAAGAACCTCTGCCTCCGAGACAGGCTGGCCCACAGTGCTGGCTGGGCCCCAATGCACCGTCCCTCAGCTCAGGAGGGATGGGCCTGACCTGACGCTCAGGGTTGACATCTTATTTGAACAAGGGTCCCCCGCCATCATGCAGCCTCCAAGGTGCCAAGAGGACTCCCTATGCCCAGGCCTGCCCGGTGCCCACCCTGCTGGTAGGAGCCAGCGGCTCTGGCCAAGTGCACGAGGGTCTCTGTGTTTCCAGAAGGCCCCACACACCCAAGTGCCCCTCACACCTCGTGCCTCCCCCTCACAGGGTGGCCACCTGCACCAGCGTCAGGGCCCAGGGTGCTGTGACCGATGAGACCTCAGCTCAGCCCTCAGGTGCAGTGGCCCTACCCAGCCTGGCCAGCAGACACACACAGGGATGCTCACGGGTGCACCAGGAGCCAGGTGCGGCGCAGCCAACCCTGAGCCTGCAGGGAGACCTGCAGGAAGCCCACCGTGCCCCATGCAGGGGCTCCCTCCAGCACACAGCCCTCACCCCAGCACAGCCAGCAAGGACACGCTCTCCCCAACAGGGTGCTTCGGCGGGAGGTGGGGGAACAAGGGGTCTTCCGAGCAGCCCCCAGCCCTCCCCTCCCATCTGTGCCTCTGTAAGGGGCTCTGGGACGCCCAGACCCTGCCCGCCGCCCACCTGGTGGTGACAAGCTCCAGCAGCCAGTGGGTCCGGACCTGCTTGATGCCGCGGTGAGGGACGGCGCCCACATAGGCGAGGTTGAGCTGCTGGTCCCAGCTGAGGACGTACTGGTCAGCCTGGCTGTGTGGCAGCGGGGGGCTGGGGACAACAAAGGGGCGGCTCAGTCCCGAGCCTCAGCATGGCTGGCAGCGCGGCTGACACACACGTTCAAGCCCAGGACTGCCCGGGCGCAGGATCCAGGCGCTGCCCGTGCGTTCAGTGACTAATAAAATGACCCTTAGGGCCAGGAATGTGGGGAGGTCCCATCTTCATGGGGAACGGCAGCAGCAGTAAGACGAGGGGCCAACGCCAGCCCTGGCCCTGGCCCTGCCAGGAAGGCGGGTACCTCAGCTCTAGGTGGAAGGAATGGGACAGGCAGGCCAGGTCCCGCTGCAGGGCCGTCCACTCCCAGGGGAGACTCCTGGTTTACCTCAAAGAGCAGGATCCCGGGCATCGGCCTGGGCTGCAGGGGGCGGCCCAGGCTCACGCCCCGGCGCCCACTCAGGTGGAGGACCCACCCACAAACACGGCGGGGGGCGGGCCCGGGAGAGCCAGGGCCCCAGAGGAGGGAGCTCCGGTCTCTGAAGCTCTCACAGTGCGCAGTCAGGGGGCGCCCGAGCTCTCCCCGTGCGGCCAGGGGGTCCCGGAGGCCGCGGAGCGCTCACCAGAAGCCTGTGCTCCTCCAGAAGCGCCGCAGGGGCCACAGCGCGCGGGCCGCGTCCACATGCACCAGGTGCGGGGCCTCGGCCGGGGCCACCGGGGGCGCGGCCAGGAGCGAGGCCAGGAGCGCCAGCAGCGCGGCGCGGGGGCGCAGGGGACGCATGGCCACGCGTGCTCGGGGACTGCGGGGCTTCGGGCTGCACTGCCGGTTCCGCCTCCGGGTCGGAGTCTGGGCGCGCACCCCATGTGACCGCCGCCGCGGGGCGGGGCCTTGGTGAGGGGGCGATGGCCGGGTGGGAGGGGTTGGGTGGCCTCGGGGAGCCTCGGGGAGCCGGGAGCACGGCAGGGCTTGGAGCCCCGCTTCCTTGCGGGCCTCAGGGGCTGCTCTGAGGACCGATGACTCGGAAAGCGCTCAGAAGAACGCTTCGCCCGTTGGTGCTATGTGAGTTGAGCCATTACTGTCTTGTTTTTCTCTGTTTTTGTGTGTTTTTGAGACAGAGTCTTGCTTTGTCGCCCAGGCTGAGGTGCAGTGGCGCGATCTCAGCTCACTGCAACCTCCATCTCCGGGGCTTCAGCGATTTTCTCACCCCAGCCTCCTGAGTAAAGCGTGCGCTTTAGCAGGAAGGAGAATTACCCCAGAAGAGCACACTGGGCCCTCCTTACACTTGGCTTCAGATCCATGGATTCAACCAAGCAGACTGAAAATATTGTTTTAAAGCCAAAGCAATACGAAATAATACATATTTTAAAACAATACAGTATAACAGCTATTTACAGAGCATTTACATTGTTTTAGGGACTATAAGTAATCTTGATTTAAACTACACAGTAGGATGTGCGTAGGTAATGTGCAAATACTGTGCCATTTTATATCAAGTACTTGAGCACCTGCAAATTTTGGTATCTGGGAGGGTCCTGGAACCAATACCCCGAGGATACCATGGGACAACTGTAGTACATGTGTAGTCCATGTATGCATGTGTGAATCCAAGCAAACATTGTATAAAAATAATAATGGAAAGAACAGGCTTGGTGCGGTGGCTCACACCTGCAATCCCAGCACTTTGGAATTGCAGGCCAACACGGGAGGATCACTTGAGGCCTGGAGTTTGAAATCGGCCTGGGAGATGTACCAAGACCCCATCTGTACAAAAAAAAAATTTAGCCAGATGCGATGGTATATGCCTGTGAGGCCCAGCTACCCACGAAATTGAGGTGGGAGATTGCTTGAGCTTAGGAGTTCAAGGCTGAGACGGGCCATGATCACACCACTACATTCCAGCCTGGTTGACAAAATGAGACCCCATCTCTAAAAAAAGAAAAGAAAAAAAGAACAGTCTACTAACAAAACGAAAATACTGGACAATAATCCTCTCTAAGTTGGGAGAAGGATAATTAGAGTTACAGTGTTCTGGGTCTTTTTATTTTGGGGAGAGGGGTTAAAATATTGCTTAACATTAGGTCTTCTTATGTTGAAATTGCATTAAAAGTGATTAGCCATTTAAAAGTGAAATAGTGTGTATATATTCCAAATTAGCAAGGAGGAAAAACATAATACAAAAAAATTCATTAAGAAACTAAAAAGTAAGAAAGGGAGGGAAAGGCGAGAGAAACCATGCAAGTACAGAACTGTCTCCAGGAACAGCGGGGTAAGACCCTCAGTCCAACGACCCCAGAGAAAACAACTAAAATGATGGATAACTCGCTTTAAAAACAATTCCTCAAAGCGTCAGAGAACTGAGAAAAACAGTAAGAAACCACCAGTCCCACACCGTGGTGCAGGACACAGCAATGGAAACTGAATTGTTTCAGACCAGCCGCCTCCTGAGAGCAACCATCAGAACTGGAGAGCGCTGAACGGAACCGTCCAGGGCACTGGGAGCTCTGAGGAGCCTCTGAGGCCTCGGGGCTCTGCAGGGACAAGCCGGGAGGGGGCGGGGCCCGCTTTGGGGCGGCGACTCCACACCCCTGCAGCGTATCCCAGCCACACAAGACATGGCGACACGCTGCTGCGTTCGTTCCTCACACTGTGGCCACAGGACAGAAGTCGAGGCTCAGGCGGGGGGCCTGGTAAAGACTTTGGGTTTTTCTTGGGACCCCAAAGTTCTATCCCCTAAAAGCAAAGGTAAACCAGCAACAGAATTGTCTTTGTGGGGACTGAAGCCAGCCTTAAATCACCTCAAGCCCTGAGAGAATTAAGGTGAGCCGCTCACCGGGACACCTGTGGACAGAAAAGTACACCTTCCCTGGAGGAAGGTAAAACAAAACAAAAACAGACAGAAGTCCTCACTGCACGGTGCTGGAATGGATCCGGGTCAGGAAAAATTATTACAAAGTGCATGATGGGGACATTCACAATTTGGAATATGCCTTGTACATTGTGCAACAAAATTCTACCAATGATAAACTCCAGAATTTTTTTTGTTTTTGTTTTTTGTTTTTTTAAACGAAGTCTCACTCTGTTGTCCAGGCTGGAGTGCAGTGGTGCGATCTCAGCTCATTGCAACCTCTGCCTCAGCCTCCTGAGTAGCTGGGATTACAGGCATGAGCCACCACGCCCAGCCAATTTTTGTATTTTCAGTAGAGACAGCGTTTTACCATCCTGGCCAGGCTGGTCTCGACCTCCTGACCTCGAATGATCCACCTGTCTCGGCCTCCCAAAGTGCTGGGATTATAGGCATGAGCCACCGCGCTGGGTCAAACTCCAGAATTATTAAACGACTCAATGATTGCATCACGGTTGTGAATGGAGATTTTTTGTTCATTTGTGATCCATGCTGAAGGGTTTAGAGGTGAAGAATCAATAGATTTGTAACCAAAGTTGCTCTGGAAATTAAAGCAAAACAATAAATTTAGATTACATACAGAGACTGAGATAAAAGCAAAGGTAGCAAAATATTAACAGTTGGTGAACCTGGGTGAAAACTATATACTGTTATTGCAACTTTTCTGTGAGTTTGAAATTTTTCAAAATGAAAACATTGAAAAAAATATTAAAACCTCATGAAACTTAGTAAAAATTTATTGAATGATACACTTGAACTTGCTTCATTTTATTGTATGTAAATCATATCTCAGTAAAGCTGATAACGAATTGGTTTAACAGCAAATTAAATCCAACTAGGCTGAGCAAGGTGGCTCATGCCTGTAATCCCAGCACTTTGGGAGGCTGAGGCGGGCAGATCACCTGAGGTCAGGAGTTCGAGACCAGCCTGGCCAACATGGTGAAACCCTGTCTCTACCAAAAATACAAAAATTAGCCGGGCGTGGTGGCATGCGTCTGTAATCCCAGCTACTCAGGAGGCTGAGGCAGGAGAATTGCTTTAACCTGGGAGGCAGAGGCTGCAGTGAACCAAGATCACGTCACTGCACTCCAGCCTGGGCAACAGAGTGAGACCCTGTTTCAAAAAGAAAAGACAAAATTAAATGGTGTTCTTCAAGTAGAAAGAATGATGTCCCAAATCCCAGCTCAGAGGTGCAGAGGAAGAAGTGAAGAGTGCGGGGGGAAGGGAAAACCTCCCCTGCCTTTCTGAAGTTTCACTAAAAGGGTACACAGATTTCTTGGATTGTAGTTTTATGTGACACAGCAGCTTTCAGAGCAAAGACCTAAAGGCGCAGGGGAAACCACATTTTTATACTCAGGTTCTGTGAATCTGGAAATAGGATTGGACGAAAGGTTAAGACCTGACAGGCTAACAGACTCCTGGGGGAGCCCAGCGAGGCCCATCTGCTTCGGTTCCTGGAGGCCTCTCTCTGCAGCTCTCCCTCCTGCTGGGTGGGGGCACAACGCCCCGGAATAGGGGTCTGACCACATACAGTCAAACAAGGCAGGCCAGAGAATTCCTTTATGGCCAGTTTTTACACAGAAAGACAGAGAAAAGTTATTAGAGTCATACTTTTAGGTTTATGGCTGGCTTTGGGGAAAAGGGGCTTAGGTTTCTACGACCTGCCTGGGACAATGAGGGGCCAGAGACAGGAGGCAGGAGAAGGCCTGGCTTCCAAGGCCTTCACTCTGGGTGACATTTTCTGAACCCCAACAAAAGCAACAGAAACGGTATATTGTGTATAAACCTAATGAATCGTAACCGCATAAAACAATCATGTTACAGGGTTTCACATATTTCTGGGGAATTAGGATTTACAGCAAGAGTGGCACAGGTGCTGTATGGGAAAAGTGAAGTGAGAGGGGAGGAGAGCCTCCTGAAGACGCCCTCCGTCCTGTCCAGGCCCGCGCCTGTCGCCTCACATGGCGAGCGCCTGCAGGCATGGTTCCGTGAAGCATCCAAGACGTAGAGATGATTCTAGTTATCCGAGTGGGCCCTGAGTGTAATCCCAGTGTTCCTATACAGGGGAGACGGAGGGGGGTTTGACACAGAGGAGGCTGTAACGGCCTCAGGAGAGATTGAAAGATTGTTCTAAAATGTGTCCCCAGGGTTTATTTCAGTGAGGTGTGGGGAGACACACGGACCCGGCCACGACAGGCCAGGAGGAAGGCCTTGCTGTGTGTAGAGACGTGTGCGATTCCGATTTAGATTTTGGGGCTCTGTGAGGCAAGAGATTCACACAGGTCTCTACCCTGCAGGGGACACCTTTTGGGCAATGGCCCAGTGGCTTATAATAAACGTGGGGAAGAAGCCACTGGTCGGCGGAGGCCCTCAGGGCTGAGACCACGCCTGGCACATTGCTTCCAGGTCCGCCTTTCACTGGGGGCGTCCGGGCAGGGGTGGAGCAGCAGCCGTCCACCGGGCTCCCCAGCAGTGTGGCCAGCAGCACCGTACCCTCACGCACGCACCCATTTCTCTTCGCTCAGAGGGTCCCACAGGGCTTGCCAGGCAGCCCAGGGGTTTACGGGAGGTGACCTCCTCCCACACTTGGCATCCGGCAAGCCACCGAGGACAGGGGAAGCCGCCCCCTCCCACAGATGGAAGACAGCAAGGGGCAGCTTTGCCTCCATCCTGCCTAGAGAGGCCTCTCTGAGGCCAAGCTGAGCTTGTGGGGTGCTGGTCCTGTGACCCAGTGCATACAGGCAGCTGGGGATGAGGCCAGAGGCTCAGGGTCTGTGACAGCCTCTGTCCCAGGAGAGCCTGGGGTCAGCCAGTCACTTGTGGTTTTAAGAGTGGACGGCACTGGGCCAGGCGCGCTGGCTCATGCCTGTAATACCAGCACTTTGGGAGGCCGAGACGGGCGGATCATGAGGTCAGGAGATAGAGACCATCCTGGCTAACACGGTGAAAACTCGTCTCTACTAAAAATACAAAAAATTAGCCGGGTGTGGTGGTGGGTGCCTGTAGTCCCAGCTACTTGGGAGGCTGAGGCAGGAGAATGGCGTGAACCCGGGAAGTGCACCGAGCTTGCAGCAAGCTGAGATCGCGCCACTGCACTCCAGCCTGGGCAACAGAGTGAGACTCCGTCTCAAAAAGAAAAAAAAAGAGTGGACGGCACAAGGCCAGGTTCTTGCTGGTTCTTGCATCAGAAGCCGCTGGGCAGCTTACGGCTGTCAGGAGTGGCTGAGAGACGCCAGCCGGCTAAGAAGAGGCTGCCAATGCCTCTACAGTGGAGTCTCTGAGAGCACTAACGAGAGTGCCTGCAGATTTTAATGCATTTTGTTTTTAGACGGGGTCTTGCTCTGTCCCCTAGGCTGGAGTGCAGTGGCGCGATCACGGCTCACTACAGCCTCGACCTCTCAGGCTCAAGCAGGCCTCCCACCTCAGTCTCCTGAGTACCTGGGACTGCAGGCAGCACATGCCTGGCTAATTATTGATTGATTGATTGATTGTAGATAGGGTCCCTCTCTGTTGTCCGGGCTAAGGGTCCCTCTGTCTTGCCCGGGCTGGTTTAGAACTCCTGACCTCAAGTGATCCTCCCACCTCAGCCTCCCAAAGTGCTGGGATTACAGGCATGAGCCACCACGCCTGGCTGGTTTTTATTTGGACGTAAAATTTGGAAACGAGGAATATGTTGCCACCAGAACCCAAAAAGAACGAAAAGATACTGGACTGCGTGTCAGTAGGAGGGTGCTCTCCATGCACGTGGGCCCGCGCCTCTGAAGAAGGCCTGGTCAGTGGAGGTCCCGGCGCAGCCTGGAAAAGGTGGGCTGTGTCCTTGGAGGTGGCGGTGAACTGCGGCTTCCAGGTGGCTGAAACGGGCCCTGAGTGGAGCAGAGGCCGTGTCTGCGTGACGTGACGCACGCTGGCCGGTTGCTGACTGGGGAGTCGCTGGTTGAGACCCTGCTGGGTCTCAGGGTGTGCGGCCTAAGGGGTGATGGCAGCCTCGAGATTGTGAAAACCCGCCGTGAGGCACCCGTTATTTTTTCCTGGTAAAAGAACAGGCAAAATCAGGCCTTTGTCTTCTCTGCTTGTATCTAGGCAGTTGCTGTTTTTTCCTTTCTCCCGACCCCCATCCTTCTTTCTGTTTAGGCTTTCATCTGCCCTAAACCCTGGTTTTTAGTTTCTGTCTCTGGCTGATAAGAGGGAAGGAGGGGAGGGAAGCTGCCCCCTAGAATGGCCCGTCTGCAGCGTAATCCTTCCTTCTTTTTTTCTTAAACAAAATCTTGGTTTTCGTCTTAAAAATCTGGCTTATATCTCAAGGTGCGTAGAATTTTTTCCTCTTTACTTCCTGTCCATCCTGATTGTATTAACAGCACTTTTTTTTTTTTTTTTTTGAGATGGAGTTTCGCTCTTGTTGCCCAGGCTGGAGTGCAGTGGCGCGATCCTGGCTCACTGCAGCCTCCACCTCCCGGGTTCAAGCGATTCTCCTGCCTCAGCCTCCCAAGTAGCTGGGACTACAGGCGCCCGCCACCATTCCTGGCTAATTTTTGTATTTTTAGTGGAGAGAGGGTTTCACCATGTTGGCCAGGATGGTCTCGATCTCTTGACCTCAGGTGATCTGCCCACTTCAGCCTCCCAAAGTGCTGGGATTATAGGCGTGAGCCACCGCACCCAGCCTATTTTCTGTATTCTTAATGCACTGGCCTTGGGCGTCTTGATCCTGGAGAGATCACCCCTCCAGAGCCCACAGGTGCCTCCTTCTCACAGTCACACAAAGCCAGTGTCCCTGCCCTCAGTCACCCCAGGGCGAGGTCCTGGCCGACCAGGGGCTGCCGAGCCCAGGGCCCAGGGAAGTCGCTCCAACTCCAATCCCGTCCTGATCTCACCTGGCAGTGTCCACCCTGCCTCATTTGCCCTTCCCGCAGAGCCCCCATGAACTGGGGCTCCCTCCACTCCGTGGCCCTGTGTGCTGTGCCCCCTTCTCTTGGGAAATGTAATGTATCTTCTTTGCAGGAAGTTGTCTCCACGTCTGCCACCTTACCGCACCTGACTAAAACTAAGCCCAGGTACAAATTTTAGAACAAAGGTGTGCGGCCTCTGGAAATCAGCTCTGGAAGCTAGAAGGGGCCAGTAGCTTTGCCTCGGGAGGGAGTGTGGCGCTGCCAACAGGTGGACCTGCAGAGGGCTTGTGCCAGCCTGGTCCACGTCATGGCACTGGCATAGCAGGTCCACACAGTGGGACGGATTCACGGGAAGCTGGTAGATCCCCTTCCAAGGCAGCACACGGTTTTGTAAAAGGTGCTAAGCCAAAATTCCTTAACCACAAGGGCTCCCACCCCGCCTCCGCTTCCTCTCTTGCTGGGCTGGCACTGGAGAGGCAGTGGGCACTTTGGGGCCCGGCAGGGGGACGTTTGGCTGTGGAGACGTCAGCGGGTCAGCGGCCTCCACCATGCCCTTCCCGGCCACTTCCTTCCAGACGTCCTGGGGTAGAAACAGCTTCCAGCAACACCCATGGCAATTAACACAGAGGAGTGACTCGCAGGAACTTCTGGAAGAGGAGGAAAGATCTTGCTGATTTAACAGGAAATGCCGACATCAACGACATCGAGAATGCGGGACCCTCACACCAGCCTCACGAGAAGCCGGTGGATACAGCTTATTCCAGAGGGAGGCTTGGATCAGCACCTGGGGAAAAAAGGCAGCCCCTCAACCTGGCCAGCCTGCAGAGGAGAGAAGCCTGAGCAAGCGTCCTCCAAATTTCACAACAGGCTTTACCATGTGGATGATGTAACCAGTCATCAGTACATTTCTGTAAAGCAAAGCACACTTTTAAAAACCAGCCATGCTAGTGGGCCTGAGGATTACCTTTCGTCTTCCTCTTTCCTCTGTGGAAGATGATATTGCAAAATTGTAAAAAGAGACAATAAAAAAGTGGATGAAAGGGTATCCTAGCAAGCTGTTATGAATAAAAAATCTCGGTATTTTCTGGATTTTGTGCTGCTTGTGCTATTAGTCAAGTTTTAAAACATGCTTAATTTATTATTTCTTCTTGCATCTAATTTTATTTTATTCTTTTTATTTATTTATTTATTTTTGAGACAGAGTCTCGCACTGTCCTCCAGGCTGGAGTGCAGTGGCACGATCTTGGCTCACTGCAACCTCCGCCTCCCGGGTTCAAGCAATTCTCCTGCCTCAGCCTCCCAAGTAGCTGGGATTACAGGCGCCCACCGGCACGCCCAGCTAATTTTTTGTATTTTTAGTAGAGACGGGGTTTCACCATGTTGGCCAGGCTGGTCTCGAACTCCTGACCTTGTGATTCGCCTGCCTCGGCCTCCCAAAGTACTGGGATTACAGGTGTGAGCCACCACGCCCGGCCTTATTTTTTTCTTTTTTTGAGACGGAGGTCTTGCTCTGTTACCCAGGCTGGAGTGCAGTGGTGCAATCTCAGCTCACTGCATCCTCCGCCTTCTGGGTTCAAGTGTTTCTTCTGTCTCAGCCTCCCGAGCAGCTGGAATTACAGGCACACACCACCACGCCCGGCTAATTTTTATATTTTTAGTAGAGACCGGGTTTAGCCATGTTGGCCAGGATAGTCTCCAACTCCTGACCTCAGGCCATCCGCCTGCCTCGGCCTCCCAAACTGTTGGGATTACAAGCGTGAGCCACCGTGCCCGGCCGGCATCTAATTTTATAATAGTTATTTTGCATTCCTTCTTCTTTTTTCATTTTTCTGTCATTTTTTTTTTTGAGATGGAGTTTCGCTCTTGGTGCCCAGGCTGGAGAGCAGTGGCACGATCTCGGCTCACTGCAACCTCCGCCTCCCGGGTTCAAGTGATTCTCCTGCCTCAGCCTCCCAAGTAGCTGGGATTACAGGCACTTGCCACCATGCCCGGCTAATTTTGTATTTTTAGCAGACACGGGGTTTCTCCATGTTGGTGAGGCTGGTCTCGAACTCCCGACTGCTGATGGGGATCTATTTAAGAAGAAATGCAGACCGGGCATGGTGGCTCACGCCTGTAATCCCAACACTTTGGAAGGCCGAGGCAGGCGGATCACGAGGTCAGGAGTTCGAGACCAGCCTGACCAACATGGAGAAACCCCGTCTCTACTAAAAATACAAAATTAGCCAGCTGTGGAGGCACGTGCCTGTAATCCCAGCTACTCAGGAGGCTAAGGCAGGAGAATCGCTTGAACCTGGGAGGCAGAGGTTGCAGTGAGCGGAGATCGCACCACTGCACTCCAGCCTGGGCAACAAGAGCAAGACTCCGTCTAAAAAAAAAAAAAGACATCCCCATTGGCTTCAGGCTGCCCGAAACCTGTGCAAGCTCCAGCCCTGTGCTTACTTGGTTCTCTGCCTTGTGGCAGAGGTTCCCAGAGCTGTGGGGAAAGCGCCCCCAACAAGCAGCTGGACCCACCTCACACGACACCCCCAGATCAGTCTTGGCTGGCTCACAGATGTAAATGTAAAACGTAAAAAGACTCCCCTCCCAATAGGGAAACCTATTTAAGACCTCAGGGGAGGCAGGTGCTTAAACAGGACATACGCCTTGTGGAAGGGAAGGCTTGGTCAGTCGGATGGCAGGAAAACTAGGACCCCCTAAGAGCCGTTGCATGGAGGGTCTAGGCACATGTGACATGCACCGGCCAGCCCCCTTGCTCAGAGATCCTGCATCTGCAAATACACCAGCTTGCTGAATGTGTTTAAGCCCCAGAATCAATACCCACCGTGCTTCCGCAGTTACTCATGCACACGCTCAGAGTGAAGAAGTCTAGGATCCGGTTGCATGGCCGGCTCCTCCGAGGCTGCGAGGCAGGACCGGTCCCATCCTCTCCCCAGCTCCCTGTGGCGGCCAGCAGCCCTCGGTGATCCTTGGCCTGAGAAAGCACCGCCCTGACCTCGGCCTTCATCTTCGCACGGCCTCTCCCTGCATGCCTGTCTCCAGATCCCCTTTCCATAAGGGCGCCTCATGCTGGGGTGAGGCCCGCCCTTGTGACCGCACCTTAACCTGATTTTCTCTGTAAAGACTCTGTCTCCAAACAAGTCTCATTCTGAGGTGCTGGGGGTTGGAATGTCAACATAGAATTTTGGGGGGACAGTTCTACCCATAAGTATGGTTAGACTTTAGACCCTGGTTTCCTCAGGGGAGTGGTGGGGGGAGAGGCCCTCACCAGAACCAAACATGCCAGTACCCCCATCTCTACTTCCCATCCTCCAGAGCAGTAAGAAACACGTTTCCTGTGGTTTAAGCCTCCAGTCTGTGGTCTTCTGTCACGGCAGCCCACGTTGACCAAGACAGACAGGAAAGGGAGTGGGAGACACAGGCCTGGAGACGTGGACGGGCCTGCACAGAAGAAGCTGTCCCTCTGGCAGACAAGCTCCGTTGTGGCGGGTGCCGTGGTCCAGGCTGGGATTCAAAGTTGTTGTTTTTTTTTTTTTTTTCCAAGGCAGAAGAATTTTTCTTAGTACAGAACAAAATGAAAAGTCTCCCATGTCTACTTCTATCCACACAGACCCGGCAACCATCCGATTTCTCAATTTTTTCCCCACCCTTCCCGCCTTTCTATTCCACAAAACCGCCATTGTCATCATGGCCCATCCCCAATGAGCCGCTGGACACACCTCCCAGACGGGGTCGTGGCCGGGCAGAGGGGCTCCTCACTTCCCAGTAGGGGCGGCTGGGCAGAAGCGCCCCTCACCTCCCGGATGGGGCGGCTGGCCGGGCAGAGGGGCTCCTCACTTCCCAGTAGGGGCGGCCGGGCAGAGGAGCCCCTCACCTCCCGGACGGGGCGGCTGCCGGGCGGAGACGCTCCTCACTTCCCAGACGGGGTGGCTGCTGGACGGAGGGGCTCCTCACTTCTCAGACAGGGCGGTTGCCAGGCAGAGGGTTTCCTCACTTCTCAGACGGGGCGGCCGGGCAGAGACGCTCCTCACCTCCCAGACAGGGTTGTGGCCAACAGAGGTGCTCCTCACATCCCAGACAGGGCGGCGGGGCAGAGGTGCTCCCCACATCTCAGACGATGGGCGGCCGGGCAGAGACGCTCCTCACTTCCTAGATGGGAAGGCGGCGGGGAAGAGGCGCTCCTCGCTTCCTAGATGGGATGGCGGCCGGGCAGAGACGCTCCTCACTTTCCAGACTGGGCAGCCAGGCACAGGGGCTCCTCATATCCCAGACGATGGGGGGCCAGGCAGAGACGCTCCTCACTTCCCAGACGGGGTGGCGGCTGGGCAGAGGCTGCAATCTCGGCACTTTGGGAGGCCAAGGCAGGCGGCTGGGAGGTGGAGGTTGTAGCGAGCCGAGATCACGCCACTTCACTCCAGCCTGGGCACCATTGAGCACTGAGTGAACGAGACTCCGTCTGCAATCCCGGCACCTCGGGAGGCCGAGGCTGGCGGATCACTCGCGGTTAGGAGCTGGAGACCAGCCCGGCCAACACAGCAAAACCCCATCTCCACCAAAAAAAACACGAAAACCAGTCAGGCGTGGCGGCGCGCACCTGCAATGGCAGGCACTCGGCAGGCTGAGGCAGGAGAATCAGGCAGGGAGGTTGCAGTGAGCCGAGATGGCGGCAGTACCGTCCAGCTTTGGCTCGGCATCAGAGGGAGACCGTGGAAGGAGACCGTGGAGGGAGAGGGAGAGGGAGAGGGAGAGGGAGAGCGGATTCAAAGTTTTAAGGCCCCTTCAGCGAGAAGCTGCTGGTGGCTTTGGAGGACGTTCTAGGAAGTCCGTGGAGTGTTTGCTGGAAGGATGCTTTGCCCGCCATTTTAATTAACGTGTGCGTCAGAAAGCAGAAAGTTCTGGCAGAAATGGTAGATGAGGGTTTTCCTTTTTAAGATGTTTTTGATGCTCTCCACTGTCTCCTAAATGGAGAAAGGTATGTCCTTAAACAGTTTTTCCTCAGAAGCCAGCTGCAGTTTGCACCGTGGTTCACTGCCATGAGCACCACGGGCTCAGTGAGCCACCTCCTCCTCATGGGCCACAAGGCTGGGTCCTAGCTCTCCCAGGGCCCAGGCACAGGGGGTCTTGGGGCCTGGCTGAGGGCAGGCTCGGGGTGGGGTCTGGCACAGGAGACAGGGAATGCAGGGGTGGTGACTCCGGGCCTCCCAGCATAGGTGGGCATCAGGAAAGGATTTCTGCGGAGCACCCTGCCACAGGGCCTCTGCTCCGGCTTTCCGCCTGGACGCCTTCCTGCTGCCCCCAGGCAGCCCTCATTCTTCAGGGTGCTGTCTGTCCCAGAGCGCAGCTCCTGGAGGGTGAAGGTTCCCTGAAGCTTTGGCTGCATTCCCTTTACCCTGGGGTCCACCCAGGGTCCTACCCCAGCAGCTCAACCAGCAGCTTCTGGACAAACAGAATCCTCCCTGGTTGAGGACTGCGTCTCCCCCCTCACCATCTCAGGGGCCTGCTCCTCCCTCCTCAGACTGGGTCCCCGGCTCACCCTCCATTCCTGGAATCCCCTGTGGTCTGGGTGCCCTCACCAGCACAGCCCCTAGGACAGGTCTCCCGGCTCCTTCCCTCCAGAGTCCACAGCCCCCAGCCCCTTTCAGGCGTCTCCCCACAGGCCCTTCCCTGCTCTTCCTGCCCCCTGAGACCGCCTGCTGCGATGGCCCTGGAGCCCTGCCCTCTGCAGGTCCCCGCTCGGTGGCCCGGGGTGGGGTCCCCCGCTTCGCAGACTCCTATCCACAGTTAGGCCCACGGGGGCAAGGACCCAGACTGCTGCCAGCGGCGGGGAGGGGTGACCCGCGTGGACGCGGCTCTCAAAGGACACCAGCGCCACCTGAACAAGACCCGTGGCGCGCACGAGGCAGGAGAGCTGGGCGCTCGGCGTGAGGCCCGGGTGGGGGTCGCGAGCGGACAGCCCCGGGCCGCAGGCGGGTCCCCCGTTGCAGTGAGGACAGCGGTCGGGCGCCGGGGGTCCTGGGCCTCGGGCAGGGCCAAGTCTGCGCGTGCGAAGACCCCACGGACGGAGCCGCCCAAGCACCGCAAACCCCGCTTTCCGGGACCCACTGTGGGAGGCCCGCAGCGCTGCCCCTCGCCGGGGGCGTCCTGCGCGGCCGGGGGCCTCGGACAGCATCCGCGTCTCGCGTGGGAGGCGCCTGTCTGCGCAGCCGCGGGCCGGGACCCCGCAGGTACAACGCCGCGCGTGCGGCGTCCGGAGAAGTCTGGCCCGGCTGCGGTCAAACCGAGCCCACGTGGACCAGTTCCCCACGGCTGGTTCGCGAGCGGCCTCCGCGCACAGGCCCCGCCCCTTAGCAGGCCCCGCCCCGCCCGATCACAGGGCCCGCCCCCAGCCCCGCTCATCGACGGGGCACGGCTGCGACCCTTAGCAGGCCCCGCCCCGCCAGCCCCCAGATCCGCCCACCAGCAGCGCCCCGCCCCGCCCCGCGGCCCGCGCCTGCGCAGTGGGGCAGGCGCAGTCGGAAGCAGTGTACCGGGCCGTGGAGCGGCGGCTCCTGTACCCCCGGCGCGGACCTAAAGGGGCTCGGGCCGCTCGGGCCGGGAATGGCGGCGGCGGCCGAGCCCGGGGCCCGCGCCTGGCTGGGCGGCGGCTCCCCGCGCCCCGGCAGCCCGGCCTGCAGCCCCGTGCTGGGCTCAGGAGGCCGCGCGCGCCCGGGGCCGGGGCCGGGGCCGGGACCCGAGCGGGCGGGCGTCAGAGCCCCGGGCCCCGCTGCCGCGCCGGGACACAGCTTCCGGAAGGTGACGCTCACCAAGCCCACCTTCTGCCACCTCTGCTCCGACTTCATCTGGGGGCTGGCCGGCTTCCTGTGCGACGGTGAGCGCCCGGGCCCGATGCCTACCCGGCTGCAGCCCTGCCTCTGCCCCGTGGGCGGGAGCCTGAGCGGAGGTGGCACCGGCGCTTTCGGGGGAGTGGAGGGCGGGGTCCCAGCCCTGCTCGCGGGACGTGCCTTCGTGGGGCGGCCGGGGCCTGTGCGCCGTGGGGCCGCTCCAGGCTGCGGGCTTCCTCACCTGGGAGGTGCGGACAGCATCTCCATAGTGCCGCGCGATGGCTGCGACCCAGGGGCTGTGCCTGATGCGAGCGGGACCTCAGCTGGGGTCCCCATGGCCGGCTTCCTCTCCCAGTGGCTGGGGCAGCAGGTGTGGCTAAGCAGGGCTGGCCTGGGCCCCTGGCCCTAGCCCTTCTCATGCTGTGGCCCAGAGTCCCAGCCTCCTGGAGAGCCAGGCCGGGCCCTGCCGTCCCGGTGCGCGTGTCCCAGCCCTGCTCCACCCAGCTGCCCAGCTCTTGCTGGGGTGAGGACAGCCCTTCCCTGTTCTGGGCCCGGGTGCTCCCAGGGCTGGCTCTCATCTTCCCCCGCGGCAAGCAGGCGGGCCCCGGGGACTACAGCCCAGCCTCTGGAGGGAGCGAGGGACAGGGGGACCACAGCCCAGCCTCTGGAGGGAGCGAGGGACAGGGGGACCACAGCCCAGCCTCTGGAGGGAGCGAGGGACAGGACCGGAGTTCTGGACGTTTGACACTTACTGTGTCCTGGCCAGGGACGCTGAGGTGGGAGGGGCTATCCTTAGCCTCAGGCCTTTCTCTGGGGATAGGGGTCCACTCAGGTCAGGGTCCGCAGAGGAGACTGTCCCCTCACACGGGGATGTCGTCTGTGGTGGAAACGGCATGGTTGTTCTGACCCCCAGGGCTGCACAAGGTGGCCTGGCCCGCCAGCTTCTTTGTCACGTCAGAGCATGGCACAGCCATGCCTGCTGCCTGGGGATGCCAGGGGCTTCCCCAGAGGTGGGGAGTGTGCATGTGTGGCTGAGGCAGCTCCCGACTTGAGGCCAGACTCCGGGTCCCCTCCCCCTTCGGAGGGGGCAAAAGGGCCCTCCTGGGCAGCACCCGTGGAAGAGGGGCCAGCAGCGGTATGGGAAGGAGGGCACCCTCCCCGCCAGGAGACCCAAGCGTGGGGCGTGGGGTGAGCAGGCCCTGTCTCCATGGCAGAGGAGGGACCTGGGTGCTGCCTGTCCCCCCTTCTCTCGGTGGACCCTGGCCTGCTTCCAGAGCTTTTCTCTTAAGCTGCCAGGAGAAGCTTCTCCCGGTCCCATCTGGAGACTGGGGTGGCTAGGGCTGCAGCAGGTGAAGGGCGGCACCAGCGGGGCCTTCTGGAAGAGCTCCCTGTCCCAGCTGGACTGCCTGGGGCTCCGTGGCACAACCTTCACCCGGGGCTGTCTTGGCAGTTGTGTCACTGGGTGCCCTGCCCACTCCCAGCCCCCGCAGCCTTTGCCCCAGCCCAGGGTTCCTGCCCTCCCTTCTGCCCCGGCCCCACCCTCCTGTCTGTTTTACTGCTGGGGTGTGGCGCTTGCTCCTCTTATGCCCTCCTGAGCACCCCGCCGGCTCAGGTGCTCCCTGGGTCCTATGCACACAGCCAGAGCTCCTTGGGAGGCTTGGGGCTGTCCACTCCCCAGCGGCTCCTGCCTCCCAGAGCCCTCACCTGCCTTGGGTGGCTCTCGGTCTCAGGCACGGTGCACAGCACGTAGCAGGGACAATTAGGGGTATGCGTAGTTTCGGGGGAGTGAGACACAGATGTCCTTGGTAAAGCCAATCTGCCGAAGGCCGAGAAGCCCCTGCCACCTGGCGAACCTGGTGAGCCCAGGGCTGCCCCTTGAGAGGCCCAACTGCAGAGGCAGGAGGAGTGCTGGGCCTACGTGCGAAGGGGAGGGACTGCTCTCTGGATGAGAGGATACACTCATTGTCCTCCAGGATGGTCAGGACCACCCAGGTTCTTGCTCCTGGGCTCCTGGGCTGCAGGCTCTCTCCAATGAGTGGGCAGGGTGGTGGGGGAACTCGAGGACCACAGGGCCCCTGGTGCAGCATGGTGGGTATGGCAGTCATTGCCCTGGGGCCTCTAACTTCCTGGGTAGGACAGCCATTGGGTAGGACAGGGGCCAACTCACACAGTGCTCATTCCCACAGTCTGCAATTTCATGTCTCATGAGAAGTGCCTGAAGCACGTGAGGATCCCGTGCACGAGTGTGGCACCCAGCCTGGTCCGGGTGAGTGTGGGGCTGGGTGTTGCACCTGCAAGAGGCTGGGGGATGTGTCAGCTCTCGTAGGGTCGAGGCACTGAAAACCTTCATGTCAGACGTTAGTGATACCTGCAGTTGAAAGGCAAAGGGCAGATACTGCTCGGGATTAAAAGGCTGAGCACCCTGCATGGATCTGCAGGGAATGATGGTGATAAAAGCCAGTCCCCGAGGTCGCAAATAGCAAGATCCTGTCCATAGAATGTGCTCAAAATGACGAAACTAAAGGGAGCACAGATGTAGAGAGGTTTCCAGGCGGAGAAGTGGGCGTGGCTGTGACATGCAGCGTGAGGGCTCCTGGGGGGGATGGAGATTTCGGCATCTGGCGTGACCTCAGTTTGCAAGATCACACACTTAGGGGAGCTGACAAAGGCTTCAGGGGGTCTGTTCAGTTTCCTCACAGCTATGTGTGAACCCACAAGCATCTCAAGGAAGCTTGAATAAAAAGCAAAGGCAGGAAGCCTGGGTGCCTGAGGGTGTCTTGGCCACCACCCTCCCTCTAAGGGCTCTGGGTGGGGCAGGGAGGTGACTGGCCCAGGTCACTGCAGGGCACAGGGGACTTCCCTTCTCTGGTGACAGTGGTGACAGCAGGGACATGTAGGAAGGGCCAGGCTTATTCCTCCCTCAGCTGTCAGCGTCGCCGTCTTCAGACTGAGGCCCCCCAAGTCCGCATTCCCTGATGCGTTCAGGCTGCAGGTGGGGCGCAGGCCGCGAGGCAGGCCCGGGTGTGCAGCAGGACGGGAAGCCAGGCCAGCAGGCACACCTGCCACTGGCGGGCATCCGGCTGCGCCGTCCCCTCTAATGTCTGACGCCCTGTTCCTAATGATGCAGTTCCCCGGGTGTGAGCAGGAGGCCTTAGGCCGGTGGTCCTGGTGGTGGCCGACACCCTGGTGATTCCACACTGGCTTGGGCGGCCCCTCGTCATGTGGACGGCCCGAGGCTGCCGCTTTTTAAAATTGATTTTAATGTCTTCTATACTTTGCTAAATTGGGAAAATATAAGTATGTATTTCAACTGTATGCATGATAGGAAATTTAGAAGATGTATTTAACGGCCGGGCGCTGTGGCTCACGCCCGTAATCCCAGCACTTTGGGAGGCCGAGGCAGGTAGATCATGAGGTCAGGAGATCGAGACCATCCTGGCTAACACAGTGAAACCCCTTCTTTACTAAACAAAATATAAAAATTAGCCGGGTGTGGTGGCGGGCGCCTGTAGTCCCAGCTACTCGGGAGGCTGAGGCAGGAGAATGGTGTGAACCCAGGAGGCGGAGCTTGCAGTGAGCCGAGATCACGCCACTGCACTCCAGCCTGGGCGACAGAGCGAGACTCCATCTCAAAAAAAAAAAAAAAGGAGATATATTTAACAAAATAAAAGTCACCCGCCATCCTGGCATGCTCACAGCTGCTATTCTGGAACACGGTCTTTCTGTGTATGCTTTTATCGGGTGTGGTTTAAGTTTGGGGACAAGGGCGAGAGTCAGGAGTGAAGACTTGGTCCTTCTCCTTCCCTTCTCGTGGAAAAGCAACAGCCCAGCTTTCTCCAACACAGAAACATTGGTCCACACTCGTTATGGCCAGATTATCTCCCAGAGGGCAGTCCCTGTGTGCTGGGATCTTCCTGGCTCGGAGGAGACAGATGCCAGGCCGTCGACAGAGCCTCGCCTGCCCCAAGGAGGGAAGGGGTGGCAGGCGGGCCTCGCTCCCCTGCGCTAGGCAGGGCTGCTGGGGGAGGCCACAGCCTCCTCCCTGCTTTTGACCAGCCAGGCTGTCCCCAGGACCCGGGGGTGTGGTTGTTCCTGGGGCCTCGCTCCCCTGCGCTAGGCAGGGCTGCTGGAGGAGGCCACAGCCTCCTCCCTGCTTTTGACCAGCCAGGCTGTCCCCAGGACCTGGGGGTGTGGTTGTTCCTGGGGCCTCCAGCTAGCACAGCTGGCTCAGCCTGGGCAGTTCTCAGCAGGAGCGTGAGCTGCAGAGTTGCGCAGGTGAAGAGCGAGGAGGGGTGGCGGGCAGCCTGTTGCCCTTACCAAGGGTGCTGAGGTGAGGCTGCCCCACCAGGTTCCTGTAGCCCACTGCTTCGGCCCCCGGGGGCTCCACAAGCGCAAGTTCTGTGCTGTCTGCCGCAAGGTCCTGGAGGCACCGGCGCTCCACTGCGAAGGTACCTGGAGCCTGCCTGGCTCCCCACCCAGTGTCCTGGTCTCTGCTGCCCAGGGTGGCCCAGCCCACCCCTGCTGTGCAGCTTGTCAGGGGTGATGGGGGAGGCCAAGGGCTGGCCGCCTGGCAGGCCACAGGACACTTAAAGGATGCAGGGTGCTAGGTGGTGGGGATGGGGCAGACCCAAGCACCGGCAGAGGCAGGGGTCCTCCGGGGGCGGCAGACACCTCTAACCCTGCCTGCCCCCCAGTGTGTGAGCTGCACCTCCACCCAGACTGTGTGCCCTTCGCCTGCAGTGACTGCCGCCAGTGCCACCAGGATGGGCACCAGGATCACGTGAGTGTACCGGCCCCAGGGAGCCCTGGGGGGTGGGGCGGGCCCAGCTGCTGACTGCCCCCGCTCTGCAGGACACCCATCACCACCACTGGCGGGAGGGGAACCTGCCCTCGGGAGCGCGCTGCGAGGTCTGCAGGAAGACGTGCGGCTCCTCTGACGTGCTGGCCGGCGTGCGCTGCGAGTGGTGCGGGGTCCAGGTGGGCGCTGGGAAGTCGAGGGGGTGGGGGTGGGGCAGGAGAGGTGCGGGGTTGGGTGGGTGCTGGGAGGTGGAGGAGTTGGCGGGGCGGGGCAGGAGAGGCGCGGGTTCCAGGTGGGTGCTCGGGGGCGGGCGGCAGGAAGGACACGGGGTCCAGGTGGGTCTGCGTCGTGTGGGGTCTTTCCCTGGACCTGGCGCACCTGGTGCCCCCGCACCCTGGCTCCAACCCCCCAGCTCAGGCCCTTCTCCCCCCAGGCGCACTCCCTCTGCTCCGCGGCGCTGGCTCCCGAGTGTGGCTTCGGGCGTCTGCGCTCCCTGGTCCTGCCTCCCGCGTGCGTGCGCCTTCTGCCCGGCGGCTTCAGCAAGACGCAGAGCTTCCGCATCGTGGAGGCCGCGGAGCCGGGTGAGGTGCGGGCCGGCCGGGGCGCCCTGGGCTGGGGGCTGCGCACTGAATGAGGGGTCCGTGTGCCCGACCCGCAGGCGAGGGGGGCGACGGCGCCGACGGGAGCGCTGCCGTGGGTCCAGGCAGAGAGACACAGGCAACTCCGGAGTCCGGTAAGTGCCCGCCTCATTCCCCCCAACTCCACTGAGGTCCCCCGGGCGCCCGGGACTCACGGAGCTTACCCGGCCCAGGGAAGCAAACGCTGAAGATCTTTGATGGCGACGACGCGGTGAGAAGAAGCCAGTTCCGCCTCGTCACGGTGTCCCGCCTGGCCGGTGCCGAGGAGGTGCTGGTAAGGGGGAGGCTGGGGGAGGTCTGAGCCCCCTCCCAGGACCGCATGTCCCCGCACCTGGCGCACCTGACCTGGCTCCCCCAACCTGGCGCCCCTCACCCACCTGGCCTCCCCCTCCATGACCTGCCCCCCACTGAACCCCGCCTGACCCCCCACAACTTGGCCCCTCTAACCTGGTGCCCTGCAGGAGGCCGCACTGCGGGCCCACCACATCCCCGAGGACCCTGGCCACCTGGAGCTGTGCCGGCTGCCCCCTTCCTCTCAGGCCTGTGACGCCTGGGCTGGGGGCAAGGCTGGGAGTGCTGTGATCTCGGAGGAGGGCAGAAGCCCCGGGTCCGGCGAGGCCACGCCAGAGGCCTGGGTCATCCGGGCTCTGCCGCGGGCCCAGGAGGTCCTGAAGATCTACCCTGGCTGGCTCAAGTGAGACTGGGCCCGAGGCTCAGGGTCTGCTGGGCGGGGTGGGGGGAGCTCCAGCTCAGACTGTGTCCCCACAGGGTGGGCGTGGCCTACGTGTCCGTGCGAGTGACCCCGAAGAGCACGGCCCGCTCTGTGGTGCTGGAGGTCCTGCCGCTGCTCGGCCGCCAGGTGCGTACCCTGTGCCTGCTCCCCATGCCGGCCAGACTCGGTGGGGGGTCGCTGTCCCCAGGAGGCCAGGCCACCATCCCAGCCCAGGCGTGGCTGTCCCCGCGGGTGTCCTGAGGTGGTGGGGGCCTGCCCAGACCCGATGCCAAGCTCTACCCCAACAGGCCGAGAGTCCCGAGAGCTTCCAGCTGGTGGAGGTGGCGATGGGCTGCAGGCACGGTGAGTAGACAGCCCGTGCTGGGCGTGGCGGTCCCTGCACCTTTTGGGTTTGGACCTGCTGCCCAGGCTTTCCTGCAGGGTGGTGCCGGACATCAAGGCCGGGCTCTGCCCTCCTGACCAGCTCCACCCTGCATCCCCACGGGCCCTGGGGGCTCCGGGCAGCTGCTTCCAAGGTGGGCGAGGAGCCGGGTGCTGACGGCCTGTGCCCTCACCTCTGCAGTCCAGCGGACGATGCTGATGGACGAACAGCCCCTGCTGGACCGGCTACAGGACATCCGGCAGGTGAGTGGGTGTGGACGCCGGCCCCCAGGGAACCAGCAGCCCTCAGCCACAGCCTCTGCCCCACAGGGTGGGTGTGCCCCAGACGCCGAGTTCTCCTTGGCTAGGCAGCGGCTGTCCTGGCTGACAGGGCAGCGCCCTCGTCATGAGCTACTTGGTCCCTGCAGGGAGGCCTCGAGCTGCAGATCTCCCCGAGGTCCTCGAGGGGAACGGACAGGGGTTGTCCACAGCAAGGAAGCCTCTGTGGCCCCTTTCCTCGTTTTCCTGTTGACTTAATTCCTGGGAGTGTTCCTGATGCCCTGTTTTGCTGTTTTGCGGGTGAGGAGACAGAGGGCCTGGTGCGGTGGTGCCGTTCTCCCCGGCCCAGCATCCCCGCCCCTCTCCCTGCAGATGTCTGTGCGGCAGGTGAGCCAGACGCGGTTCTACGTGGCAGAGAGCAGGGATGTAGCCCCGCACGTCTCCCTGTTTGTTGGCGGCCTGCCTCCCGGCCTGTCTCCCGAGGAGTACAGCAGCCTGCTGCATGAGGCCGGGGCTACCAAAGGTGTGACCACTGTGGCTGGCCGTGGGCTGCTGGCACGGGGCAGGGTCGAGCGGCAGGCAGTGGGGCTGCAGTGCTGAGCCGGCTCCTGCCTCTCCTTGAGCCACCAAGGCCTGAGCTCCGGGTCCAGCCCACGTCTCTTCCTCCAAGAGGCTCTGGAGCCTCTCGCCCTCTGTGGCCGTTCCCTGCGGTGCTCAGCCTCTGCCTCTCCCTCTCCCTCTGGGGGGTCCTGTACCTCCAGGGAGCTGGGAGTCCTGCTCCTGGAGTGGGGCAGGGGTACTTCCTGGGGAGGCTGCCTTTGGGGTGAGATGTCACCCCTGGACAGGCGGAGGGGCTGTCCCTGGCCCCAGTGCTGTGTGTCCTTCGCCTCCCACCGCCCTGACCACAGCCTGCCTTTGCAGCCACCGTGGTGTCCGTGAGTCACATCTACTCCTCCCAAGGTGAGCTGCCCTGAGGGACGTGGTCACATGAGGCCCAGGGGTGTTCCTGGGGTGAAGTGGGACAGCCCTGGCCCTCACGTAGCACCTGACCTTTCCCTTGGGCAGCCCTGGGCTGGGGAAACGTCCTGGTTTGGTTCCTGCCCTGGCACCGTGGGGGCCATGGGACAGGCTCCCCCTGAGTCCTGGGCTCCTGCCGCAGGCGCGGTAGTGTTGGACGTTGCCTGCTTTGCGGAGGCCGAGCGGCTGTACATGCTGCTGAAGGACATGGCTGTGCGGGGCCGGCTGCTCACTGCCCTGGTGCTCCCCGACCTGCTGGTGAGTGTGCGGTCAAGCCGGCTCTTCACACACCCCAGGGGGTGGCCAGAGGGAGGTCGGGGTCTGCAGGTGCACAGGCCCCACAGCCAGACTCGCTGTTTTCATCTGGCATCACTTCCTTGAATTCACTGGGGGCTTGTAGGTGCCACCTTGTTTGTGCCTCACAACAGCAGGAAGGACTCTGTTGCCCGTTTTACAGCAAGGGGCCTGAGGTCAGAGGGTCAGCGCTCATCCGAGGCTGCCCAGTAGGTGATACCAGCTCCGTGGGGCACCGTGGGGTCAGGCCCAGCTTCCACGCTGCACCTGAGGCCTCCACCCAGTAGGGAGGCCCACAGGACGCAGCTCCTGGATGTGCCGGGCCCCGCTGCGGCTGCCTCGCCAAGGGCCAGAGCGTGTTTGTGACCAGCTGTCAGGATCCCAGGCATGGCCCTCCCGGTACAGCCTCAGCCTCACTCCCCCTGCCCGGGAGGCCTTAGGGCCTCTGCTCTCTGCCTGGAGCTCCCCAGGCCAGTCAGTGCAGCTCCCAAACTTTGAACGCTGCCCTTCAGACCCACAGTGCCCAGAAGAGGGGGCACCTGGCAACAGGGCAGGGCTGGGGGAAAGGGGGATCTGGAACATGGAGACAGGGCAGGGCCGGGGGGAACGGGGGTCTGGTCCGTGGAGACAGGGCAGGGCCGGGGGGAACGGGGTTCTGGCCCATGGAGGGGCTGGAGCCTGGGACTCCACGCTGCACACCGTGCCTTCACATTGGCCTCTCGTCCTCAGCCCATCTAGCCCCCAAAGGGTCCCATGAGGACCCCCCAGGTGTCCATGGCTGTTCTACCCCTGAACCTTGACCCTTGATCGTGACCCCAGTCCAGGCGAAGCAGAACTCGAGCAGAATGAGTTGTCTGTGGCTGGGACGGGAGATGCCTGTGGCTCCCTGCTATGCCTCCCTCCTGTGCCCCTACACCCGGCCTTGCCTGGCTCAGGACAGGGTGGCCATCCCCACTGTCCCGAGGATGCAGCCCCCACCCCAGCTCCACTCGCTCTGTGGGCAGAGCCAGGTTTGGGGCCGACACGCGCTTTCTCTCTCCCGTCAGCTGCCTGCCCTGGGGTGAGTGGTAAGTGGTGACCGCAGGCGGCTCTGCCTGCCAAGTGGGTCACGAAGCCCCGAGTGTGTCCTTGCCCCCAGCCACGGCCGGCCCCTGTGCCGCTGCCCACCCTGTGTCTGCACCCAGCCTGTGTGTCTCCTGTTGCCCAGCCTTCCCCGCTGTGGGGGCCCCAGCCTCCTGTCGTAGGGTCCCTAGCCTCCTGTCGTAGGGATCCCAGCCCTGAGCCCGCTGTGTCTAGATCCCTGGGTACTGTTTCTTGGGGTTGTGTGTGGGGAGATGGACTCTGTCCTGTGGTCGAGGGACGCCGCGTGCCACCCTGTGAGTTAAGAGCTTTTCTCGGCTGCTGTGTAGGTGGGCGGTGGCCTGGGAGCCGCCATCCTCCAAAGGTGTGCACCAGAGGCCCCCCAGGGGACAGGCCTTGGTCTCGCTGGCACAGAGTGCCACGCAGAGTCCCACGTGGATTTCCAGCCTGGACTCGCGCTGCATGGCCCAGGCGGGTGTGGTCTGTTCACACGCAGCTCAGTGGGCAGGTCTGAGGCCTTTGTGCTGGGAGTGCCAGGCAGCCAGCCGGCTGTCCTCAGTGCCGCCCTGCTGGCCAGCAGCGAGATGGGGTGACCACGCAGCTCATGTGTGAGGCCTCAGATGTGAGGGTGCTGGCCACGCCTTCCTGGGGAGGGGGCTGGTCCAAGCCAGGTGGGCTCAGGGTTGGGGGCTGGGCACTGCCTGGCAACCCCAGCAGTGGGGACACCCCACCTTGGGTCCCCATCCTAACCCAGCCCCCTGTCTGTCAGCACGCGAAGCTGCCCCCAGACAGCTGTCCCCTCCTTGTGTTCGTGAACCCCAAGAGTGGAGGCCTCAAGGGCCGAGACCTGCTCTGCAGCTTCCGGAAGCTACTGAACCCTCATCAGGTCTTCGACCTGACCAACGGAGGTCCTCTTCCCGGGTGAGTCCAGCAGGACCCCTGGTCCAGGGCAGCAGCAGGGGCGGGAAGGGCCCCAGGAGGCTGCCACAGCTGTCTCGGCCGGCAGGAGCTCCACGGGGATCCCGTGCTGGGACCTTGAAGTCCTCCACACGGCCAGGACGGGCACTTGGAAGAGGCAGCCTGGGTGGGGGATGGGCTGCGCCCGCAGCTGGTAGAGGACACTTCCTGTCTCCCGCTAGGCTCCACCTGTTCTCCCAGGTGCCCTGCTTCCGGGTGCTGGTGTGTGGTGGCGATGGCACTGTGGGCTGGGTGCTTGGCGCCCTGGAGGAGACACGGTACCGACTGGCCTGCCCGGAGCCTTCTGTGGCCATCCTGCCCCTGGGCACAGGTGGGCTCAGCCGTGCAGCCGAGGAGGGGGCCTCAGGGTCTACCCCTTCCTGTGCAGCTTTTGCCGAGGCCTGGGCTGGCTGTCCTCGTGGTGGGGTCTGCACCCAGCTGATGGGCGGGTGGGTGTGGACAGATGCTCTGTGTCTGCTTGTGTCCCAGGGAATGACCTTGGTCGAGTCCTCCGCTGGGGGGCGGGCTACAGCGGCGAGGACCCGTTCTCCGTACTGCTGTCTGTGGACGAGGCCGACGCCGTGCTCATGGACCGCTGGACCATCCTGCTGGATGCCCACGAGGCTGGCAGTGCAGAGAACGACACGGCAGACGCAGAGCCCCCCAAGGTACAGGGCAGCCCGGCGTGGGGTGCCTTCCAGGCTCCTGCATATGACCCCGCTACACGCGTCACAACGGGCGTCCTCTTCCCAGCCACACTCGGGTGTACGCGCCCGCATCATCCCCTCTGCAAAGCGGGCAGTTGAGGGAGACACAGAAAGTAGCCACTGCTGGGGATTGTGCTGAGCCAGCTGGCGACAGAGCCTGGCCAGGACCTGCCCATGCTGCCCTCTCCTGGGTGCTCGGCTTGGTGCCAGGGTGGTCCTTGCTCTTGTCTCTGCCTGCCGGCAGAGCTGTTGGGGAGCTCAGGGGGCCTGGTGAGGGCGGCCGGGTCCTGGGAGATGAACGCCCTGTCCCCAGATCGTGCAGATGAGTAACTACTGTGGCATTGGCATCGACGCGGAGCTGAGCCTGGACTTCCACCAGGCACGGGAAGAGGAGCCTGGCAAGTTCACAAGCAGGTACCGGAGCCGCAGGGGCTACCACCTGTCAACGGCATACCTCCCTCAGGTCCCCCAGCAGGAACAGGCAGAGGGGCCGGAACCCGGAGGCTGCCTAAGGCGGGGTAGGGCTTCCCCTGGTGATGGGTGACCTGCCCCGTCCTGCAGGCTGCACAACAAGGGTGTGTACGTGCGGGTGGGGCTGCAGAAGATCAGTCACTCTCGGAGCCTGCACAAGCAGATCCGGCTGCAGGTGGAGCGGCAGGAGGTGGAGCTGCCCAGTATTGAAGGCCTCATCTTCATCAACATCCCCAGGTGCTCGCGGGCGGGGCTCCCCAGAGGCTCTGCCCGGCGGGGCCATGGGCAGGCTCAGCCCTCGTCCTGCCTGCACCTACACCTCTGTGCCCGCTCTCTTATGCGGCAGCTGGGGCTCGGGGGCCGACCTGTGGGGCTCCGACAGCGACACCAGGTTTGAGAAGCCACGCATGGACGACGGGCTGCTGGAGGTTGTGGGCGTGACGGGCGTCGTGCACATGGTGAGCCGCCGGCCGAGTGGGCGGGCGAGCCCAGGGTGGGCGTCCCCGGTCCCCGCTGAGCCCAGCTGGCCTCTCCCGCCCCAGGGCCAGGTCCAGGGTGGGCGTCCCCGGTCCCCGCTGAGCCCGGCTGGCCTCTCCCGCCCCAGGGCCAGGTCCAGGGTGGGCGTCCCTGGTCCCTGCTCGGCTGGCCTCTCCCGCCCCAGGGCCAGGTCAGCGGTGGGCGTCCCTGATCCCCGCTGAGCCCGGCTGGCCTCTCCCGCCCCAGGGCCAGGTCCAGGGTGGGCTGCGCTCCGGAATCCGGATTGCCCAGGGTTCCTACTTCCGAGTCACGCTCCTCAAGGCCACCCCGGTGCAGGTGGACGGGGAGCCCTGGGTCCAGGCCCCGGGGCACATGATCATCTCAGCTGCTGGCCCTAAGGTATGTGGGGTGAGGCTGGAGAGCCAGGGGAGGTGGGCCGGGCTGGGCCGGCCATGGGAGTGGCCAGTGGTACCCAGGTGGTGCTGGCATGGCCGGCTGCGGCCAGGGAGCACTGACTCCGGGAGGGTGCCTGCTTCAGAGGAGGGCTGTGCCAGTGGCCAGGCGGGCCACAGGTGGCACAGGGAGCAGCCAGACAGGTCCCTCCCCTTCCGTGAAATGGGGCTGAGATGGCATCAGCTGCCCGGGGCCCCAGGACCGGGGGCTGCCCGTGTACCGTTCTTTCATCGGCCATGTCACCCTGGTCCTCTGTCCCCTGCCCTGGGACAGGTGCACATGCTGAGGAAGGCCAAGCAGAAGCCGAGGAGGGCCGGGACCACCAGGGATGCCCGGGCGGATGCTGCGCCTGCCCCTGAGAGCGATCCTAGGTAGGGGTGGCTGGGGCAGCCCAAGGGCTCGAGCCATCTCTGCTCCCGCCAGCCTTGTTTTCAGGTGGTCTGGAGGCAGCTCCACGTCCACACAGTGGCCGGCCCTGTGGTCGGACCTGGCTACAGCCCTGACCACAGCATCTTCCCAGTGACGGAGCGGGACCCGCCCTCATCCCATTGGTGACACATGTTGGTGTCACAGCCCTCATCCCACTGGAGACTGGTGTGCGGGTGGCAGTGTTACCCCGTGTCCCGGGTGGGCGCAGGGCTCTGGATGGTGAGCCCTCTGCCCTGTGGGGGCCTGGTCCTCTCCTCAGGGGTGGGCACCCATCCCTCTCCCCACTGAGCCCCTTGAGCTGGACAGTGCTGGATGCAGGCCGTCCAGGTGGGTCTGATCTCACTTTGTGCCCCTCGGGCCGTCCCCCTGGCCAGTCCTTAAGAGCAGCAGGCTCCCTGGTGTGTCCCTGCCCCAGCAGACACAGGCTGCCAGTCCCTCCAGCCTCACCTCCCCGCCCTGGGCAGCAGGTGTGGGCAGCGTGTGAGGCTGCCGGGTGGTGGTGACTGGTGACTTCCTTGTGTTCAGGGAAGGGAGAAGGTGCCTTCCCTTGTTTTCTGGCCTTGTTATATACAGATGGCAGCTTGGATCTCAGGTACAGCTCCAGGGGCAGGCAGTGCCCAGCTGGACCTGGTGGCCCTTTCCTAGTGCCTCTGCTTGGGGAGGAGAACCTCTGTCCACGTGGAGGCTAGGAGGTCTCAGGTGCTGCCCTGGCAGCACCAGAGTGTGGGCCGGGCCCGAGTGTCTGCCCCTCGGCCCTCAGGGTGGGGCACTTAGCACCCAGAAGGGACCAAAAGCAGGGCATGGCGGTGCAGAGGAGTTTGGGAGGTGTAAACAGCCCATGCACGTGGAGGAGGAGCTGGCTTTCAGCCCCAGACCCCACGCTAGCACTTTCCACGCTGCTTGCCCGCTGTTGATGTGCAGTTCCCAGTGCCTGTGTGAGCCGACATCTGCTCAGTCCTATCCCTCGTCAGCGTGTGGAGACCCAGCTCCTGCAGCCCTCCTGCTCCCACGCCCCCAGACAGCTTGGTGGAGGGTCCTGCATCTGGGCCAGGCTGGGGTGCACCCAGCCAAAGACAAAGCTGCCTCCACGTGCCCAAGGATTCAGATGGTGCACTGGCCCCGGGAGGAGTCTGACCAAAAATGGAGCCCGCTCTGTGGGGAAGCCCCGACTCCCCCACGAGAAACGGTCCCACGGTGCGGATCTCCCCCTTCCCTTGTGGGGCACAGCTGGCCTGGGCCTCCAATCCTGCGGAGCTTTCCTGGGTGTGGCTTTGACCTCAGAAGTGGCTCTGGTTTGGCCTCAGGAGTGTGGCCTGGCCCAGCCTGCTGCAGCCTCCTGGGGGGCCCTTGATGCCACTAATCCCCCGACCCCCCGCATCTGCCAAACTGCACAGACACACGCATTGTAAGGCCGCTTGTGGCCTCCAGCGTGCACTCTTGTTTACGTCATTGTCATCTTCAAGACCAGTCCTTTGTGATTAGTTTTGCTTCGCGAGCCCTGGTGTGGACTGTGGTCTGTATGAATCGTGTGTAACTGTGGTGAGGGGCTTGTCCTGTATGTGAGTCTGTACCCAGGTGGGGTCTGTGCCCTGCACACCGGGCCCCTCTGTATTTATCGCTGCCTGAATGCAACAGTAATTTATATCCAGGACAAATACAGTCTGGGCGTCACTATCCTACCATCTCTTCCTCATCTTTGTGTCAACAACCGAGGGGAGGGGAGGGCCTGGCTTGGCACCCCCGACCCCACCAGCTCTGTATAGGCCTCAAAGGGGCTGGGAGTGGGCTGCCCCTCGGGTAGGTGAGCTTGGCAACGTGTCTTCAGGTTGGAGAGAGTGGATAGGCAAATGCCATAAAGCACATTTCCAGTTCCTGTGAAACTCCTCTCTCCGCAAAAAGTGGAGAACAATTTGAGGACTGAAATAAGAGCATGATATTTCACAATGAAAATAAAACCAGGCCACGCAAGAACCACTGCGGCCTGCCCGTGACTTGGCTTCCCCTGCCCAGCATCCTGTCCTCCCTGGTCCATCTCTGGTGAGGACGGCTGGGAGTGGGCTCTGTGGCTGCTAGCAGGGGGCAGGGAGGAGCTGGGACTGTGGGTCGTCCTGGCCCGTGGGGGCTGGCGGGGGGTGTTCGGGCCGGGCGAGGCCCCGCAGGACCCGCAGGGTGGCCAGGGCCAGGCCCACGAGCAGGCGCAGCAACAGGAAGGCGCAGGGCACGGCGATCTGCATGAGGTGGAAGATGCCCACACTGAACCTGCTCAGCAGGCAGGTGGAGGCGAAGGCCAGCAGGCTGGCACAGGGGTACAGCGCCAGCTTGGCGAACATGAGCACATGCTCCCGGCCGCCAAACCACACCGAGGGCTGCAGCGTCTCCGCCTGGTGCAGCAGCGCCGTGGTCCACATGGCCAGCTGGAAGATGCTGGCCAGGAAGATGATGGTGCAGCTGACACGCACGCGCTCCAGCTCATCGCGGGGCTGCCGGGCGAAGGCCGAGGTCTGCTGGTAGGCTAGTGGGAGGCCACCCACGAAGGCCAGCGAGAGCGTGTTCAGCAGCCCCATGGCCCGCGTGGCCTTGCGCACATGCAGGAAGAGTGAGTGGTGGGCGAACCACAGCAGTCCCACTGTGGCGAAGGAGCCGAAGTACGCCAGGAAGCGCGGCCCGGTCGCACTCAGGGCGGCCACGAGGCTGCCGCTGAACCTCTCCTTCACATCCTTGGGGTCCGGGACGTTGTCTTCGCTGAGAACAGTGAATAGATGCATTTGTGCCGGCCTTGCCGTGGCCACACAGGCCCCAGCAGGGTGGCTGAGCGCCTGTCAGGGCTGCCTGGATCTGGCACGTTTTCAGATGAACCATGTGGACTTCCCAGTGTGCTAAATTTCAGAACGCCGTATTTATGTGTATTTGGCACACTGACTGTTACGTGCTGTTCATCTGAAATTCCATAGAAACTGGCACCCTTCTGCTCTGTGCTAATGGGAGCCCAACCCTGCTGGCCCAGAGTGCTGCTGGGGGCCCTGGGCTGCAGCCCTCTCTGGCCGAGGCTCTCCTGTGTTTGCTGGGCAGGACCAGCCTGCTGTGGGGCAGCGAGGTCTGTTCCCTCCCAGCTTCCAGCCCTCGGAGCCACCCACACAACACCCTGGCTGAAGATCTGCAGAGGGCTTGCCTCCACGGTTCTCAGATGCACATGGGGGTCTCAGGAGGCCAACTCCCTCCACAGGGAGGCTGTGGGAACCCCCTTGTCAGGGCTGCTGCCTTCTGACGGCACCACCCAGAAAGCCGGGAACAGTGTCGTCCTTCAACATCGGGAAGTGAAGGACAGTGGTCCTCATGCAGCCCCAGACAGACTTCTGTCCTCCAGAACAATACGCAGAGGGCGAGGGGTGAGGGGTGGGGGTTGGGGGCAGGAGACAGACTGGAGGCAGCAAGGGCAGGAAGTTGCTGGGAGGGGGCAGCTCCCCTGGCCATGGCTCCAGGTGGAGGAGAGGTCACTGTCCCGGCCCCACGCTGCTGCCTCTCTTCGGCAGGTCCCTCCCAAGGGGAGCCTCAGCTGGCCTGCACAATCAGGCAGCTCACCCTGGAGCATCCCTGGCACCTGGGCCTTAGAGATCAGATGCCAATGAACGTTTGCTTCCCGTTTTTAAAAATGCACACGACAGCAGAGAAGAGCATCAGGAGACTTGGACTCGAGAATATCAAGTACAGGATATAAAACCATAGTGTCTAACCCCAAGGTGGTCACAGTGCTGAACTATGACGAGGGAACAAGACACTCCAAAAGGATGGAAGATGTAAAAAAGCAAATTCAAACATTACGATGGCCGGGCACGGTGGCTTACACCTGTAATCCCAGCACTTTGGGAGGCCGAGGTGGGCAGATCACCTGAGGTCAGGAGTTCAAGACCAGCCTGGCCAACTTGGTGAAACCTCATCTCTATTAAAAATGCAAAAAGTTAGCTGGGCATGGTGGTGGGTGCTTGTAATCCCAACTACTTGGGAGGCTGAGGCAGGAGAATTGCTTGAACCTGGGAGGCGGAGGTTGCAGTGAGCTGAGCTTGAGCCACTATACTCCAGCCTGGGCGACACAGCAGGACTGTCTCAAAAAAAAAAAAAAAAAAACCCCACAAAAACCAAAAACGTGACGACTGAGACGAGACGCGCGCTCTAACAGACGAAGAGGCAGATGAGGCCGCGGAGGAGCAGACGCTGGAAGGAAGCAACAGCCAGCCAAAGGGAGCAGGAGGGGCTGCGAAGCGATGGGGGGCACTGGGAGGGAGCCGGAGGGAATGGGAGGGACTAGGGACTAGGAGGGGCTGGTGTTGGGGCAGGGGTGAGGCCTGGGGCAGGGGGATACCCATGGCTGCTGAGCCCCTCTGAGAGGAGTGAGGAGAGCAGTTGGCTGCTGGTGCTGACCTCACCCTGGCACCCCATCCTCGGCTGTGCTTGGGGTGGGAGCCGCTGGGAAGGGAGGGGCCGCTGGGAAGGGAGGGGCCGCCGGGAAGGTTGTCCTCCCTGAAGTGGGGGCTGCCCTGACCTCACACAAAACTCTAGGCATCCAGAGGAGGGTGGAGCCAAGACCCCTGTGCCTTTCTGGGGTTTCCAGGATGAGACGCCAGGGACTCAAGACACATTGGCCACCTGATAGCTGGGGCAGGTGACGCGGGGTCCTCACCAGATGTCCAGGATGAGAAGCGTGGCCACGATGGCGTAGACTCCGTCGCTGAAGGCTTCCACGCGCTCCTTGCTGAGTGGCTCGTGGAGGTCAAACGAGAAGACTTCCACTGGGTGAGCCGAGGGCTCCCTGTGGCCTGGGGACACGCCAGGAGGGTGGAGCTGGCCAAACCCCCCATGTGGAGGTAGAGCCCGCGTGGCTGTCACCGCCCTCATCCATGAAGAGGCCTGGAATGTGCAGGCCAGGAGAGGAGACAGGACAGGGACGCCCGAGGGGCGGAGTGGGGGAGCCCCAGCCACCACCACGCACACGGGCCTCGGCCCACGGACAGCCCTCAGTGCGGAGCAGCCGCACGGAGGTGGGCGGACTACAGGCCTCTCAGGCCAGCCCACCCAGTCATCACCTACCCAGGAGCCTGTCTCTGCACCAGCCGGTGACCTTGCTGACATAGGGGAGGAGGATGACAGTCACCATCAGCAGGTAAGACTGCAGGGAGACAAACCGCAGGTCAGTGCCCTCCACAGGGGTCCGAGGCCAGGCCTTACCCACACAAAGCTGTGTGCCAAAGCAGGGGCTGCGGCAGAAGGGAGGGTCTTTGCAGATCATGTATCTGATGGGGCCTAGTACCCAAAAAGTGTAAAGGATTCTTAAGCCAGCACAGTGGCTCATGCCTGTAATCCCAGCACTTTGTGGGGCTGAGGCAGGTGGATCGCTTGGGCCCAAGAGTTCGAGACCAGCCTGGGCAACATAGTAAGACTGTATCTCTACGAAAAATAAAAAATTAGTCAGGTGTGACTGTGTGTGCCTGTTGAACCTGGGAGACAGGAGTTGCAGTGAGAGGTGACCCAGCTCACTGCACTCCAGCCTGGGTGACAGAGCAAGACCGTGTCTTAAAATTTATCGTCTATCTCCCTATCTGAAATTCTTACAACTCAAAAATAAAAGGACGACCCAATTAAAAATGGGCAAAGGATGAGAACAGACATTGCTCCAAACAAAACATGCAAATGGTCGACCTCTCGCAGATCAAAACCACAACGAGATTCTTCATATCCACTAGGATGGAGAGAACTGAAAAACAGCAGGTGTTGATGAGGATGTGGACAAACTGGAACCACCATGTGCTGCTGGTGGGAATGTAAAATGCTGCAGCTGCTGTGGAAGTTTGGTGGTTCCTCAAAAAATTAAACTTAAAAAATTAAACAGAATCACCAAATGACCCAGAAACTCACTGTGGGCACACACACCAACAGCCTGAGAAGACAGATCTGAAGAGACACGTGTCCAGCAATGCTCAGAGAGGCATCACTCCAGCAATGCCCACAGTGGCTCCACACGCAACAATGCTCACACCGGCGCCACTCACGGCAGCTACACGTCTCCAGCAGTGCTCACAGCGGCGCCACTCACGACACCTACACGTCTCCAGCAGTGCTTTTGTTGCCTTCTCCCTCTCCCTAGTGGCTCACATTCTCCAAGCACCAACAGCTGATGTCCCCATGAGCAGATACTGGTCTTATCCCCAGGGGCTCCTCCTCCAAACACTGTTTGATGTTTACTGTCCTGACACAGTTTTGTATAGATTCCTTATCCAAAAGAAAATAGGCTGGACGCAGTGGCTCATGCCTGCAATCCCAGCACTTTGGGAGGCTGAGGTGGGTGGATCACAAGGTCAGGAGTTCGAGACCAGCCTGGCCAACATGGTGAAACCCCGTGTCTACTAAAAATACAAAACTTAGCTGAGGGTGGTGGCAGGCACCTGTAATCCCGGCTACTCAGGAGGCTGAGGCAGGAGAATTGCTTGAACCTGGGAGGCAGAGGTTGCAATGAGCCGAGATTGCGCCAGTGCACTCCAGCCTGGCAGCAAAACTCCGTCTCAAGAAAAAAAAAAGAAAAAAAGAAAATAAAGGCTGGCGTGGTGGCTCACACTGTAATCCAGCACTTTGGGAGGCTAAGGCGGGAGGATCACTTTAGTCCAGGCATTCCAGACTAACCTGGGCAATATAGCAAGACTCTGTCTCCACAAAAAATACCAAAACTACCCAGGTGTGGTGGTGCACACCTGTAGTCCCAGCTACTTGGGAGGCTGAGGTGAGAGAATCACTTGAGCCCGGGAGGTCGAGGCTGTGGTGAGCCAAGATCACACCACTGCCCTCCGGCCTGGGTGACACAGCGAGATCTTGCCTCAATGAACAAAAAACAAAACAAGAAAACGCATGCACCCCCGGATTCCGGGTGTCGCTGTTTCTGGTCATCGTCATCGTGAAGCTTCTCTGAGAAGGACACTCAGCTGCCCCTTCCTTCGATGAGCGTCCGTCTCTGTCCTCGACAGGCTGGGTCTCGGGGCCTCAGGTGGAGCAGGCCTCCCTCCCTGGTGCCACTCACTGCAGCCCTGGGCCTCACACACAAGACCCTGGGTGGAACCCCTGCCTGTCTGCGCTCTGCCCCCACCCCCGTGTTTGTTGCTCAGCGGGGACATTGCTCCTATGGTGGCCCCCGTTCCTGCCTGGGCCCCACGGGCTGTCCCAGCACTCACCAAGGGGACAAAGAAGAGAGAGAAGATGGCCGCTGCAAAGCACAGGGCCGGGCCTTGGAGGACGATGCCCAGGACGTGTCGTCGGTACAGAGCCCTGTGGGCAGAGCGCTGGATCTGCGGGCTCAGCAGGTGCGGGAAGTGGAATGCGTACCCCACAATCAGTGCCTGCGGGAAAAGCAAGCTGTAGGACACAGGCCCCAAGAGCAGAGGGGGCCCCCACAGCAGTCAACCCCCGGGCTGCATGGCACACGCACGCAAGGGTCTCGAGGTGGGGAGGACCTGGCCCCGGGCTGCATGGCACGCGCGCACAGGGGTCTTGGGGTGGGGGAGGACCTGGCGAGTAGAGGTGGGCTTGTACCTGGGACACTTTGGGCACAGGGGCTGAGGTGGAGAGAGAACAGGAGCCCCTGCTGGCTCCTGGGGCCGCATGTGGGGGGTCTCAGGGCCCACTCTTCCCAGTCTCTGGTCAGAAAGCGGGGACTCTGGGCATGCCACATCCTATGTGTGTAGGTGGCCTCAGGAACCCTACCTGTGTGACCTGACGGCAATCGATCACTCACACATATACACACACACATACAGCACACACACACACACAGCACAGGGCCCCGGGCCCCAAGAGGGCTGATGGTGAACACACACGCACACACACACACAGAGCACAGGACCCCGGGCCCCAAGAGCACTGATGGTGAACACACACACACACACACACACACACACACAGCACAGGACCCCAGGCCCCAAGAGGGCTGATGGTGAACACACACACACACACACACACACACACAGTGCAGGCCCCCTGGGCCCCCTACCTGCACGACCCCGATGGTGATCACACACACACACACACACACACACACACACACACACACACACAGTGCAGGCCCCCCAGGCCCCCTACCTGCACGACCCCAATGGCGATCACACACACACAGAACAAGAAGATGCCCAGAGGCACATCAGGGAAGGTCACCATTAACGAAAACTGTTAAAACAAAAACAAAACCAAACCCCCCCAAATCCTAGGTTACCAGGCCCCAGAGCCTGGAACTGGGCCATGGTGAGCCTCCCCACTCCACGGGACGCTGGGAGATGCGGTGGGGCCATCACAGGATGGCGCCAGCTGGGTGCTGGGGGGCATGTGTCCAAACTGCCCCCACCCCAACCAACTCCACCAGATGTCTCAGGCCTTTAAAGCCAAAATGTCATCCGATTCATACGGAATTCCCCAGACCCCAGTTCCTTGTGGCACACAGCCCCGCACACTCAGACTAGCGGCCACTGCCAGAATTTGGAGGCACTTTCACAGCCTGAGTAGTACAGGGCGGGTGGTCGGAGGCTGTAGGGGCTGCACGCCAGGGACAGGCCTGGGATGGGCAGGGGGCTGTGGGCTCAGGGCCGGGTGGGAGCTGGGAGCGCCGGTGACTCCCTCATCGGGGCCACTGCCTCCCCTCCCCGCCAGCCTGAAAGAAGCCCCCAACAGCCCAACAGCTGGCTCTCCCCAGAACCTTCTCTCTTCTCTACAACCGTGTGGCCTGGGCCCTGGGCCATCCAGCTGGTCTGCTTTTGAGGACAGGTCAAATCCAGTGGTGCCCAGCAAAGCCTCAGGGTGTCAGGGGCCTGGTGTTGCTCACCGTGTAAGGCAGGAAGGTGATGGTCATCATGCAGGCCTGGAGGGAGGGAGGGCATCACAGCCATGATGCGGCCTGGGGAGAAGGGCAGGGGAATGGACAGAGCCCACTCCGGGAAGGCACAGGGCTGGGCCCTCCCCAAGAAGGGTGGGCCAGCGAGTGTGAGTCCAGCCCCCAGACCCTGCAGGGCCAGATGGGGGCACTCATCCTCTCTGTCCCCTACACCTGTGCCCAACCCAGTGCCCCTGGTCCCCCACACCCTGGCTGTGTCTGGGAGGAGATATAGGCTGGCGACCCATGGGGAGGGAAAGATCATTCAAGGAGCTCCCAGCTGTGGACAGATTCCAGGCTCCGAGACTCCCTGGAGGTCACGAGAGAGGCCGGCTGCTCCCTTCCCCTCTTCCCTGAGGGTCAGATTACAGACCAGAGTCACTCCCCAGAAAAGGACCGGAAAATACTCACCAGGTTGAGCAGGGCAAGTGTGTCGTCTGTTTTCCCAACAACTTGGAACAACCTAAACCATTTAAGAAAAAGATAGACAATAAAACGCGGTTGTAGTAACATTAAATGCACACACACTCTTTCCAGCATCTTCTGGTTAAAACATCATTAAAAGATGTCACTGTTAACCAAATATAAACTACTACCTAGTGCACGGAGTTTGGAAAACACGAAGGAAATGAAGTTCCCTAGAAAGCACCCTGCTCCCATCCACACCCTGCACCATCCGCACCGCCCACACCTCCGCCTACTGCACCATCCACACCATCCACACCTCCACCTATTGCACCATCCACACCATCCACACCATCCACACCTCCACCTATTGCACCATCCACACCTCCACCTACTGCACCGTCCACACCTCCGCCTACTGCACCATCCACACCATCCACACCTCCACCTATTGCACCATCCACACCATCCACACCTCCGCCTACTGCACCATCCACACCGTCCACACCTCCACCTATTGCACCATCCACACCTCCACCTACTGCACCGTCCACACCTCCGCCTACTGCACCATCCACACTGTCCCAGGCCCTGGGTTTGGGGTAAGTCCTGCCATCCCCACGCGGATGAGGGTGGGAGGAGTAGCCTGCTGTCCTCCCCGACCCCATGGACCCGTGCGTGATGTGGTGCGGGGTACGGGAACCTTGAGAGCAGCTATGGACCGCTGGAAGCGCCCGGGCCCCCACCTTGTGTGTGCTGCCCAGGCCACTGTCACGATGAGAAAGGTCATCAGGTAGACGGCAATCCGTGTTGCCAGAAGCCTCTGTACACTTCTGTCGAACTGCTGGAATACAAGAGCACTGCTGTCAGAGCCCAGGTGACATGAGTGTCCCTGAATGGCAGTCGAGACAGCACCGTGAGGGGGGGCTGGCCTCGGCCCAGGGCAGGGCGAAACCCTCGGGTGGGTCCTGTGAGGCACCTGGGAGGGTCCTGGCCTCCCCAGCAGACCCTGAGTGCCCTGGTCTGGGTCCAGCCTCCGTCTCCAGCTGGTCTGTCTCCCCTGGCACCTGCAGCCCCCACCCCTCCAGCCCCCACCCCTTCTCCAGGGCGCTGATCCATGCCCACACCCACAGGTGTACTCCAGAGTGTTCTATGGGCTGTGTTCCTGCTGGGGGGTCAGCTCTTAATGGGCTCGGTGTCTGCTGTGGACTCCGCCTCAGGGATGGTACCCTCTGTGTATCCGCATGTGGGAGGGGACAGGAGGGCAAAAGCACCAGGTCACGAATGTCATTCATGAGGCTCTGCCATCATAACCGGGTCACCACCGAAAGGCTCTGCCTCACAACGCCATCCCTGTGAGGCGTCCGGCATGCGGACTTCGGAAGGACACACAGGTTGACAGCACAAAAGGGTCACACCTGGCACTGCCTAGGTAGGCAATTCCAAAGCAGCCACGGGAAAGGGTCTCTGTGGAAGCTGCGAGGGACCCCGAAGGCAGCCTGCCCTGGGGGCCGCGGTGGGCGTGGAGGCACCGGGGCCCTCGCCCTCCAGCCCTGGGAAGGTTTTCATGCTTTCTCCACGAACGCTCCCAACAGAACACTGAGCACTTTACTGTCTCCCTTGGTTCTTCACTTGCAGGCAGGTCTCTGGGTCAATAACTTAGTGTTTCAGTCACTTCTTAATTGAGTCCCATTTAGCTTTTCGAATCATGGGTTTTCAAAGTTACAACTGTCTTTTATTTTTCATCAGAGTGAGCACAGCCCCAGGAGTCCCCTCTCCTCACAAGGAGGTGTCCACTGTTCTAGCACCTTCCCTGGGACACACGTCAGGCCTTTCCCTCTTCACATAAATGTGTTCTCTGAATGAGCTTTTGACTCTCCAGGACTTTCTGAGACTCAGACCCTCCCTGTGACCCAGTTAGGACAACAGAGAAAAGACAGGGCACTAAACACCACAGTCCTAGAAAGGTGCCCTGGCTGCAGAGAAGTCGGAGCAGGTTTAGGTTCACAGGTTTTTATTTTCAACCACCCGGGCCCTTCATTGTCATGCGCCCTCTGGCACGGGCATCACAGGTGGATGTGGCCGTACCTCAGCGACCCCGTTCTGAAAGGGGCAGCCAAGGCCAGTACCTCACGACTGCATTTGGCCAAGCCCACCCCATGGGCCTCGGTGGGGACGCAGCTTTCCTGAGCAGCTGCCCCCCTAGGGAGGGCGGGAGCGGCTCTGGGGTCCCAGTGCCTGTGCTGCTTGCTGCCTGCTGGTGCCCAGGGTCTCCCTGCAGACTGGGCCAGGCTCCACCCGCATTTCTACTTATGAAAACCCTATGTAAAGTCTCATCATCCCCTTCGCACAGCTGAGAAAGCCGAACTCTAAGCAGCTCCCATGACTTCTCGGCGTCCCCCAGGCTCAGCTCACGAGTCAGGACTGGAGGCCCAACCTCAGTACTGGCCCAGGAAGGGCTACGTGGTCACTGCTGTGCCTTGCGCACCCATGAAGCTTGGGCCGCACGACCCTGTCATGAGGACACAGAGCCAGGCAGGTGTGGGCCCCAGACGCCCTCCAGTCATTCCCCTTCTAAGATGCTGTTTGGCTCTTTAGCTCAGAAACAGTCAAGGTGGAAACTCTGCTTGTAAACCCTTTCCCGCTCACCTCCAGGCCTGCAGGAGCAGCCGGGGTGGGAGTGTCCCCGCTGAGACGGGGCGCTGGCCGCGTTTACTCAGAGCAGCTACGTAAGGGGCCTGCCTGCTGGGGCAGCTGCCCTCCCGCAGAGGAAACTTCTGTCCTTGGGGCAGGCCCGGAACCTTCCTCTTCCAACCTGTCCTCTGGCTCACTTCCAGGGTGCTGCCTTTGTCCACTGAACTCGGAAACAGAGCCCTAGGAGCCCAGTCTCCCACCCTCCCAGGAGGCCAGGACCTCCGCCGGGGTGAGCACAGGCTGAGCAGGACTTGTTGGCTCCCTCCCTTTCCAAGGAGGCCCCCGCCTCCCGCCTCTGCCTCCTAAGCCTCAGAAGCTTCGAGGCGTGCAGGGTCAGCACCCTGTGCCAGGTCGAGCCTCGGGGACCCTATATCTTCGCAGGGCCACACCACGCAGAGCACAGCCTGCCCCGTTACCTGTTCTGGGGAGATCTCCGTGTGGGTCACAGGCAGGATCTGAGGGGGCAAAGAGACAGAAGGAAGCAGGAGAGCAAGAGACGCTTGTTGGATTGGGTGTGGCAGTACTGGGGACTCGAGGGCAGTGCTGGGCCCCCCTAAGCTGCCTGAGGAGCTGGGGGACCCAAGGATGCTGGCAAGACCTAGACAGGTCTGAGGTGGGCTGGGCAGTGCCTCGAGAGGCTCGGGGTGGGGCAGGCCTAAGCAGGGGCCCCGTACAGACCATGACGGTGGCGATGATGGACAGCAGGGCGTCACTGAAGCTGAGCATGCGTTGGGAGCACTGGATCCCCTCCCCAGCGTCCTCGTCTCTCCTGCCTGGGGGGCAGTCCCCCGGTGTATCCAGTGCCTGCTCTGGGGTCCGGGGCTGGGACATGGCGGGGCCGCTGCCTGGCGGTTACAGGAGCCTGGGAGGAAAGGCAGGTCTGAGTGTGCCTGTGGGGCGCTCCTGGAGGTCGGCCATGCAGCCTCAGCCCTGGTGCAGGGACAGGGACTGGTATGGGGGGGGGCTTGGCCGCCACTGAGCAGGGGAAGGGTCCACGCTGCTCTGTCCTCTCCCAGGTGCCCCTCAAATTTCTGGCCTCCAGGCTGAGAGGCCAACAACAGATGCCACTCCCGGCCCTGTTACTGGTGAACACTGATCTGGGTGGACTGGGCCTCAGTTTCTCCTCAGGAAACGGGAGAGACAAGGAAAGGCACAGAGATCACAGACCCCAAGGCCGACCTAAACGTGGAAGAGGAACACAGCACCCTGCGGGGCCCTTGACCGTGCATGCGTGCCTGGGGCTGTCTGTTCTCTACAGGGCCCGTGCACACGTGCCTGGGGCTGTCTGTTCTCTACAGGGCCGCGCTCTCCCCCGCTCTCGCTCTCGGGGCCCGTGCACACGTGCCTGGGGCTGTCTGTTCTCTACAGGGGCCGCGCTCTCCCTCAGTCTCGGCACCTGTGCACGTATGCCTGGGGCTGTCTCCTACAGGGGCTGCGCTCTCCCCCGGTCTCGGCGCCCGTGCACGCATGCCTGGGGCTGTCTGTTCTCTACAGGGGCCGCGCTCTCCCTCGGTCTCGGCGCCCGTGCACGCGTGCCTGGGGCTGTCTCCTACAGGGGCCGCGCTCTCCCTCGGTCTCGGCGCCTGTGCACGCGTGCCTGGGGCTGTCTCCTACAGGGGCCGTGCTCTCCCTCGGTCTCGGCGCCTGTGCACGCGTGCCTGGGGCTGTCTCCTACGGGGCCGCGCTCTCCCTCGGTCTCGGCGCCTGTGCACGCGTGCCTGGGGCTGTTTCCTACAGGGGCCGCGCTCTCCCTTGGTGACCTTTGGGGAAACCAAGGCCCTGCATATGTAGCCAGTTAGCACCAGGGCAGGCACTCCAGTCCGCCTGTGGGAGCCGGGGCTGGGTGCACACTGGGCACACGCCACAGCTGTGGCTCAGCACAGCACTCCCCAGGCATTTTTAATATCAGAGATGCATCTGGGAAGATGAATAAGATGCCAGGTGGAGAGTACTCTGGACAGAAGAGACCCCAGCGCCTCACGGAGACAGAACTGAGGTATGGCTGCAGGAGCCATTGCTGCATGGTGCTGGGCAGCCTCGTGCCAACCAGGCACTATGGATTTCACCCTGCACCCGAGTGGGCAGCCTCGTGCCAACCAGGCACTATGGATTTCACCCTGCACCCGAGTGGGCAGCCTCGTGCCAACCAGGCACTATGGATTTCACCCTGCACCCGAGGTGGAGGCTGGGCACACTGAGACAAGTTCCCCAAACATAGAATGTGGCCAGAGAGCCCCATGTTGGCTGAGCCCCACCTGCAGCCAGGTGCCCCGGAGCAGGGAAGAGGGCAGCAGTGTGTCAAGGACGCCAGTCAGAAGGGCTGCTATGACCTAGGAGAGGAGTGACGGAGGTCTGGCATCCCAGGAGACACACAGCATGTGGGAAAGCAGCTCCTAAGAGTATTGGGGGCTGCCGTGGGGGGTGACGGAGAAGGGGGAGCCCACCTGGCCCTGATGCCACCGTGGTGAGGAAGGTAGGTCAGGGCACATTCTTGAGGGATGGTGAGTGCTTGCTTCAGGCTTGTTTCCTGGGACACAGCAGAAGCACCGGAGGCTGTCTCAGGGCAGGGGAGCTATGGGGATGGAAGGAGTCAGGCTGGAGCTGCAGCCTTCAAAGGTACCTCGGATTGAGCCGTGTTAGAAACAGAAGTAATTTCTGTGCTACTTGGAAATGTGGGGGTGGTCCGAGGGAGTGGCACCCGGGAAGGAGGAGAGGAGCAGCCGGGGGCAGGACAGGCTGGGCTCTCCACCATTTAAGGGGCGGAGACCTCTTCAGGAAGGGTATGGGGAGAGCCCTTCAGCACCAGCGGGAGGTGACAAGCCAGAGCCCCCAGGTTTTACTCCAAAGGGGGTGCTGTTTACTTGGCCAAGGGCATCAGGGGACTGAAATATGTGGCCAGCTAGAGGGTCCGCAGGAAGAGGGATGTGCTGTAGTCTGCTCACACCAAGGCGAGACGCACAAAAACAAGGAGAGTTCACCCCAGAGAATGGACAGAGGCTCACTGGTTTCCAGCCGGGAAAAACAAACACACAAGGCATTCCACTTCACTAGCAATCAGGGAGATCGGGGAGGTGCAAATGAAACGGAGAGAGGCCAGCCAGGGTGGTGGGCGTGAGGCGACGGGAGGGCAGGGACCTGGGGAAAACAGAAACCGAGGCTGGAATGAACGGTGGGGACAGACGGCGGGGAGTGAGACGACAGGACGGCAAAGACGTGGGGAAAACAGAAGCTGAGGCAGCAACAAACGGCGGGGAGTGAGGAGACAGAGACGGCGGGGGCCTGGGGAAACAGAAACTGAGGCAGGAATGTAAACGGACATGTGTGTTTCAGCGACAGTTTAGCAACAGTTAATAAGGTGTAGTGCCATACCCTCCAAGGGTCCATTCCAGGCAGTCTCACTGGGACTGCCATGACAGGCTGCCTAGGGTCTGCACTGAGGCAACACGCAGTTTTTCTTTTTTTCTTTTTGAGACAGGGTCTCAGTCTGTTGCCCACGCTGGAGGGCAGTGGCGTAATCACGGCTCACTGCAGCCTCGACCTCCTAGGCTCAAGTGATCCTCCCACCTCAGCCTCCTGTGTTGCTGGGACTACAGGCGTGCACCACCAAGCCTGGCTAATTTTTTGTATTTTTCATAGAGACAGGGGTTTCATCATGTTGCCCAGGCTGGTCTTGAAGTCCTGGGCTCAAGCAATCTCCTTGCCTCAGCCTCCCAAAGTGCTTGGATTACAGGCGAGAGCCACCGCAGCCAGCCCGGTGTGTTTTAACAATAAAACTAAAACACATTCTGACTAGTAAGGGACAAATCATTAAACCATGAAGTAAACTATCAGAAAGTTAAAACAGATCTACAAGTATAGAACTATAAAACAAAATGTTGAGACAAAAAAATCAAGTTGCAAAACCATACTATTGTACCATTTATGTAAACAATGGACACATAAAACCATCTATCTTCTTAATTATACACACACCGTATGTGTATACGGTAAGAAATGAAAACCACAAATAAGAACAATGTTCGCCAACTTCCAGACAGCGCTGCAGCAACCCAGGCAGGGAGGGGCGGGGAGCAGGTGGGGGGCTTTTGCTCTATGCCCAGGTTACTTCTTACCTAGAATGCAGACAGGCATGTAACCACAGCTAGCCACAATCCAGCAAACTGTTCTATCCCCAAACAGCATCTTTGTGTTCAAGCTTCCCCAACCCCAAGCTCCAGCAACCACTGATCTGTTTTCTGTCACTGTAATTTTGCCTCGTTTATTTAGTTAATTATTTTTTTGAGACAGTCTTGCTCTGTCGCCCAGGCTGGATTGCAGTGGCACGATCGCAGCTCACTGCAACCTCCGCCTCCTGGGTTCAAGCGATTCTTGTGCCTCAGCCTCCCGAGCAGCTGGGATTACAGGCACCAGCCACCATGCCTGGCTAATTTTTGTATTTTTAGTACAGACAGGGTTTCACCATGATTCCCAGGCTGGTGTCAAACTCCTGACCTCAGGTGATCCACCTACCTTGGCCTCCCGAAATGCTGGGATTGCATGCGTGAGCCACTGCACCCAGCCAATTTTGCCTTTTTTAGAATGTGGTATAAACGGAATCGCACCCTCCAGAGGTTTTGAGTCTAGCTTCTTTCGAGACTCATCTGTGGTGCTGGGAGTATCAGTAACACACTTCTTTGGTTGCTGTGTGGTAATTTCACTGCATGGACACACCTCAGTTTGTGGATCCACTTACCAGCTGAAAAACGTGTGTATTGTTTCATTTTGCACAATTATGAATAAAGCCACTATATATAAACGTTTGCACACAGGCATTTGTGTAAACATGTTTTCATGACTTTTGGGTAAATGCCTTTGAGTGGTTTTGCTGGGTCGTATTGTAAGGACATGTTTCCTTCCTGAGAAACCACCCGACAATTTGCCGAGGCAGCTGCACCATCTGCATTCCCACCGACAGGCATGAGACCTGCGCTTGCTCATCTCCTCTGGTACTCAGTTTGGCACAGCTTAGAGAAATAATTTAGCTGGGCGCGGTGGCTCATGCCTGTAATCCCAGAACTTTGGGAGGCCGAGGCGGGCAGATCACTTGAGGTCCGGAGTTCGAGACCAGCCTGGCTAACATGGTGAAACCCCATCTCTACTAAAAATACAAAAATTAGCTGGGTGTGGTGGCACACACCTGTAATCCCAGCTACTCGGGAGGCTGAGGCAGGAGAATTGCTTGATCCCAGAAAGTGGACGTTGCGGTGAGCCAAGATCGTGCCACTGCACTCCAGGCTGGGAGACAGAGTAAGACTCCGTCTAGGAAAAAAATAGTAATAATAAAAATCAATAATTCAATTAATTTATTTTAGTCATTCTAGTACTCGTGTAGGGGTGTCTCATTGTGGTTTTAATCTGCTATTTCTCTACTGACTAATTAGGCATCTTTCATCTGTATAGCTTTCACAGTGAAGTGTCTTAGAATCTTTGCTTGTTTACTGAGTTGTTTGTAATGTCATTGAGTTTTGAGAGTTCTTTATATTCTAGTTAAAAATCCTGCAAGATGTGTAATTTGGAAATATTTTCTTGCAGTCTGTGGCTTGTCTTTTCACTCTCTTACCAGTCTTTAGGAGAACAGAAGTTCTGAATTTTGGCTGGGCGCAGTGGCTCACACCTGTAATCCCAGCATTTTGGGAGGCAGAGGCGGGCGGATCACCTGAGATGAGGGGTTCAAGACCAGCCTGGCCAACATGGCAAAACCCCATCTCTACTAAAAATACAAAAATTAGCTGGACGTAGTGGTGTGCGCCTGTAGTCCCAGCTACTCAGGAGGCTGAAGCAAGAGAATCGCTTGAACCTGGGAGGCGAAGGTTGCAGTGAGCTGAGATTGCACCACTGTACGCCATCCTGGGTGACAGAGTGAGACTCTGTCTCAAAAAGAAAAAAAAAAAAAAAGAAAATTCAAGGAACCTTAACAGCCAAAATAATATTGAAAAAGAACAAAATTGGGAGCACTCCCACTTTCTGATTTCAAAATTTAGTACAAAGCTACAGTAGTCAAGACAGCATAGACACAGACCAATGGAATATAGTTCAGAAATAAACCCCTACATTTATGGTTAACTGATTTTGACAAGGATGCCGAGACCACTCGATGGGAAAAGAAAAGTCTTTTTCACAAATGGTGTTGGGACAACTGAATATCCACATGCAAAAGAATGAATTCGGGCCGGGCATGGTGGCTCATGCCCAAAATCCCAGCACTTTGGGAGGCTGAGGAAGGCGGATCACAAGGTCAGGAGATCGAGATCATCCTGGCCAAGATGGTGAAACCTCGTCTCTACTAAAAATACAAAAATTAGCTGGGCATGGTTGCACGTGCCTGTAGTCCCAGCTACTCAGCTACTCGAGAGGCTGAGGCAGGAGAATCGCTTGAACCCGGGAGGCGGAGGTTGCAGTGAGCCGAGATCGCACCACTGCACTCCAGCCTAGCAATAGAGAGAGACTCTATCTCAAAAAAAAAAGAAAAAAAAAGAATGAATTCGGACTCAACCTAATTAATACACATACAAAAGTTAACTCGAAGTGGATCAATGATGTAAATGTAAGAGTTAAAACTATAAAACTCTTGGAAGATGATGCCGGAGAAAATCATTTCATGACATTGGGTTTGACAAAATATTCTTTTTTTTTCTTTTTTTATAAAGACATGGGGTCTATGTGGCCCAGGCTGGGCTCTAGCAATTCTCCTGCCTCGGCCTCCCAAGTAGCTGGGATTATAGGAATGAGCCACCACGCCTGGCCAAAATTGATTTTTTCTTTAAGCCGTTTTAGGTTTATAGAAAAACTTAGCAGAGGCCGGGCGCGGTGGCTCACTCCTGTAATCCCAGTACTTTGGGAGGCCAAGGTGGGCGGATCACCTGATGTCAGGAGTTCAAGACCAGCCTGGCCAACATGAAACCCCACCTCTACTAAAAATACAAAAATTAGCTGGGTGTGGTGGTACGCGTCTGTAATTCCAGCTACTCGGGAGTTTGACGCAGGAGTATTTCTTGAACCAGGGAGGCAGACGCTGCCGTGAGCCGAGATTACGCCACTGCACTGCAACCTGAGTGACAGAGCCAGACTCCATCTCAAGAAAAAAAAAAAAAAGAAAAATAGAGCAGAAAGTACAGAGTTTTTTTTGTTTTGTTTCTTTTTTTTTTTTTTTTTTTTGAGACAGAGTTTCGCTCTTGCTACCCAGGCTGGAGTGCAATGGCACGATCTCGGCTCATTGCAACCTCTGCCTCCTGGGTTTAAACGATTCTCCTGTGTCAGCCTCCCGAGCAGCTGGGATTACAGGTGCCTGCCATAACACCCAGCTAATTTTTGTATTTTTAGTAGAGATAGGGTTTCACCATGTTGGCCAGGATGGTCTTGAACTCCTGACCTCGTAATCTGCCCACCTTGGCCTCCCAAAGTGTTGGGATTACAGGCGTGAGCCACTGCACCCGGCCCAGAGTTCTTTTATACACTTTCACATCCCCCTTTCCCCTTTCTCCCATTATTATTATTATTATTATTATTATTATTATTATTATTATTTTGAGACGGAGTCTCACTCTGTCACCCAGGCTGGAGTGCAGTGGCACAATCTTGGCTCACTGCAACCTCCGACTCCTGGGTTCAAGCGATTCTCCTGCCTCAGCCTCCTGAGTAGCTGGGATTACAGGCACACGCCACCACGCCTGGCTAATTTTTGTATTTTTAGTAAAGATGGAGTTTCACCATGTTGGTCAGGCTGATCTCGAACTCCTGACCTCGTGATCCACCCACCTCAGCCTCCCAAAATGCTGGGATTACAGGCATGAGCCACCATGTCTGGCCTCCCTTTCTCCTATTATTAACATCTTACATTGGTGTGGCACATACGGCACAATTGACAAGCAAATATTCATACATCACAATTAACCTAAGTCCATAGTTTACATTAGGCTTCATTCTGTGCTGTATTCTATGGGTTTTGACAAATGTAAAATGACTTGTTTTCACCAAAACAGTATCATACAGAATAGTTTAAACACCCTAAAAATCTCTGGTGCTCCACCCTCCCTCTTTCTTCCTGAACCCCTAGCAACTACTGCTTTTTTTTTTTTTTTTTTTTGAGATCGAGTTTCACTCTTGCTGCCCAGGCTGGAGTGCAATGGTGCAATCTCGGCTCACTGCAACCTCCAGCTCCCAGGTTCAAGTGATTCTCCTGTCTCAGCCTCCTGAGTAGCTGGGATTACAGGCGCATGCCACCACGCCCAGCTAATTTTGTATTTTTAGTAAAGGTGGGGCTTCACCATGTTGGCCAGGCTGGTCTCGAACTCCAGACCTCAGTTGATCTGACTGCCTTGGCCTCCGAAAGTGCTGGGATTACAGGCGTGAGCCACTGCGCCTGGCCTACTGCTCTTTTTACTGTCTTCATAATTTTGCCTTTTCCAGAATGTTCTATAGTTAGAATCATACAGTATGGAACCTTTTCAGATTGGCTTCTTTCATTGAGCAATATGCATTTAAGGTTCCTTCAAGTCTTGTTGTTGCTTGATAGCTTATCTTTTTATTATTGAATGCTACCCTATGTTATGGACTTACAGGTTATCTATTCACCTATTGTTCATATGGGCTATTTTCAACAGCATATTATAAAGTTCTTCACGCTGATGAAATCCAGTTTATCTGTTTCCTTCATGGGATCAAGCTTTTAGTGTCATGGCTAAAAATCTCACAGAACATTTCACACATTTTCTTCCATGAGTTTTATAGTTTTAGATCTCACATTTAGATTTATGATTTTGAGTTAACTTTTATACATAATGCTAGGTAAGGGTTAAGGTTTTCTTTTTTCTTTTTTTGAGGCGGAGTCTCACTCTGTCACTCAGGCTGGAGTGCAGTGGCATGATCTCAGCTTACTGCAACCTCCACCTCCTGGGTTTAAGCAATTCTCCTGCCTCGGCCTCCTGAGTAGCTGGGATTACAGGCACTCACCCCCACGCCCAGCTAATTTTTGTATTTTTAGTAGAGATGAGGTTTCACCATGTTGGTCAGGCTGGTCTCGAACTCCTGACCTCAAGTGATCTGCCTGCCTTGGCCTCCCAAAGTGCTGGGATTACAGGCGTGAGCCATTGCGCTCAGCTAATTTTTGTATTTTTAGTAGAAATGGGGTTTCTCCATGTTGGTCAGGCTGGTCTCGAACTCCTGACCTCAAGTGATCTGCCCGCCTCAGCCTCCCAAAGTGCTAGGATTACAGGCGTGAGCCACTGCACCCGGCCCAAGGTTCCTTTTTCTAAACACGTGAATATCCAATTTTTCCAGTATCATTTGTTGAAACAATTATTCTTTCTCCAATGAACTACTTTTACACCTTTATAAAAAATCAATTCAGCATAGATACCTGTGGGTCAATTTCTGGACTCTTCTATTTACCTACTTAGCTATCTTTATATCAACTCCACACTGTTGCCCAGGCTAGATTCAAACTCCCAGGCTCAAGGGATCCTCCCGCCTCAACCTGCTGAGTTGCTGCGACTACAGGCACGTACCTCTACACCCAGCCACCACAGTTTTGATTACTGTGGCTTTAAGTGTTTAAATTAGGTAATGTAAATCACACAATTTTGTCTTGTCCTTGTTCAATCTTGTATTGACTATTCTAGCTTCTTTGCAGAGCCAAGTAAATTTTAGAATCTATGTGTCAAATTCTCATAGTCTGCTGGGAATTTGACTGGTTTACATTGAATCTACAGGTGAATTTGAGAACTGCACTGTTGAATCTCCTAGTTTATGAATATGGCATATCTCTCCATTTATTATGGGCTTTAATTTCTCTCAGCTAATTTTTGTAGTTTTCAGCATATAAGTCTTGCACATCTTTTTTCACATTTATCCCAAGTATTTCAGACTTTTTGATGCTATTGTAAATGTTTCTAATTTCAACTTCCAATATTTATTGCTAGTACGTAGAAATAGAATTGATTTTTGCATATTTATCTTGTATCCTGGAACCCTGCTAAACTCACGAGTAGCTCTTTTTATAGATTCTATCCGATTTTTTTTTCTTTTTTTTGGAGACCGAGTCTCACTCTGTTGTCCAGAGTGGAGCACAGTGGTGCGATCTCAGCTCACTGCAACCTCCACTTCCCAGGTTCAAGTGATTCTCCTGCCTCAGCCTCCTGAGTGGCTGGGATTACAGGCGCCCGCCACCACACCCAGCTAATTTTTGTATTTTTAGTAGAGACGGGGTTTCACCGTGTTGGCCAGGCTGGTCTCAAACTCCTGACCTCAGGTGACCCACCCGACTCGGCCTCCTAAAGTGCTGGGATTACAAGTGTGAGCCACTGTGCCTGGCCCCAGCCCTCTTTTTCTTGCCTCATCACGTTGGCTAGAATTTCTAGTACAATGCTGAATAGAAGTGGTGAGATCAGACAGCCAGCCTTGGCTTGTTCCTGGTCTTAGGGGGAAAACATTCAGTCTTTTATTATTTCATATGATGCTAGCTGCAGGTTTTTCACAGATGCCCTTACTATACTGAGGAAGTTTCATTTTATTCCTAGTTTGCTGAGTTTTTTTTTTTTTAAATCAGTAATGGATGTTGGATTCTGTCAAATGCTTCTCTGTATCTATTGACATGATCCATTTTGTTTCTTCACTCTCAAGAGTGTGAATTACATTGATAAACTTTCAAATGCTAAGCCAACTTTGCCCTCTTGAGATATCCCACTCGGTCACGGTGTACTATCCTTTCTGTATATAGTGTTGGATTCAATTTGCTAAACAATGTTTTAAATGCATTTTCTTGTCTATGTTCACAAGAGATATTATCCTGTAATTTTCTAGTAACGTCTTTGTGGAATTCTGGTATCAGAATAATGCTGTAAGGAATGATGAGGTGGGAAATAATTCCTTCCTTCAACTTTCCGAGTTTGTATAGAACTGGTATTATTTCTTCCTTCAATGTTTAGTAGAATTCCCAGAGAAGCTATCTAAGTTTGGAGTCTTCTTTTTTTTGAGATCGAGTTTCACTCTTGTTGTCCAGGTTGGAGTGCAATGGCACAGTCTCAGCTTACTGCAACCTCTACCTCCTGGGTCCCAGTGATTCTCCTCCCTCAGCCTCCCAAGTAGCTGGGATTACAGGCACCTACCACCATGCTGGGTAATTTTTGTATTTTGAGTAGAAATGAGGTTTCACCATGTTGGCCAGGCTGGTCTTGAACTCCTGACCTCAGGTGATCCACCTGCCTCGGCCTCCCAAAGTGCTGGGATTACAGGCATGAGCTACTGTGCCCAGCCAAGTCTGGAGTCTTCTTTAAGGGAAGATTTGTCAACTATAAATTCAATGCTTTAATAGACATAGAGCTATTTAGGTTATCTATTCCCTTCTTAAAAAATTTACATTTTTAATTTTTATAGGTATATAGTAGGTGTATATATTCATGGGGTACATGTTCTGATACAAGCATGCAATGTGTAATAATCATATCATGAAGAATGGGGTATCCATCCCCTCAAAAAAAAAAGATGGTTAGATAACACAAAGTATGTTGCAATGCCTTAATTGTATGCATGTCAGGGCCTCTTTCATCCTTTCATACAACACAATTTCTCTTTTTTTTTTTGAGACAGAGTCCTACTGTGTCGCTAGACTGGAGTGCCGTGGCTCAATCTCGGCTCACTGCAACCTCCGACTCTCTGGTTCAAGCGATTCTCCTGCCTCAGCCTCCCAAGTAGCTGGGATTTCAGGCACATGCCACCATGCGCAGCTAATTTTTGTATCTTTTTTAGTAGAGATGGGGTTTCACCATGTTGGCCAGGATGGTCTTGATCTCCTGACCTTGTGATCCACCTGCCTTGGCCTCCCAAAGTGCTGGGATTACAGGCGTGAGCCACCGCGCCGGGCCCAACACAATTTCTTCTTAAATGAGCTTAAGTGGTTTGTGCTTTCCAGGAATTTGTTCGTTTAGTGTAAGCTGCTGAATTTGTTGGCCTAAAGTCCTTAATAATAGTCCCCGATTATCCTTTCCGTAGTGATGTCATTTCTCATTCCTGATATTGGTAATTTGTGTCTTGCCTTTTTCTTGTTCAATCTGGCCAGAGATTTTTCAATTTTATTAATCTCAAAGAATCAGCTTTTGGTTTCCCTGATTTTCTCTATTGCTTTTGTTATCTATTTTTTTGAATTCCACTCTGATACTTATTATCTGCCTTCTTATATTCACTTTGGGTTTCATTTCCTCTTACTTTTCTAGTTTCCTTTTTTTTTTTTTTGTGACAGAGTCTCAGCTCACTGCAATCTCCACCTCCCGGGTTCAAGCAATTCTCTTGCCTCAGGCTCCCAAGTAGCCGGAACTACAGGCGTGCACAGGCATGCACTGCTACACCCAGCTAATTTTTGTATTTTTAGTAGAGATGGGGTTTCACCATGTTGGCCAGGGTGGTCTTAAACTTCCGACCTCAAGTGATCTGCCCACCTCAGCCTGCCAAAGTGAGCTACCGTGCCCAGCCAACTTTTCTAGTTTCATAAGGTGATTGCTGAGGTCACTGATTTGAGACTTAACATTTAATACTGTTTTAGCTGCATCCCACCAGTTTTAAATGCTGCATTTTCATTTTCATTCTGTTCAAAATACTTTCTAATTTCCTTTTTGATTTCTTCTTTGACCCATGAGTTATTTAAAAGTGAGTTGAAAAAATATACAAAAAACAAAAGTGAGTTATTCAGTTTCCAAATATTGAAAGGATTTTCCAATCTGTTACTGATTTCTACTTTAATATTCAATATCATTCTGGTCAGATAACATACTTGTTTAATAGAACAGAATATGATCAGGCTTAATGTTTTAATGCACTTGAAAAATTGTGTATTCTGCTGTTATTGTGGGGAGTGTTCCATAAACATTCATTAGGTCAAGTTGGCTGACAGTCATGTTCAAGTCGCCTATATCCTCAGTGATTTTCTGGGTATCTATCCTATCGTTTATTGAGAAAGAATATTCTCCAACTACAATTGTGATTTTTCTCTCTCCTTGCAGCTATTAGTTTATGCTTTGTGTATTTTAGAGCTTTGTTATTAGGTGCATAAATGTTTAGGATTATCAAGTCTTTTCGATGAATTCACCCCTTCTTCATTACAAAATGATCCTCTTAATCTCTTGCAATACTCTTTGCTATGAAATTTAGGAAATCAGTTATAGGGATTAAGACTATAACTTCAGTTTTGGATATATACATGTTTATACATGTAGCAGTATCTAAGAACAAACATCTGAGAGTTCAGATGAGATATGGAGATAGATATTTGGGTTAAGATGGTGTTACTATAGCATCTACTTCAATGCCAATAAATAAAGGTGCTCCAGAAATATTCGTAAGATAAGTAGTCTGACTCTGGTTTCCAAAGTGATTACAAGGTTTAGAAATGTCCAGCTGATCCCAGGTCATGCCAGTATAAGTTCATGGCCTCCAGATGAGTGCTTAAACGCTCTCATGCTTTCCAGTGAGTTATTTGCTAGGTTTCTCATAATAGCTATTTTAGATCTTTTTGACACTGCTTAAATCTTGGGTTTCCTACTTCCCCTCTCACTTTCAGTTGATGTTTTTCTTTCCTCATTCACAATGAAAACAGAAGTCATTAGAGAATTCCTTCACCTTCATTCCAATAAATACATAAGGTCACCTACAACTGCAGCCCATTTTTCTTCCTGAGTGTTTTTCCTATGTCCAAAGCAAATATCTCTACCTATGCTCTTGATGTCATTCCCCTCCTATGTTCTAAGAGATAGAAGATATCTCATTAAGATAGAATTATCTTATTATTCCTCTTTTTTCTGTACCAGCAAACCTTCTCTCCCTTCCATCCGCTTTAGGCTGCTCAAGAATCTCTCATCTTAAAACATCTCAATACTACATCACCCTTGTAGCTCCCTGGAGCTAAGGGTGCCGAATTTGTTGGCCTGAAGTTGTTCATATTCTCTTCCACAGACAAACATTTTGAGTTATCTCCACTTGCCATCTCTACCTCATCATCTCTTCATCCCTCTACGGTAATATGTAGCTTCCACCTCATTACTCCAATGAAGCTATTCTTGGTGAGGTCACCAATGATCCCTTGTGAATAAATCCAACACATATCTTCCATTTCTTTTTCTACTTGACTTTTAAGTGGCATTCGACACTCTTAGCTGCACTCTCTGCCCCGAACATCCTCGTTCCTTGGCTCTGTTACGACACTCTCTTGGTTTTCTTCCTCCTTCACTGACTGCTCTTTCTCCACAAACTGTCTATTCTCTGAAGATTCTAACCTCTTTATGTCTAGTACACCATCTCTGTTGGTCCTCTCTTCAGCTCCTAGAGCCAACTGCCACCTCTATGCTGAGGATGCCCAGATATCTGTCTCTAGCAGGGATTCTTTCCTGAGCTCTCTATCCTTCTATTCCACAGTCGACCAGACAAACGCACTGGCTGGAAAAGCCATGACTTGCGTTGAATTGCAGTTGTATCACTTGTTGGCCCTGGCCGAATAATGGCATTGTTGAGCATATTTTCTCATCCCAAAATAAAGGGGGTTAATTATACTGTGCTTTCTTCACAAAGATGTTTTCACTACAATGAACTATTACAGAAAAGGGTGTTGTAAGCAATAAATCAGTGCCTAAACTAAGCTATTGCTACTGTTATTTTTGTTATATATATTTTTAAAGATGTCATTTGGCTTCATGCAATACTTCATTCCATAACATAGATAAGTGTTCCAACGAGCTGAGGCTATTATCTTTTAATGATAAAGATAACAGATGTTAGCTTCTGGGACGGCTAAGAGGCTGATGTGAGCTTTAGAATCCATTTTTGAGTTGGAGAACAAATAACTCTGTTGAAGGGGTTGCAACCTTAAATGACTATAGGAACCAGGCAGGTAACATACATGAGCCCATCTGGTCAGGCAAATGACTGTGTCTTACCTCAAGGGACCACTCTAGGTAATTGGTAACACACATCATTTTGGGTCCAATATTGACAGGTTTGATTTTTCCACAGAAGCTGGAAAACTAGGTTTTTAACATTTAGGCCTTTCAATTATTATTATTATTATTATTTATTTTTTGAGGCGGAGTCTCAGGCTAGGGTACAGTGGCGCCCGCCTCCCGGGTTCAAGCGATTCTCCTGCCTCAGCCTCCCGAGTAGCTGGGATTACAGGCACCCGCCACCACGCTCGGCTAATTTTTGTATTTTTAGTAGAGACGGGGTTTCACCATGTTGACCAGGCTGGTCTGGAACTCCTGACCTCAGGTGATCCGCCTGCCTCGGCCTCCCAAAGCACTGGGATTACAGGTGTAAGCCACCGCGCCTGGCATCAGTCTTTAAATGATAGCAACTAATTCACCTCCTGCTACCCACTCCCAACCCCCAAATACTGTGTGGGCCAAAAACTAAAAATGCATTGTCTGTGAGCCATTTCCTTATTATCCTATAAGGAAAGTCACCATTTCATCTCCAAATAGTTGGGCATTACGAACCCTTCCAAGTGGTTCATGAGGATTTGCTTTTGCCTTGGAAAATGTCAGGGTGAGAACGAACCTTGAGGGTCACAGGGCAGTCTCTGCAGTGTTGTGGTTGCCCAGGACGAAGGTTTTTCTAGCCCACGGCTCCCACTACTGGTCACTGCCCCAGGCCAGACCCTGGCCCTCTCCTCGGAAGACAGAGCAATGCAGCAGCGTTTCCCCTGCAAACTGCCTGCCTGGCTGCTGGGAGGGGGCTGCCAACCTTACTCACTAAGCGTCACAGGAAACTCCGACCTCCATGAGACGAAAACCAAGTATTTACTGAAAGCTTAACGCACGCTAACTCCTTGCTCCTTAGCCAACTGAGAGAAAAATTCGCGAACCCATTCGCAAACGCGGCGCTAACAGCAAACGGGAGGCTGACTCCACCCAGAGGATGGCGAAGCGCTTAAACCGGAGACACCTGAGAAGGAGCCTCCCACAAAACAGACCATGTGGGGAACGGTACCGGGAGCTGGACTGGGGCGCTGAACTACCTGGGCGGGAATCGCCTCGGCGACTGTTCCGCGCGCCTCCGCTTGAGTCAGCCCGGCCGGGAGCTTGACAGCCGGAAGTTCATCGCAAGCCCGGCGACGCCGCGCACGCGCTGTCTCCGTCAGACCTCCGCGCCTGCGCGCGCAGCCAGGAAGTGAGGCCGCGGCGGAGGGGACGGGGCTAGGCCGGGTCGCCGCCTGACGCGACGCGTCCTCACGGGCGCCTACGTCACGGCGTCGAGGCGGAAGATGGTGCACCTCCGGGCCGGCGGTTGCTGAGCTGACCCGGACGGCGAGGGAGCGGGAGCCCGAGCCCGACCACTCCGGCTGCCGCGGGGTGCGGCGCAGCCACCGCCATGTCGCTGCTGCAGTCGGCGCTCGACTTCTTGGCGGGTCCAGGCTCCCTGGGCGGTGCTTCCGGCCGCGACCAGAGTGACTTCGTGGGGCAGACGGTGGAACTGGGCGAGCTGCGGCTGCGGGTGCGGCGGGTCCTGGCCGAAGGTGAGGCCCCGGGTCGGCAGCGCGGGTGCGGCCGCGGAGTGTTGTCTCCGGGACGCTGGGGGCAGCGTCAGCCCGGAGTGGAAGGGCGTGGGTTAGGGCTGGGGAGGGTCCCAGCGGGATCGTGGGTCAGGGTCGGCCAGGGGAGGGTCTCTGCCGAGGGCGTGGGTCAGGGCCAGGCGAAGGTCATAGCGCGGGCGTAGGTGAGTGCCTGCTGGCGGTGATTGCGGAGGGCGAGGCTGGGACCGGGTCGGGGTACTTTCTTGTCATAAGAGTAGGGTCAAGTCGGAGCAAGGCCTGGGGCTTGGGGAACCCCCTCAGGGTGGGTGGGGGAAGATGTTACGGTGAGGTGGGGGATGGTGGCAGGCAGGGAGCTTGGGTGGGGACCCACAGCGGAGACTGAGGGACGGTGCCTAGAAGGCCGACAGCTGGAGTCAGGAGGTGAGCGGTGCAGGAGGTGGGTTTAAGCCTTGGCCTTTTGCCGGACATCTGGGGTTATTGAGCAGGCAGGGACAGGACTGGACTTTGGAGGTTAGGGCTGGTTCTTCTACAGTCCAGGGAACTTGAGAGTTGGTGGGTGCACACGTGTTGCAGGTAGTTGCGGTTGTAGCCTGGGGGGTGGGGGGGTTGGCCGAGGGTAGACTGGGCTGTGTCTCGTGATCCCCCTTCGTCTTTCAACACCTCAGTGTTTCTCTTCCCGGTGAACATCTACTCGTGTGATTCCGTGTGTAGTACAGGAAGCAGAGCCAGTGGTTGTGACCTATATAGAACTTGCAGAGTGGACAGGTCACTCGGCTTAAGTCCTCTTGAGTCAGTCTTGAGTCAGTTTTGTCTCTGCATGCTATTTCTAGCTCCCTGGATGTCCTCTCCGTTCACACGGAATCGATCACCAGTGCCAGTGGGTCCCATTCTCTCTTGTGGATTTTCCTTACATTTTTTGTCCAGTGGTGCCTGGAGGTGTGTCATATTTCACTGGCTGTGAAGTTTATGGGCTAAACACAGTTGACTTGGGTGCGGAAGCGTAACTCTATTCTGCTGTATTGGCACAGGGAGAGGGAGTGAAGCGACACAAAAGCCCTCACCCTCACCAGCTCCCTGGTACCTCTCAGGGCTGGAGGGTTAGCCTGTCCAGGTGCCTGCTCTGTGACCAGACAGGAGACTATCCCAGAATTCTGATTATCACAAAAGGCCTGCGGAGACATTTTGACTGTAGCATTATCACACACTTTGTCTCCATTGTGGTCAAAACCAAACAGATTTTGGGTATGATTTGGTCAGAAAGTCTAAGCTCTTCTTTCAGAAGTGGGGGCTGAAGTGTGATATTCTTTCACATCAGTTGGAAGATTTCTCTCAGATCAAATCATTTATTCTGAAAATACTAGGTGGTTATCTTCATTCTTTAAGAAGTTTATTGTGGACAGGACTTGCTTTCTGGAACTTCAGACTTGTGCTCAAGGGGTGGAGAGACAGAGGCAGCACAGGGACAGATCCTTAGGGGTGGTACAGACAGTGTGAGCTTTGGGAAGGGGCCAAGCAGAAGATGGCACGGATCTTGGTGGGAGGGATGGAGAATGCACCCTCACTGGGGCCCGGAGAGGAAGATTCGTATAAAGAAAGAAGCTTGTGGGTCACTTAGCACCCAGGAAGAAGAACAAGGAAATGTGGGCAGCTGCTGAGGTTGTGCAAAAGAACTTGTTTCCCTTTGCTATCTAGGCAAGTCAGGAGATAAAAATAACCAATGCAATTAGGAGCTGTAGATTTCCTCCTTGTAAACTTAATAGGTGGCCTGCAGCCTCCTAAGTACTTTGAAGCCTCTTTGAACTGAAACAGAGTGTGAAAGCTGAATTAAGTATTTTATATAAACATACTTAATTAAGTTTTGTCTGAACAGCAACCTTAGAACATAGGCTATGGGAGTTTAGGCTGTCTTGTGTAAACATGGTGATGGCTGGTAATCTGAACCCTTGAGTACAGATGTTTACACTTCCAGAATTTTTCAGGTTTCAGAATGGTCATTGCAGCATATAACCTGTATATCGTGGGATACTCCCAGAAGACTTGGGAAAGTATTCTGTAATTGAATACATTAATATTTCTGTAATTAAATGAATAAATATTCTCACTGTGGGATAATTAAAGTCTGTAATTAACCCCATATCAGTTCATGTCAGGTTTTATCCCAAATGAGGTTATTATGATAGACCAGGATTTGCTGTCAAGTGAGTTAGGAAAAAATGGTTTTCATAGCTTTTAGGAATTTGGACTTGTGGTGTGAATGGGTTTTTAGGTAGAACTGTGGAACCAGATAGCTTTCTAATTTCTTCAAATTTGTTCTGTCATCTTCCTTTTTTTTTTTTTAATTTAAGAGACGAGGTCTTGCTGTTACTCAGGATGGATTTGAACTGGGCTCTGGATCTTCCTGCCTCGGCCTCCCGAGTAGCTGGGCTTACAGGCATGTGCTGCTGCACCTAGCTAGTCTTCACTTTTTTAAAAGGCAGATTATCAGGAGCACCAACCATGTCAGAGATGCCCAGGGCAGGTGTATGCTGTGTGTTCTTTGTTTTGGGTTCTGCGTGCCGTTGCTTCTGAAGTGGAGCCTGTGGTGCCCTGACTGCAGGGAAATCCACCTTCCCTGTGTGGCTGACTTGAACTCGGGGTTACTGCTAGTGAGATAAATTGAGGCAGAAAAGAAAACGATGCCGCACAGCCGTCGTATGGTTTAAGCGTAACCCGCCTCGTGCGTTTGGTTGGGTGTTGTATGTAATTTGAGCCAGCCCGCAGCCCTTGTGTGCCATGCGCAGTGTTAGCTGAGTGGCTGGGCCCGCTCAGGAGCCTTGGGGGTCAAGCTCTGGCCTAAGGAATGGGGAGGGCACAGCCTACTCCCACCCCCAGGGCCACTTGTGTGTGGTCCTGACTCTCCACCCTTCTTCCTCCTTGACATGGCTTTTGGAGGCTTCCTCCCTTCACTTACTTAGAATGTTCTGGGCCGGGCGCAGTGGCTCACGCCTGTGATCCCAGCACTTTGGGAGGCCGAGGCGGGTGGATTACCTGAGATCGGGAGTTCGAGATCAGCCTGGGCAACACGGGGAAACCCGTCTCTACTAAAAATACAAAATTAGCCGGGTGTGGTGACACATGCCTGTAGTCCCAGCTACTCAGGAGGCTGAGGCAGGAGAATCGCTTGAACCTGGGAGGTGGAGGATGCGGTGAGCCAAGATCACGCCATTGCACTCCAGCCTGGGCAACAAGAGTAAATCTCCGTCTCACCAAAAAAAAAAGAAAAGAAAAAAGAATGTTCTGGACTGGGTGAGGGCACTGTGAATATTTGGTACTGACTGACAGTTGCAGAATCATGTGGTACAAGCAAGACTCTTGGTTGCAAGTTTCAGAAACCCTCCCAGGTGGGCTCAGTGGCAGGAAGGCCCCATGTCTCCAAGGTGGGCTCAGTGGCAGGGGAGGCCGCATGCTGGCCCCATGTGTCCTCCGCAGGGTACACTTGAGATCATTTTCTTTTATTGAAAAGAGTCTGGCTCTGTCGCCCATGTTGAGTGCAGTGGAGCGATCACGACTCACTGCAGCCTTGAACTCCTGGGCCTACGTGATCCCCCTGGCCTAGGCCTCCCAGAGTGCTGGGACGACAGGCATGAGATAATGTGCCCAGCCTTAGACTGATCTTAAAAGTAGACCGGGCCGGGCACGACGGCTCACGCCTGTAATCCCAGCACTTTGGGAGGCCGAGGTGGGCAGATCACCCGAAGTCAGGAGTTCGAAACCAGCCTGACCAACATGGCAAAACCCCATCTCTACTGAAAATACAAAAACTAGCTGGGCATGGTGGCGCGTGCCTGTAATCCCAGCTGCTCAGGAGGCTGAGGCAGGAGAATCACTTGAACCTGGGAGGTGGAGGCTGCAGTGAGCTAAGATTGCACCACTGCACTCCAGCCTGGACGACAGAGCGAGACTCTATCTCAAAAAAAAGTAGACCCTTAGGTTGCTGTGGCGAGCCAGCCTTGTAGCCGACCCTCTTCCCACATAGGACTTGTGACTGAGGGCACCAGCCTCTGAAGCTCCGTGCTGTTCTCTTGGCCATGTGACTGAGGGCACCAGCCTCTGCAGCTCTGTGCTGTTCTCTTAGCCACCAGGGTTCTGTCATCCTTGCTTCTTTGTACCTCTCCTGGACCCAGAGCCTGAAGTGCGGTGGCTGCGCTCACCCAGGGAGGGGTGCGGGGCCTGCGCTCACCCAGGGAGGGGTGCGGGGCAGTGCAGAGCGCAGGTAAGCAGGGAGGGGTGCGGGGCAGTGCAGAGCGCAGGTAAGCAGGGAGGGGTGCGGGGCAGTGCGGAGGGCAGGTGAGCGGGGAGGGGTGCGGGGCAGTGCGGACTACAGGTGAGCGGGGAGGGGTGCGGGGCAGTGCGGACTGCAGGTGAGCCGGGAGGGGTGCGGGGCAGTGCGGACTGCAGGTGAGCCGGGAGGGGTGCGGGGCAGTGCGGACTGCAGGTGAGCCGGGAGGGGTGCGGGGCAGTGCGGACCGCAGGTGAGCGGGGAGGGGTGCGGACTGCAGGTGAGCCGGGAGGGGTGCGGGGCAGTGCGGACTGCAGGTGAGCGGGGAGGGGTGCGGGGCAGTGCGGACTGCAGGTGAGCCGGGAGGGGTGCGGGGCAGTGCGGACTGCAGGTGAGCGGGGAGGGGTGCGGGGCAGTGCGGACTGCAGGTGAGCCGGGAGGGGTGCGGGGCAGTGCGGACTGCAGGTGAGCGGGGAGGGGTGCGGGGCAGTGCGGAGCGCAGGTGAGCCGGGAGGGGTGTGGGGCAGTGCGGAGGGCAGGTGAGCCGGGAGGGGTGCGGGGCAGTGCGGACTGCAGGTGAGCCGGGAGGGGTGCGGGGCAGTGCGGAGCGCAGGTGAGCCGGGAGGGGTGTGGGGCAGTGCGGACTGCAGGTGAGCGGGGAGGGGTGCGGGGCAGTGCGGACTGCAGGTGAGCGGGAAGGGGTGCGGGGCAGTGCGGAGCGCAGGTGAGCGGGGAGGGGTGCGGGGCAGTGCGGAGCGCTGGTGAGCCGGGAGGGGTGCGGGGCAGTGCGGAGCGCAGGTGAGCGGGGAGGGGTGCGGGGCAGTGCGGAGCGCTGGTGAGCCGGGAGGGGTGCGGGGCAGTGCGGAGCGCAGGTGAGCGGGGTGGGGGGGGTTGCGGGGCAGTGCGGAGCGCAGGTGAGCTGGGAGGGGTGCGGGGCAGTGCGGAGCGCAGGTAAGCAGGGTCTCTGGGGCTTGGTTAGTTGGTTCTAGGTCATCAGGCCTGTGAGGCCCAGATTCTGCCACAGAGTAGCTGCCCCCTGGCGGCTCTCCTGGTACCAACCGCCTTCACTTCCAAGTTGACAGCTTGATCATCAACATTTGTCCACTTTGGCTAGTTCCCAGCGTGAAGTAAAAATGGTCAGAACCACCACAGCAACCCTTAGGGGCTCTTCGTATTTGCCGAGCATGGTCAGTAGTACTTTATGTGGATTGTGTGGTCCTCACAGTAGCCCTGGAAAGTGGGTACTATAATTACTTCCATCTCGCAGAAGAGAAAAGTGACGTTTGCAGAGATTAGTTGCTTGCCAGAGGTCGAGTGGTGGAGTGGGGGCTGGGAGCCCCAGGGAGGTGTCCTTAGGGCCCCTGTCCTGGCCCCCGTTGCTCTGCGCATTGTGCCCTGGAGGAGATGTCTGAGCATATAAGGTAGTAGAGGCTGTTGGGGCGGAGAGTGACAGGCCAACACCACTTCATGCTCAGCTGCGGCTGACCCTTGGCAGGAACAAGCCTGTGTTACTTCTGTGGTTTCTGTCTGTTAACATACAGGGAGGTCACTCTTGGGGAGGACCCCATGGGTGGGCTCACCATTGGGGGAGGTCACTGTCGAGGGAGGACCCCCTGGGGTGAATTAGACGTTCGGGGAGGTCACTGTCCAGGGAGGACCCCCTGGGGTGAATTAGACGTTTGGGGAGGTCACTGTCGGGGGAGGACCCCCTTGGGGTGAATTAGACGTTCGGGGAGGTCACTGTTGGGGACGACCCCCGGGTGGGCTCACCACTGGGGGAGGTGACAGTTGGGCTGGGCCACTCCCCTTTCCTCCTCCTCCACTCCGTGGACTCCTGGTGAATTGCTCATGGTTGTCTGTGTGGGTGCGCATCCCCGTGTCCCAGTCCGTCTGTGCTGCTGTAACAGAACGTCGTACACTGGGGGCCTATAAACCACAGACGTTTGTTTATTCCTCACGGCTCTGCAGGCTGGAAGTCCAGGCGCAAGGCGCCGGCAGATCTGGTGTCTGGTGAGGTCCAGCACCTTCTCGCTGTGTCCTCACAGGGCAGAAGGGGTGAGGGAGTGCTCTCTGGGGCAGTAATCCCAGTCCTGAGGGCTCCACCTTCATGGCCTAGTCACCCCCAAGGAGGCCCCACCTCCTAACACCATCACCTTGGGTATTAGGATTTCACACAGGAATTTTGGAGGGGACACAGATTCATTCTGTAGTGTTGTGAATTATGTGTGTATTGAAAATGTTGGTATGTGGTATTTTACGTTAGAAAAGTGTCTGTTTCTTAAAAGAGGCCGAGTTGATTAAAAAAGATACTCAGATCTGCCTGTAGTGGTCCTGTACTGACCTCACTGTCCCCCGGCACTCTGTCCCGTCCCCAGCGTGCTCCGTGCATCCTACACGCATCCTGGTGAGAGGTGTCCTCAGCCCTTTGCATGGACGCTGGTGGGCTGTGTGGGGGAAGGTTGCCCAGCTCTGCTCATGGGGCCTGCAGGCTGCTCGGGGGCACCAGACTCTAGTGTCCCAAGTCCTCAGAGTGTCCCCTGGGGGTTTGTTTTATTTGGACATTTTGATGGGTTTAAAAAGTGTCAAGCTTTGATTTGTGCCTTTCTGAGTAGCGAGTTTGGTAATGCTTATTTGCTGCTCAGCCTCCCCTTCTGGCATTGCACATTCATATCCTGTGCCTGTTATTTTTTTATTCTTATTTTTTTGAGATAGAGTCTTGTTGTGTTGCCCAGGCTGTAGTACAGGGGTGTGATCTCAGATCCTGGCAACCTCCTCCTGAGAGCAGCCCCCGGGCAGAACTCCACCCCCATGACCCAATCAGATCTCACAGGAGAGCACTCACTATCCTGAGAGCAGCCCCTGGGGGAACTCCACCACCACAACCCAATCAGATCTCACAGGAGAGCACTCACTATCCTGAGAGCAGCCCCCCGGGGGAACTCCACCCCCACGACCCAATCAGATCTCACAGGAGAGCACTCACTATCCTGAGAGCAGCCCCGGGAGGAACTCCACACCCATGGCCCAGTCAGATCTCACTATCCTGAGAGCAGCCACGCCATGGGGAACTCCGCCCCATAATCCGGTCACCTCCCACCAGGCCCCTCCTCCAACATTGAGGGTCACAAGTGAACATGAGATTTGCATGGGGACGCAGATCCAAACCGTATGTGCTGTTATGAATAAAGATCCAAACCGTGTCCGCTGTTATGAATAAAGATCCAAACCGTATCCGCTGTTATGAATAAAGGTGCCGAGAACATTTTTTTTCAAGTCTTTTTGTGGACGTGTGTTTTTCTTTGTCTTGGGTAAAAAATACCAAGGAGTAGGATTGCTGATTTACAGGTTGGATTTAGGTTGAACTTCACATGAAACAACCAAACCTCCTTCCACGGTAGCTGCACCATTTTACATTTCCACCAGCTGCAGTGGAGAGTTCCTGGCTCTCCACTTCCTCACCAGCATTTCTTGTGGTCTCTCATTTTGATTACATCCATTCTTGTGAGTGTGCAGTGGTGTCGATCTCATTGTGATTTCATTGGAATTTCCCTGATGATGATGTTCAGCAATTTTTTTTTTTTTTTTTTTTTGAGAGGGAGTCTTGCCCAGGCTGGAGTGCAGTGGCTCCATCTTGGCTCACGGCAAGCTCCACCTCCCAGGTTCAAACAATTCTCCTGCCTCAGCCTCCCAACTAGCTGGGATTAAAGGCATGCACCACCATGCCCAGCTAATTTTGTATTTTTTAGTAGAAATGGGGTGTCACTATGTTGGTCAGGCTGGTCTCAAACTCCTGACCTCAGGTCACCCGCCGGCCTTGGCCTCCCAAAGTGCTGGGATTACAGGCATGAGCCACGGCGCCTGGCCTTTTTGTCCATTTTTTATTGGGCAGGGAGTTTCTGCTTACTCTGGATACAGGTCTTATGTTTATATATTTATATAATTTATGTGAGAAAGAGAAGGCAAGCCTTAGCTGTGGTCACTCTGCTGTCCCAGGCCAGGCTGCCTCAGGGAACCTGGGCCTTGAGATTTGACCTGGCTTGAGCATTTGATGTCTCTGTGCCTCCACTCCCCACCCCTCCACTCCCTGCCCTTGAGATGAGGTCTTGCTTTGTTGCCCAGGCTGGAGTGCAGTGGCATGATCACAGCTCACCACAGTCTTGAACTCCCGGACTCAAGCGATCCTCCCACCTCAGCCTCCCAGGTAGCTGGGACCACAGGCACGCACCACCACGCCTGGCTAATTTTTAATTTATTTCTGGTAGAGATGGAGTCTTGTTATGTTGCCTGTAGGCTGTTCTCAGAACTCCTGGGCTCAAGTGATTCTCCCACCTCGGCCTCCCAAAGTGCTGGGATTGCAGGTGTCAGCCACTGTGCCTGGCCTGTGCCTGTTCCTTAATTGGCAGAGTGTGTGCTGTAAAATGTATATAACAGGGTCTTGGAGGTACCCGACATGCCATTCTTTAATGTCTTATACGTTACTATTATTTTTAAATAAACTGTATTATTTTGAGTTCATTGTAGGTTCCCACGCGGCTGTGAGAAAAGATGGAGATCTTTTCTATTTTAGACCCTTGCCTGGTTTCCCCAGTGGTGACGGTCGGGATGCTAACCCTGGTGCAGGTGAGGCTGTGGAAGTCTCCATCCCCGTAGGGAGCCCTCATGCCACCTCTCAGCCACGCCATTTCCTTACCCTCTGGAAACCTCTAGTCTTTGCTCTGTCTGTGATTTTGTCATTCGAAGGATGCAGTGTAAGGGGAAGTGCAGAATTCTTCAGGTAATTGTGTGTCAGTAGCTTGTTTCCCGTGGTGAGACTCCTCTGCGTGAGTGTGCACGGCTTGCCCAGCCAGCCACCCGTGGAAGGACATCTGGGCTGTTTCCTGTTTTGGCTACTACAGATAAAGCTGCTGTGACACTTGCGTATAGGTTTTTGTGTGAATATACGTTTTCATTTCTGGGATAAATGTTTAAGAGTGCAGTTGCTGGTTCATGTGTGGTAATTATGTGTTTAGTTTGTTAGAAAACTGCCAGATTGTTTTCTTGAGTGGCCATACATTCCCACCAGCAATGTAGGAGCGTATCAGCCTGGTTAGGCTGCCATAACAAAATACTCCAGACTGAGTGGGGAGCAGTAGAAATTCACTCTCGCAGTTCTGGAGGCTTGAAGGCCAAGAGCAAGATGCTGTCAGTGCTGATTCCAGGAGAGGCCTCTTTTGCTGGTTTGCAGATGCTGCCTTTTTTTTTTTTTTTTTTTTGAGATGGAGTCTCGCTCTGTCACCCAGACTGGAGTGCAGTGGCGCAATCTCAGCTCACTGCAACCTCTGCCTCCTGGGTTCAAGCAGTTCTCTTGCCTCAGTTTCCTGAGTAGCTGGGACTACAGGCGCCCACCACCATGCGCCGCTGATTTTTGTATTTTTAGTAGAGACGGGGTTTCACCATGTTTCCCAGGTTGGTCTCAAACTCACGACCTCAAGTGATCTGCCCGCCTCGGCCTCCGAAAGTGCTGGGATCACAGGCCTGAGCCACCGCGCCCGGCCGATGCTGCCTTTTTGCTGAGGGGATGCTGACATCTCTGGTGTGTCTTCATCTTATAAGGACACCAGTCCTATTGGATTAGGGCCCCACTCGTATGAACTTATTTATCCTTCATTACTTGAGGGCCCGTCTCCGCATAGGGTCATCTGGGGCTTCCGCAGATGCATTTTGGGGGCACACAGTTGAGTCCCTAACAGCGAGTTTCTCTTTGTACTCACCAGCATTTGGCGTCGTGGTTTTTACTGTGATCATTGTGATACATGTGTAGCGATACCTCCTTGTGGTTTTGATTTGCATTTTCCCGATAGCTTGGGAGTGCTTCTTTGCCATCTGCATATCTTCAGGGGTGAAATGTCTGTTCATGTCTTTTGCCCACTTCCTAATTATGTTTTTTTGACCAAGTTTTGAGTGTTCTTTATTGTAGATTTAAGTCCTTCGTAGACATGGGGTTTTCAAGTATCTGTTCCTAGTCTGCAGCTTGTCCTTTCGTCCCCTAAACAGGATCTTTTTGGACGCAAACTCAGACCAGTTAATTAAAAAAAAAAAACAAACAAAGCGGGGTCTGTTGCAGATCCAAAGTTTTTCATTGTGAAGTCTGATTTATTTTTCCTTTTACGAATCACGCCTTGTCACAGCTAAGGATTCTTAGCTCTTTATCTTGAAGATTTGTCTCCTGTGTTTTTCTGAAAGTTTTAAACCTTCACAGTTGCAGATTTATGTCCGTGTTTATTTTGGTGAATTACTGTATGTGGCTGGCATTTACATGAAGCTCATTGTCTGGCACCATTTGTGGATCTTCCATGGAGTTGCTTCTGTGCCTCCCTCAGAAATCATCTCGATGGGCTGGGCGTGGTAGCCCAGGCCTGTAATCCCAGCACTTTGGGAGGCCAAGGCACCTGAAGCCAGGAGTTCGAGACCAACCTGGGCAACATAGTGAAACCCCGTCTCTACTAAAAATACAAAAATTAGCCGGGCGTGGTGACGCACGTCTGTAGTCCCAGCTACTGGGGAGACTGAGGCAGGAGAATCGCTTGAACCTGGGAGGCGGAGGCTACAGTCAACTGAGATTGTGCCACTGCACTCCAGCCTGGGTGACAGAGCGAGACTCCGTCTCAAAAAAAAAAGAAAAAGAAGAAGAAATCACCTGGATTGATTTGTGTGGCTGTTTCTGCGATTTTCTTTCCATTCCAGTCATCTTTGTATCTGTCCCTCTGCCAATACCACATAGCCTTGATTAATTTAGCTGTGTAGTAAGTCCTGAGATCAAGTCCAGATATTACTATCTTTAAAAATTATGAAATATTTTAAAATGCAGAAAAATACAGTAACATAACGAACACCTATGTCCTACTATCCAGAATAAACGTTAACCTTTTAACAAAATAGTATCTGGGGCCGGGCATGGTGGCTCACACCTGTAATCCCAGCACTTTGGGAGGCCGAGGCAGGGGGATCATGAGGTCAGGAGATCGAGACCATCCTGGCCAACATGGTGAAACCCCGTCTCTACTAAAAATACAAAAATTAGCCAGGCGTGGTGGTGGGCGCCTGTAGTCCCAGCTACTTGGGAGGCTGAGGCAGGAGAATCGCTTGAACCCGGGAGGCGGAGGTTGCAGTGAGCCGGGATTGTGCCTCTGCACCGCAGCCTGGGCAACAGACCAAGACTCCGTCTCAAAAAAAAAAAAAAAAAAAAAATGGCTCTAAACCTTTTTCACAATTTTGGTAGAATAATGTCGCAATATTCTTGGACTTCTGGGACCTTCTCCTTCCTGGTGGCGTTTTCACCACCAGGAGTTCAATGCACATCCTTCCTGCTCATTTTCCTTCCGCTTTCCCTGCACTGTGTGTGATACTGCGTTAGAGGTGTTAAAAGTCACATCAGTGATGCTGTGTTTTTTTGTTGTTGGTTTTTTGTTTTTTTTTTTTTGAGATGGACTTTTGCTCTGTCGCCCAGGTTGGAGTGCAGTGGCGTGATCTCGGCTCACTGCAACCTCCGCCTCCCGGGTTCATGCCATTCTCCTGACTCAGCCTCCCGAGTAGCTGGGACTACAGGTGCCCGCCACCATACCGGGCTAATTTTTTGTATTTTTAGTAGAGACGGGGTCTCACTGCGTTAGCCAGGATGGTCTCGATCTCACCTTGTGATCCGCCCTCCTCAGTCTGCCAAAGTGCTGAGATTACAGGCCTGAGCCACTGCACCCACCCTGTTTTTGTTTTTTAAGACAAGATCTTGCTCTGTCATCCAGGTTGGAGCACAGTGGCTTGATCATAGCTCACTGCAGCCTCAAACTCCTGGGTTCAGGTGATCCTCCTGCCTCAGCCTCCCTAAGCTTTGGGATTACAGGCATGAGCCGTTCCCAGACCTTAGTATACACTTTTGGTCAGGCACCACTTAGGTGCTGGATGTAGATGTAAACAATGTGGAGGAAATTTCTGCTTCATGGTGTTTGTAGTCTAGCTGAGACAGACGGTAAACAGGTATCCGAGTAGTGTGTGATGTAATGTTAGATATCAGAAAGTGTCAGGAAAAAGGAACAAGTTAATAAAGAGTGGCTGGGATGGGCAGGTGCATTAGGGAAGGCATCGCAGAAGCGGTGAGGAGCAGCTCCTGAGGGACGCAAGGGAGCAAGCCAGGAGGTGCCCAGGGTCAGGGGCCCCTTCCAGGCCTGTGGTGTGTGGGAAGGCCCTGGGCAGGAATGGGCCTGCTGCGTTTGAGGAAGAGCAGTTGTGTCAATGTGGTGGCTTGGAACCAAATGCGGGGTGCGGCTGGAGAGGAGGAGGCTGGGGAGGCACCCAGAGACCTGTGGCCCTGCTAAGGTCATGCGGCACTGAAGGCCTTTGGAGCCTTCTGTCTTTCTAAGGTCATGGGGCGCTGAGGCCCTTGGAGCCTTCTGTCCTGCTAAGGTCATGGGGTGCTGAGGCCTTTGGAGCCTTCTGTCTTTCTAAGGTCATGCGGCACTGAGGCCTTTGGAGCCTTCTGTCTTTCTAAGGTCATGGGGCGCTGAGGCCTTTGGAGCCTTCTGTCCTGCTAAGGTCATGCAACACTGAGACCTTTGGAGCCTTCTGTCCTGCTAAGGTCATGCGGCGCTGAGGCCTTTGGAGCCTTCTGTCCTGCTAAGGTCATGGGGCGCTGAGGCCTTTGGAGCCTTCTGTCTTTCTAAGGTCATGCGGCACTGAGGCCTTTGGAGCCTTCTGTCTTTCTAAGGTCATGCGGCACTGAGGCCTTTGGAGCCTTCTGTCTTTCTAAGGTCATGGGGCACTGAGGCCTTTGGAGCCTTCTGTCTTTCTAAGGTCATGGGGCACTGAGGCCTTTGGAGCCTTCTGTCTTTCTAAGGTCATGGGGCGCTGAGGCCTTTGGAGCCTTCTGTCTTTCTAAGGTCATGGGGTGCTGAGGCCTTTGGAGCCTTCTGCCTTTCTAAGGTCATGCGGCGCTGAGGCCTTTGGAGCCTTCTGCCTTTCTAAGGTCATGGGGCGCTGAGGCCTTTGGAGCCTTCTGTCTTTCCAGTCATGGCATCTGAAAATGAGAGGAGTTTTAGTTCCTCCTTTTTTTTGTGTTTAATATATTTTTTAATTGACAGATAAAATTGATGTCTTTGTCATGTACGCTATGATGTTTTGAAGTATATATGCATCGTGGAATGACCACATCTAGCTAGTTAACACATGTACTGCATCATAGTTGTCAGTTTTGGGGCATTTTTCAGAATGTAATCTGTCGTTAGTAACTGTATAGTCACCGTGTTGTACAGTGGATCTCTTGAGCTTATTCTTCCTAGCTAACTGAAGTTTTGTCTTTCGTTAGTTTTTCCTTTTTGATCTTTATGCCTTTTATTAATTTTCCTAGCTTTCTTGCATTAACTCGAATCTCCAGTAAAATGTTGGCTTACAGTGCTGAGAGCAGACATCTTGCCTTGTTTCTGATCTTAGGAAGAAAACACGATTAAGTCTTATGTTAGAAGTCAGTTTTTTGTAGTTGTTGTTTCTAAATTTTGTTGGTGATCCAGTGTTCCCTATTCTGCTAATGTTGTTTACTACAGTGATTGATTTTTTAATGTTACACCAACCTTGCATTCCTGGGATGAATACCACCTGGTCATGATGTAGTATCCTTATTATGTTTTGCTGGAATCAATTTGCCAGTATTTTCTTGAGGATTTTTTGTGTCTATGGTAATGAGTGATCTCTTTCCTTAATTTGGTATTTATACCCTTCTTTGGTTAGTGTTATGCTAACTTCAAGCAATGAGCTGGGAACCCTTCTCCTCTATCTAATGAAAGACTTTATAAGCTTGTTGTGATTTCTTCCTTAAGTGTTTGATGTAATTTAGCAGTGGAGCCATCTGTTTTCTATTTTCTATTTCATGGATTTCCATTTACTTCCTTTCATCTGTGTTTTTCCTCACAGATTTATTTATTATTTAAATATTTTAACAGTTGAGATAAAAATGAGATATACAGGCTGCATGTTTTAAATGTTTCGGCACATGTCATGTATGTATGTGTGTGTCACACACTGTATCTGCCACGCTAATCAAGGCAGCAAACATGTGCGTCAGCGCCACGGTCTCCCTCCTCCCCACGGTAACCCTTCGCCCTGCTTTCCTGTTCCCATCCCAGGAAACCACTGATTGGCCTTCTGTTACTATAGATTCATTTGCATTTTCTAGAGTTTTCTGTACACTAACTGTATGTGTATATGTACTCTCTTTTTTTGGCCTGGCATTGGCCTTCTGTTACTATAGATCCATTTGTGTTTTCTAGAGTTTTCTGTACACTGACTGTATGTGTATATGTACTCTCTTTTTTTGGCATGGCATTGGCCTTCTGTTACTATAGATCCATTTGTGTTTTCTGGAGTTTTCTGTACACTGACTGTATGTGTGTGTATGTACTCTCTTTTTTTGGCCTGGCATTGGCCTTCTGTTACTATAGATTCATTTGCATTTTCTAGAGTTTTCTGTACACTAACTGTATGTGTGTGTATGTACTCTCTTTTTTTGGCCTGGCATTGGCCTTCTGTTACCATAGATCCATTTGCGTTTTCTGGAGTTTTCTGTACACTGACTGTATGTGTGTATGTACTCTCTTTTTTTGGCCTGGTCGTTTGTGTTTTCTGGAGTTTTCTGTACATTGACTGTATGTATGTGTATGTACTCTTTTTTCGCCTGGCATCTTTTACTCGGCATACTGCCTTTTCGTGTGTTATTCATGTTGTTGCATGTAACAGCAGTTTCCTCCTTTTTATTGCTAGGTAGTGTTAGAGGTGTGGGTAATTTGTTCATTCACCTGTTGATGGACATTTGGGTTGCTTCCATTTTTAGGCTATTGCACATGAAGCTGCTGTGTAGAAGTCTCTTTACGCACATGTGCCTTCATTTTTCTTGGGTAAATACACAGCAGCGTAATGTCAGGGCTGTATTGTTGATTTATGTTCACCTTTTTAAGAAATCGCCAACATGTTTTCCAGAGTGATTGTACCATTTTCCATTTCCAAAAGCTGTGCATAAGCATTCCAGTCGCTCCACATCCTCAGCGACACTTGGTCTGGGCGGTTTTTAAATGTCAAGTATTCTGCTAGGTATGGGGTCCTATCTTCGCGGTTTAAGTCTGCATTTCTCTAATGGGCAGTGGTGGGACACGTTGTGTACTTGTCACAAGTATATCTTTGGTGATGTGTCTATTCATATCTTTTGCACATTAAAAATTTTGTTGTTTTCTGGGCGTGGTGGCTCACACCTGTAGTCCCAGCACTTTGGGAGGCTAGACCCGCCTGGGCAACTTGGCGAAACCTCGTCTCTTCAAAGAATAAAAAAATTAGCCGGGTGTGGTGACGCATGCCTGTAGTCCCAGCTTCTTGGGAAGCTGAGGTGGGAGGATCACTTGAGCCCAGATGTCGAGGCAGTGGGTTGTGATAGTGCCACTGCACTCCATCCTGGTGACAGAGTAGGACCCTGTCTCAGAAGAAAAAAAAATTGTTGTTACTTGGATTTTTAAAATATTTTCTCGATAGAAGTCCTTTATTAGGTATATGATTTGCAAAACTTAGTAGTGATTTATCTTTTCATCCTCTGACCAGTTTTCAAAAAGCAGAAATTCCTGAAGTCCATTTATCATTATTTTTCTTTTATGGGTCCTGCTTTTGTGCTTATATCTAAAAAATCACTGCCTAACCTTGGGCATGTGGAAGCACAGTTGGTTTTTGTATGTTGCCCTTATATCCAACAACCATCCTGAATGCGTTTGTTATGGTAGCTTTTCTTTAGTAGATTTCACCAGATTTTCTGCATAGATAATCATGTCACCTGCAGATAAAAATAATTTTACTCCTTTTTTCATCTGGATGCCTTTTATTTCTTTTTCTTGACTGATGGCACCGGCGAGAACTTCCTCACAGTGTCGACCATCAGTGGTGAGAACAAGGATCCCCGCCTCCTTCCTGATCTCAGAAGGGAGGATTCGACATTGCACCACGAAATGCAGTGTTCCTGTTGGTCTCTCACAGATGCCGTCTATCAGGCTGGGGAGGTTTCTTTCTGTCCTCGTTTGCTGAGAGTTTTAAATTTCATGATGTAGTTTTTCCACTGCAGAAACCTAAAAGAAAACTAAGCAAATTAGACCCCAAAACAATAGAATTAAATTGATTTTCAAATGTTAAACCAACTCTGCTCCTGATGTCTTGGTGGGCTTGGTTTGCTGTTTTATGAAGAATTCTTGGGTCCACATTCGTGAGTGATGTTGGTGTGTATTCTCTTTTATGTCTTTTCCTCTTTTGGGCGTCGGGGAAGGAGGTCCCCTCTCTTGTTCTGGGTATTGGTGATCTGTCCTCTCTCTCTGGATCAGTCTGTCTAGAATTTATCAGTCTCGTTGGTCTTTGGAGAACTGCTTGTGGTTTTGTTTTTCCTTCTATTGACCTCTGTTCTTAGGTTATTCCTGTCTGTCTCTGGAGTAGAGGAAGTGAAAGGCAGTGGTGTATGCACTGGGGCCGCGCACGCTGGGGCTGAGTGCGGGGGGCCATGTACGCTGGGGCTGAGTGCACGGGGCCGTGTATGCTGGGGCTGTGTGTGTGGGGCCGTGTATACTGGGGCTGTGTGTGTGGGGCCGTGCACGCTGGGGCTGAGTGCGGGGGGCCGTGTACGCTGGGGCTGTGTGTGTGGGGCCGTGCACGCTGGGACTGTGTGTGTTGGCCGTGTGCGCTGGGGCTGTGTGTGTTGGGGGCCGTGTGCGCTGGGGCTGTGTGTGTTGGGGGCCGTGTACGCTGGACCTGTGTGTGTGTGGGGCCGTGTACGCTGGGGCTGTGTGTGTTGGGGGCCGTATATGCTGGGGCTGTGTGTGTGTGGGGCCGTGCACGCTGGGGCTGTGTGTGTGTGTGGGGCCGTGCATGCTGGAGCTATCTGTGTTGGGGGCCGTGTACGTTGGGGCTGTGTGTGTATGGGGCCGTGCACACTGGGGCTGTGTGTGTTGGGGGCCGTGTATGCTGGGGCTGTGTGTGGGGCCTTGCACGCTGGGGCTGAGTGCGGGGGGCCGTGTATGCTGGGGCTCTGTGTGTTGGGGGTGGGGCTGTGCACGCTGGGGCTGTGTGTGTGGGGCCGTGCACGCTAGGGCTGAGTGCGGGGGGCCGTGTACGCTGGGGCTATGTGTGTGGGGCCGTGCACCCTGGGGCTGTGTGTGGGGGGCCGTGCACGCTGGGGCTGTGTGTGTGTGGCCGTGCACGCTGGGGCTGTGTGTGTGTGGGGCCGTGCACGCTGGGGCTGTGTGTGTGTGGGGCCGTGCACACTGGGGCTGTGTGTGTGGGGGCCGTGCACGCTGGGGCTGTGTGTGTGTGGGGCTCTGTGTGTGGGGCCGTGCATGCTGGGGCTGTGTGTGTGGGGGCCGTGCACGCTGGGGCTGTGTTTGTGTGGGGCCGGGCACGCTGAGGCTGTGTGTGTGGGGCCTTGTACTCTGGGGCTGTGTGTGTGTGTGGCCGTGCACGCTGGGGCTGTGTGTGTGGGGGGGGGCCGTGCACGCTGGGGCTGTGTGTGTGGGGGCTGTGCACGCTGGGGCTGTGTATGTGTGGGGCCGTGCACGCTGGGGCTGTGTGTGTGGGGGCCGTGCACGCTGGGGCTGTGTGTGTGGGGCCGTGCACGCTGGGGCTGTGTGTGTGGGGCCGTGCACGCTGGGGCTGTGTGTGTGTGGGGGCCGTGCACGCTGGGGCTGTGTGTGTGGGGCCGTGCACGCTGGGGCTGTGTGTGTGGGGCCGTGCACGCTGGGGCTGTGTGTGTGGGGGCCGTGCACGCTGGGGCTGTGTGTGTGTGGGGCCGTGCACGCTGGGGCTGTGTGTGTGTGTGGGGCCGTGCACGCTGGGGCTGTGTGTGTGTGGGGGGGCCGTGCACGCTGGGGCTGTGTGTGTGGGGGCATGTATGCTGGGGCTGTGTTTGCGGGGGGCGTGTACGCTGGGGCCATTATGTTTTGTAGAAAACTGCTGGCCACGCCACAAGTCAATTTGTATTTTACTTAGTGAAGGTATTTTTAAAGCCTGATATGTTAAATAAAATCATAGCATTGAACTGACAAGTCTTTTTAATTTTCAGGAGGGTTTGCATTTGTGTATGAAGCTCAAGATGTGGGGAGTGGCAGAGAGTATGCATTAAAGGTAATGAACCATTTAACGCCTTCTCTGGATTTCTGACGTATGTAAAGGGACTGTCTGGTGACAGTCTTTTCAGGGATGCGTCCCTGTTACGTACTTTGTTTCCTTTTACAGCCTGGACATACTTGTCCCTTTTGCTTCTGCTGAATCTCAGCAGCCTTGGGCACTGCAGGAGCCTTGGTCTCCAGCTTTGGGCTTCACACTCCTGTGGCCCTGCCTGCCCTGTGGCAGGGGCTGTGCTGGGGGTGACCTCATGGTGGGGTCATGCCCTCTTGGCCTCCATGTGCCAAAATAAGGGCTCTATGAATACAAGGAGTTTAAAAGCTGCTTGTAAAAAATATTTGTTGCTAGCATTTCTGTAAATAGGGGTCACTGTGGGAGGGTCTGTACTGTGCAGTTTTGTCCTGAGACGTAAGAAGGCCCCATTTGCTGTCACCACGCTGGGCACCAGGGTGGCCCCGCCTTTGAGAGTGGGCATGAGTGGGCCTGTTGTCGTGGTCTGCACGCCTGCTGCCCCCGTGTCTGCAGAGCATTGCCGCTCTTCCTTCTTGTCTGTCTCATTTTACTCTGGCCCATTTGGGGAAAGGCTCCTGCTTTTGACTTTTCTTGTGTCCTTGCATCACAAAGATCTTTTGAGGGTCTTGAACCCCCAGCACGTTTTTACAGGGGTCAGAGGTGGAGACACACGAAACGGGGGGAGCTGTATTAGACACATTGCATTGCTCTGTTGCGTGCTTATGTCTGAGATGATGCATCGGGTGGAGTAGGAAGGTAAACTTGCTTTCATCTTTTGTGTGTGCTGTTTCCTGATACAGAGGCTATTATCCAATGAAGAGGAAAAGAACAGAGCCATCATTCAAGAAGTTTGCTTCATGGTATCCTTTTCCTGGAACCAGGAGCCAGCACGGTGGCTTTGGCAGGCACAGGCCTGCGTCAAGCTGTGACCGCCAGTGGCCAAGAGGCTGCTCCGTGACGTTGTCTTTCATGTGTTAAAATCGGCTTTTTGCTTTTACCAAACCTAGTTGTAGGCGACTTCTAGGAAGAAGCAGTTTTTTCTGTTTTTTTTTTACTGCCAGGGTAATAGTAGAAGATTCAGAAGTGTTGGGAATGAAGTTGTTCCTACCCAAGAGGTCTCCCTGCCCAGTGGATGGGCTGGTTACCACAGGGGGCCCTTGCCCGGCCCGGCCCCCTCAGCTCCTCCGGAGACCTGGCTGAGAGCCGTGCAGATGGCCTGGCTCCCACAGGCCCCGATGTGGCTTCTCAGCCGCCCCTCTCGTCCCTTCTCAGGCTGTCCCAGCATGACTGGGCGGGGCATCTCCCGGCGCTGACAGAGGATCTGGGGGCTGCACTCCCTGTCCACTGCCACATGTCCCTCCTGAGCCTGGAGTCTTCGGCCCTGGCTGCCCTCAGACTCTGCCTCTCTTTCCTCTCCTAGCTCTGTTCACTCGGAGAGCCCGCCGGCTGCCTGAGTGTGGGTTCGGGTGGACACAGCCACGCCGCAGCCTCCCTGCGCACAGCCCCCTGAGGGCCCTGCCTCCTCCTGCCACGCGCGGGATGGACTTTGGTGTCGCTGTGGTCAGGTGTGTGTGGCCGGTGTGCCTGCCTTTGTCCCCGCCCTCTCCTGCAGCTCCTCCTGCCTCTGTCTGCCTTTCTCTCGGTCGTCCACTGCTCTCTCCCTCATCTTCCGCTCTGACGTCTAAAATTGTAAGGGTTCGATTCAAGTATTCTGACTTCAGTGTGTTAATATTGTCTACATTTATTTTGAAGTGCACAGAACTGTGGACATGGTTATGTACGTTCTCCTTTAACAAGACAACTGCAGAAAAAGCTTTCCGGCCACCCGAACATTGTCCAGTTTTGTTCTGCAGCGTCTATAGGAAAAGAGGAGTCAGACACGGGGCAGGCTGAGTTCCTCTTGCTCACAGAGCTCTGTAAAGGTAACGTCCTGTGAAGGCCGGCTTGGTGCCATCTAACCCAGCAGAGGCCGGCTTGATGCCTCCTAACCCAGCTGCATGGCTGTGAAACATGCCCGGCATCTTCTCTCAAGCTGTGTTGGTCTTAGCGGGAAGCGCGGGCAGCTCTCTGACAGTAGTTCTGTGAGAGGCCCACGCTGACGCCCAGTGAGCTTCCCACTGTCCCGGTGGGCCACCTGCATCGTCTCCTCGTGGAGCTGCGGGCAGCCAGAGAGCCGGGCTCCCATCCTGCCTGTCTCCAGTGGCAGCACGGGGTAGAGCGTGGTGGCCTTCCGTGAGTGGTGTTTAGCAGGGGTGGAGGAGCGTCTGTCCTTCTCAGGGCTCTGGGGTCCCTGTGGGGTGGAGCGTGGTGGCCTTCCATGAGCGGTGTTGAGCAGGGTGGAGGAGTGCTGCTGTCCGTCCTTGTCAGGGGCTCTGGGGTCCTGGCAAGGAGAAGAGAGGCCGCAGAGGTGGACAACTCCAGGTCCCTCTGTGGGTGCCCAGCCTCATCAGGGTTGAGCCCAGGAAGATGGCACAACGACTCCATGGTCCGTTTGTCAGGACAGGAAGAGAGGCCGGTGGGTTGGGGTGGTGCTTTCGGAGAGTTCTAGGGGCAGAGTGGTCTGTGTGAGTGACTGCGGGGGATGTCGTGTTGGTGTCACCGGAGCCCACGCTGACTGGCCGGAGACCTGGCCTGACCCTGCTGAGCCTCAGGCTGTGTCTGCAAAGGGGAAACAAGACCTGTGCCTCAGAGGGCGGCTCCACCCCCAGCCCTGCCTCGTGCCGATGCCCTCCAGAACTCCTGTGCCAGGTGACGAGGGGAAGTCGAGCACTCGGGGAGGCCTCAGAGCTGTGGCCTGGCCGGTGAGGGGGTGGTGACACTAGTGACCCCTGCGTCTGTCCCCCAGGCAGGGAGAGAGGGGAGAGGAGAGGCCGGGAGCAGCAGGGGAGACTGAGGCAGGGAGTCCCACAGAAGGAAGCCTGTGGGGAGGGCACCTGTAGCCGCGTGAGATCTGTCGTCCACAAGCCAGCCCCTGCTCAGCAGCCAGGAGGAGCTGTTCCCGCAGGCCGGCTAGCGCAGGCCTGAAGGGACAGGTAGGGGTGGGGCAGCAGGTTAGCAGAGAGGGCAGCAGGAGGGGCATGTGTCCAGAAATGGAGGGCGAGCAAGGGGGTTCTGAGCTGAGGGGGGACCCCTGCACTGAGCAGGGCCCTGAGCGTCGTGGAAGGGGCCCTGTGCTTAGTGGAGGGGGGACTGCACTTAGTGGGATGGGGGCATCCCGTGCTTTGTGGGGGGCCTGCATTTAGTTGGGGGGGCCCTGAGCTTCATGGAGGGGGACTGCACTTAGCGGGGGGCTCTGTACTGCTGAGGGCTGAGGGTAGGTGTCCCTGTGCTGAGCTGGGGGAGCCCTGTGCTGAGTGAGGGAGGGTGGACTGTGGGGTGTAAGCTGCTTGGATATAGCGGCTGCACCTGTCAGTGCCCTGTTGGGCAGGGTCTCTTCTCTGCAGCTGTGCCTGGGAGGAGCTGGGTGAGACCTGACTGCCTGCGGGCCCCTGGCTCTGCCCATGCTTCTCTGCCTGGGGGTCCCACCTGGCCCTTCCTTGATGCCACACCTGGCAGCTGGCCCAGGCCCCTCTGCGGCCCTCCAGCGCCTGTTGCCAGGGTTGTCCTGACGTGGGTGGCGGATGGGTGCTTGACGTGGCCGAGAAGTCTCGGGGGTTGGGGGTGGTCAGAGCCGCCTGCAGGCTGAGGAGATGCTGCCAGGTAGCCCCAGTTCTTCATCTGACACTGTGGGGATGTGCCGCTTGTGTTTCTCAGTGTTGTGTTCTGAAACGTCAAACTGGCGGAAAAGTTGAAGGCAGCACAAGGGGCGTCCATTGTCCACTTCCTGCTCATGGGGTTCCCCAGACTTGAGCGTGTCCCACGGCGGCTTTCCCTCTCTCCATTCTAACCGTTTAAAAATAAGTCGCAGACGTCAAGACCAGAAAGCCTCATAACTCTATACAGCCTGAGAGAAATTCCATGATGGCCACTGGTGTTTGTGCCCCTGAGAAGATCCTCGCGATTTGGTGAGGCTGTGCTGTGTGGTCCGTGCTGGGCCCTTCCCGTCCCTGTCTCTCCCATCCCTGACACGCCGCTCCCGGCCCCTCCCGTGCGTCCATGCAGTCCGTGCTGGGCTGTCTCCCCCATCCCTGACACGTCGCACCCGGCCCTTCCCGTGCGCATACCGGGGCCTCGTCAAGGCTCCTGTGTGTGTTCGGTTGAGGTGTCTGTCAGTCAATCTCTTGTTGTTCATGGCACTGTTTTCTCTGGATGTCCCTGGACTCTGACACCCGCTCCTGCGCTGCGCTTCTAGGGCCTCCTCCAGAGCTGGGAGGTGCTGAAACCAGTGGGATTAAGATTTGTCGGGAGCACGCATCACGCCGTGGGGCCTCCCGCTCGTGGTGTTACTTGTCAGTTTTCATTATAAAAGAATACATGCTGATTGACAAAATACAAATAACACAGAGTTAGGCCAGGCACGGTGGCTCACGCCTGTAATCCTAGCACTTTGGGAGGCCGAGGCGGGTGCATCGCTTGAGGTGAGGAGTTCGAGACTAGCCTGGCCAACATGGCTAAACCCCGTCTCTTTTGTATTGTAAAAATACAAAAATTAGCCAGGCATGGTAGTGGGGGCCTGTAATCCCAGCTACTCGGGAGGCTGAGGCAGGAGAGTTGCTTGAACCTGGGAGGTGGAGGTTGCAGTGAGCCGAGACTCTTGTCTCAAAAAAAACCAACAACAACCCAGAGTTTTATGAGTGCTTATAAAAATGGGATTTTACTTTATATAATTTTCCTTTTTAAAAAAATTGACCGTATCAGGCGTATTTTTTTTGGAGACAGGGTCTTGCTTTGTTGCCCAAGCTGGAGTGCAGTGATTCATAGCTCACTGTAGCTTCAAACTCCTGGGCTCAAGCAGTCCTCCCGCCTTAGCCTCTGGAGTAGCTGGGACTTCAGGTGTGCACCACCATGCCCAGCTAATTTTAAAGAGTAAACTTTTCTTAGAGACAGAGTCTCACTATGTTGCCAGGCCGGTCTTGAACACGCGAGCTCAAGCAACACCTGTAGCACTGGGATTACAGGTGTTGGCCCCTGTGCCTGGCTAAGTTTTGTATTTTTTGTAGAGATGGTGTCTTGCTGTGTTGCCCAGGCTGGTCTTGAACTCCTGGGCTCAGGTGATCCTCCCACCAAGGCCTCCTGAGGCGCTGGGATCGCTGGCGAGAGCACCCTGCTCAGGCCTCTTTCCACGTGGTGCGGTCGCTTCGTTCCATCCAGAAGGCTGCTTGGTTTTCCTGGTGTGGATGCATCACTGCGTCTTCTGTTTGAGGCCTGCGGGCTTTCTCCTGGAGCTGCAGCCTGCCTGCTGTGTGAGCCTTGCCGCACCCTCTGCCCAGCACACTTGGAGTAACTTGGATAAAGGCCAGACGGGGCTTCCTGTGGGTCTAGTGATGGATGTTTTGCTGATTATCTCCCTCGTTTGTCATTTCCGAGATCAGAAAGCCTTTGCGAGGGGTAAATCTTGGTTCTAGACATTCCGGCTTTGGAAGGCTTGAGCAGGACGGGTGTGAAAACTGAAGCTGCTCGGCGTCCAGTGTGTTCCCAGGATATGTGCACGAGGGAGCGGCGGGGACAGGGCCGGGGCCAGCGGCTCATCGCTGACCCTGCATGGGGTGGTGTGGGAAGGAGAGGGGCCGGGCCCAGCCCCTCAAGTCATAAATACACGAGGCAGACTAACGCATGCGCGCGCCAGCTCACTCCTGGGGACTGCCTGTCTGGAGCAGCATGTGCGGCTGAGAGCTGAGCTGCAGGGCTCTGTGGATGGCACAGCTGTGCCAGGGGAGAGCCGTGGCATCTCTGAGAAGCGGGAGGGATGTGGGCTCCCCCGTGCAGCTGCAGGTTCAGGGCTCACTGGAGGAGGCCTGGAGGTCGGGCTCCGGGGATGTGCCCGGTCCCTCCCATGAGGCAACCCCTCCAGTGTCCTCTGAGGGAAGAGCCACATACCGGTTCCCCACTCAGCCACATACAGAATTTTTACTTTTAAAAACCCCATTTATTCTCACTGAGAATGAGGCACTGAACAGGGGGCCCAGTTACCACTGAAACAGACTCGCCCATCCATGATGGCCAGCGTAGAGGGCAAGTCACCCCCACTCTGACTCCCCGGGCCTGGCCTCAGCCTCTCCCGGGTCTGTTCCTCTCTTTCTGAGCACCCCATTCCTTCTATGGGTGCCCCTCATTTTTCCTGAGAGCCCCCCTGTTTCTCAGAGGGTCAGCACAAAGCTTTTGAGGGAGCTGTGGTGAGGGCTGAGAGGGCTTTCACCTGGGGTTGAGGGCCAGGGCCGGCAGAGCTGGGGGAGTGGGAGGGCCCCTCAGCTGGGTGCAGGTGGGGGCAGTGCTGGGCTGTGCTGGGGACACGCAGGTGGGTCCGGTCTGTGAGTCGATTCTAGCGTGGCCCAGCCTGAGCTGTGGCAGGTCCCGACCGGCTCTCACACCATGCCTTCATTGTCAGTGGAATTGAGTCGGCTACACGCTCTGCTGTGTGCAGGCATCGGGGGCTCAGTGACTCGCCAGACACAGCTGATCCATGCCCATGGCAGGTGGTTGGGTGGCTCGAAGAGCCAGGGAGAGAATGAGTCCCAGGAGAAGGGTGCACGTTTAGGTGGTGTGGGCAGAGTTGGTTCCTTGGGAGGTGAGCAGAAGGGGCGGTCTGGGAGGCATCCTGGCCGCAGAAGCAGCTTGTGAGGGGTCCTGAGGCAGGGAGGAAGGGAGGCCAGTGTGGCTGGGAGCGCAAGCTCTGGCAGCGTGGGGGAGACCCTGAGTGTGGGTTCCGTGGGTGGTGGTACTGGCCTTGGCTCTGGGGCTGCAGGGGTCGTGGCCTTCAGGGGTGTGGAGTGGGATGAGCAGAGGGTGACGGTGGCTGCTCTGTAGAGAGCAGAGGCAGGAGCACGGGGCTGAAAAGATGGGGCACAAGATGCAGAGGCCCCAGGGATGATGCCACACATGGACTGTGGCCAGCTGAAGTGGGCAAGACCCAGGGTAAGATCAGGGTAGGAGCAGGATGGGTTGGGTCTGCACGTCTGTGGGGGCTGCATAGGGGTGCTGGGGTGACTGGCAGTGTGAATGCTTCAGTCCCCAGCAGGTCCTCAGCCCTGCGTGCTGCCCCGGCCCCACATCCCTGGTTTCCTGGTTGGGCCAGGGCTAGGGTGCCTGGAAGGTGCCAGCCATGGCAGGACGGGCTCCCTGGGGTGTGGGTCACGCACAGGCACTGATACTGTCGTGAATGTGAGAATGATCATTTGTCATCTGAGGACACTGAGTGTTCACTTAGAGGTTTGAGCACTTGTGTATTTGTAGTCATTTCTCTTTGTATCCATGTTAATGACATGCCTGGCTCGGTTGCCAGGACACAGATGTGATTCTCACGTTAACGGCTCGCCGGCTCGGCTGCTGAGATGCCAGTGTGGTTCTCACGTTAATGGCTTGCCACCTCGGCTGCTGGGACGCCAATGTAGTTCTCATGTTAACGGCACGCCAGCTCAACTGCTGGGATGCCGATGTGGTTCTCACGTTAACGGCATGCCAGCTCAGCTGCTGGGATGCTGACGCGGTTGTTGCTTCGGTGACGCTTGGGCGTCTTGCCCCCTGGCCTCTGCTCTGTGTGTGACTTGACTGTGGGGCTGCTCCGAGCCCACCCCTGCCACTGGGTGGTGGTCCCACACACGGGGCTGAGGTGGGCATCCTCATACCTGCAGCCCTTTCTGCAGCAGCTGAAGGAAGGAAAGGTGGGAGCGGCACTCAGGGTGGGCTTAACTGGGACTGTGGCTGGAAAAGGCAGCGTGGCCTGGTGTGGTGGCGTCTGCAGTAACGTGGCCTGGGGTGTGGCGGAGTCCGTAGCATGGCCTGGGGCATGGCAGAGTTCAAAGTGTGGTGTGGCGTCTGTAATGTGGCCCAACGTGGCAGAGTCCGTGGCATGGCCTGGGGCGTGGCAGAGTCCGAAGCGTGGCCTGGTTTGGCGGAGTCCGTAACGTGGCCTGGGGCGTGGCGAAGTCCGTAGCATGGCCTGGGGCGTGGCGGAGTCCGTAGCGTGGCATGGGGCGTGGCGGAGTCCGTAGCGTGGCATGGGGCGTGGCGGAGTCCGTAGCATGGCATGGGGCGTGGCGGAGCCCCTAGCGTGGCGCGGCGTGGCAGAGTCTGTAGCGTGGCCTGGGGCCAGGGAGGGCAGAGCACTGATTGCTCCACGGTGATGATGTTAACCGTAGAGAGTCGTGACTGCAAGTTGTCCAGGTTCTTGGCATTTTGAACAAACTGGACAGAACGCCCAGCGAAACAAAGAAAGAATGAAGCAACAAAAGAACGAAAGCGGGAATTTATTGAAAACAAAAGTACACTCCACGGTGTGGGGGTGGCCCAAGCAGCGGCTCAAGGGCCCAGATGCAGAATCTTCTCGGGTCCAAATACCCCCTAGAGGTTTCCCACTGGCCACTTTGTGCTCACCTCATGTAAACGAAGTGGTAGCCCGCCATCAGCCTAATGGTTGCAGAAAGCAGCCAACCAGAAGGTCACACTCCTGTGCAAACATCTGATTGGTTACGAAAAGCAATCAGAAGACAGGGTGAAGTTACAGAGTTGCAAACGAAGAGGAGATCTGCAGTCAGGCAGTTTCCCATCTGCCAGGCAGAAAAGGTCAAAGGGAGTCACCTCTGGTCGTTTTGTTACTTAGGTGTGGAAAGTCAGGGTTTTCCTTTCCATTTAGTTCTGGGAAGTCCGCGTGAAACAGCCCTAGGTTCCCTGTCTCCGGACCCTGTTCTCCTGCCTCCATGTGAGTTTCATTCTCTTTTAGGGCAGCTGGTGGAATTTTTGAAGAAAATGGAATCTCGAGGCCCCCTTTCGTGCGACACGGTTCTGAAGATCTTCTACCAGACGTGCCGCGCCGTGCAGCACATGCACCGGCAGAAGCCGCCCATCATCCACAGGGACCTCAAGGTAGTGGCTCCCTCCACACGCGGCTGCCAAGGCCTCTGTGTGCGGGTCCCACTCGGTTAGGAGCCGCCCATCATCCACAGGGACCTCAAGGTAGCGGCTGCTGAGGCCTCTGTGTGCGGGTCCCGCTCGGTTAGGAGCCGCCCATCATCCACAGGGACCTCAAGGTAGCGGCTGCTGAGGCCTCTGTGTGCGGGTCCCGCTCGGTTAGGAGCCGCCCATCATCCACAGGGACCTCAAGGTAGTGGCTCCCTCCACACGCGGCTGCCAAGGCCTCTGTGTGCGGGTCCCGCTCGGTTAGGAGCCGCCCATCATCCACAGGGACCACAAGGTCGTGGCTCCCTCCACACGCGGCTGCCAAGGCCTCTGTGTGCGGGTCCCGCTCGGTTAGGAGCCGCCCATCATCCACAGGGACCACAAGGTAGTGGCTCCCTCCACACGCAGCTGCCAAGGCCTCTGTGTGCGGGTCCCACTCGGTTAGGAGCCGCCCATCATCCACAGGGACCACAAGGTAGTGGCTCCCTCCACACGCGGTTCACAGCCTCTGTGGGGGGCTCCCGCTCAGTTAGGATGCAGGGGTGAGAGCAGGTGAGGCTACACCATCTCACCTAGAAGATGTGCGTGAGCCTCTCAACAGTGGAAGCGGATCTTCCAGAAACGTTGCTTTTCCAGCCCTGAAGAAAATTAGCATCTGTCTCACAGGCCTTTGCCGACAGAGATCCCGGGATGGCCCCGCCTCCCTGCTGGGGGCCTTCACGCCCAGTTGGGGGTGCTCACAGCCTGGAGCTTCCGTCTGGAATACCAGGTCCCCATGCTGGATGCTTGCTCACTCCAGTTTCCGTGGGGAGCTGTGGACGAGGGTGCCCGCCGGTGGTGTCAGTTCAGGACCCTATTCCTGCTCACCCCACACTCCTTCCTCGGCCGCCCCCCCACCGCCCCCCGGTGGTGTCACTATAGGCCCCGCACTCCTGCTCACCCCACGCTCCTTCCTCAGTCCCCTGGTGGTGTCAGTTCAGGCCCCGCATTCCTGCTCATCCCACGCTCCTTCCTCAGCCCCCCAGTGGTGTTGGCCCAGGCCCCCAACTCCTGCTCACCCAGTGCCCCTTCCTTGGCCCCTGGGCAGTCCTGGACCCCACAGTGCCTCCCTGGTTCGGCCTCTTGGAGCTGGGAGGAAGCCTGGCGCTCCTCTGCCTGGCCCTGTCTCAGGCGCTGGGGTCGGGGGCCGGACCCCTTGCCTACTCAGCTTGAGGGGAGCTCTTTGCACTTCCTGACTGTCCCCCCACTGCACCTCCCCTTCCGTTCACCGGCAGACTCTCCTGCCCATCTCTCCTGTCACCACGGGTTTCTCCGAGGCGTGGCATCCCGGGGTTGGCGTGATGTGGGCATGAGCCACTGGCTGCATGTAAAAGGGCCGTCCTGCCCACCACACTGCCACACAGATGCTTCTAGACTGGGGCTGGGCTCGCGCTCCATCCCTGCCCACCACACCGCCACACAGGTGGTTCTGGGCCGGGGCTGGGCCTGCGCTCCGTGCTGCTGCCGGCACTGCGCGGTTTCCATGTGATGTGGCTGCTTCCCACAGCCCCACAGAGGACACTCCTGCCCCGTGGGCTGTCCATGCCCTGAGCTGCCTGTGTTGATTTTGGCTGGCCTGGTGGGGAGTATAGTCTGACGGGTTGTGATTTTGCCTTTTCCTGATGTTAATGAAGTTGAATGTTTGTTATAGTCATTCGGGTCTTGCTCTTCAGTAAACTTCCTTTTGTTTCTTGCCTTTTTCAAAGATTTTCCACTGGCTTGTGTGTTTGGTTCGTTGGAGCAGCTTGTGTATTCTCATAATCTGCTAAGTGTCGCCTGTGCTGCCGGCGTCTTCTGGTTTGTGGCCCAGTTTTCACTCCTGCTGTTGTGTTTTTTAAAAAACCTAGGACGTTGTGAGGCTTCTCCATTATCTGTGAAGCCTGTGCCTGGCCTGCCCATGGTGGGCCTCGTCCTCCGTGCTGAGGCTTTTGCTGAAGAGGTTTTTTGGGGTTTTTTTTTTTTTTTTTTGAGTCAGTCACTCTACAGCCCAGGCTGGAGTGCAGCGGCACTGACGGGGCTCACTGCCGCCTCGGCCGACTTGGCCCAGGTGATCTCCCACCTGAGCCTCCTGAGTAGCTGGGACCACAGGCGCACACCACGCCTGCCTAGTTTTTGTATTTTCAGTAGAAATGGGGTTTCACCATGTTGCCCAAGCTGGTCCAGAACTCCTGAGCTCGAGTGATCCACCCGCCTCAGCCTCTGAAAGGGGTCGATTCCAGGTGTGAGCCACCGCTCCCAGGCTGCCAAAGTTTTAAAGCCTTATCACTCCCAGATACTTTTGTCCATGTCTCTGGGGACGTGAGGACATTTCTGTTTTTTTTTTTTTTTTAGGCGGAGTCTTGCTCTGTTGCCCAGGCTGGAGTGCAGTGGCACGATCTCGGCTCATGCAGCCTCTGCCTCCTGGGTTCCAGCGATTCTCCTACCTCAGCCTCCCGAGTAGCTGGGATTACAGGCATATGCCACCACGCCGGGCTAATTTTTGTACTTTTAGTAGAGACAGGGTTTCACCATGTTGTCTAGGCTGGTTTCGAACTCCTGACCTCAAGTCACCCTCCCGCCTTGGCCTCCCACAGTGCTGGGATTACAGGCGTGAGACACCACGCCCGGCCAGGACATTTTTTATGTGGTTTTGACACCATTATCCGCAGTGAGGTGGGAGGAACCGAGCCTTGTCTCTTGCCCTCCTGTTCTCAGCCTTCCCTGGTTTTCCCAAAGTGTGGCTTCTCTCAGACCTCGCTAATCGGGAGCGGCGCCTCTGGCCACGGCTTGTGGAGGATGCCCTGTGCTGTCCTTGGCTCCCCGCCACTGCCCAGGCCAAGGGGACGAGGAGGCCAGTGAGGCCCCAGCCCCGTGGCGTCTCTTGTGGAGCACGGAGCTGTGTTTCAGATCCTGCTCCCAGCACCCGCCTCAGCTGCTCCTCCAGCTGCTGAAATCTACCTGGCCTGTGTCCAGAGGTTTCGTTCATCTGGAATTGACCTTGTGTGACCTGAGGTGGGAGCTGTATCCTTGTGTCTACCTGGCCCTGCACCCCGTGCATCAGCTCATGTCTGCCCATGCAGCCACCTGGGCCCCGCCTCCTCTCCAGCGTCTGCTCGTGGGTGCCTAGGAGGCCTCAGAGCCCCCCAGCTCTCCCCGTGTGCCCTAGGTGGGGGATCCAAGGCCGTGGCTCTCCACGTGTGCCCCGGGTGGGAGGCCCAAGGCCGTGGCTCTCCACGTGTGCCCTGGGTGGGGGATCCAAGGCCGTGGCTCTCCCCGTGTGCCCTGGGTGGGGGATCCAAGGCCGTGGCTCTCCCTGTGTGCCCTGGGTGGGGGTGCCTAAGCCGTGGGCACCCATGCTGAGCTGTTCTTAACTGCACAGGCTCATTCCGCCTCAGCCTGCCTCAGCCCACCCAGGGCCAAGGCTCTGGCAGGCAGCTTCCCTCTGTGTTTCTCTGGTTAGGGCTGCCTTTTCTCTACTTGGCTGTACACTCCTACTTTATAGCACAGGTGTCTTCACGTAGATTTTGAAAATGGGTAAGTGTGGCCTTTTTCGTTTGTCCCCTGAACTCAGAGGGCCTAGAATGCCAGGGTGTAAGGTGGCCGACTGGACAGATGCCCCATGGCAGAAGCCTGTGGGCACCGCCATAGAGCCTGCTCCTGAGCCCCAGGCCCTTTCGCTCCCATGGCCACCGCTGTGGAGCCTGCTCCTGAGCCATGCCCCAGGCCCTTTCACCCCTTCTCCTTCCTTTCCTCCCTCCCTCTCTTCCTTCTGTTTCTTCTTTCCTTGTATTTTACTTTTCTAAAAGTACATTCTGCCCAGCACACAGGGTTGCTTTTGAGGGAAGCTTCTTCAAGGTTGCAAGCAAGACCCCTGGTTTCCAGAAACCCATGCGCCTGAGGCCCCATTCTGACGGAAGGGGCTGCAGGGCTCCATGAGGGGCCAGTCCTGCCCGTGGAAGGTGCTGTTTGCTGTCTGGGTGGTTCTTCCTGAGGAGTCTCTGAGTGGTGGATTTTCTCATGACACCGAGACCCTCCTGGTTCGCATTTTTGAAGTGTGATGGGTCGTGTAGCGGGGCTTGAGTGTGTATTTTAAGGAGAACAGAAACAGAAGGGTTGAATTGGTGAAGAATCCGTGTCTGTGAGCCAGGCCTGCACTTCACAGCACTGGCCTTGCTGCTGCTCCACAGCGGCGTGGCGGGAACCCAGGCCAGCCCTGCAGCCCGCGTGTGTTCACCTGTGGCCTCCGCCGTGGGAGTCTGGACGGCTGTTTGCGGAGGGGCAGGCAGCACACGTGGCCCCACTCGCCTGCCCCGTGCGTCGTCCTGCTGTGCGCACAGCTTCGTCTCTGTTGGCTGTAGAATGGGAACGGGCACAGGTGGCCCCACTCGCCTGCCCTGTGCATCGTCCTGCTGTGCGCACAGCTTCGTCTCTGTTGGCTGTAGAATGGGAACGGGCACACGCGAGGGGATGGGCACTCCTGGGCCTTCAGTGGCCGTGTGCCACTGCATCTCCCCGCTGTGTGCTCTGCATCCGAGCCAGGGTCGCTGATCTTTTCTCTGGGCGTCCTGTGAGGGGAGCCTCGCCCCACGCTCTGCATCTGATTTTCTTGCTCAGCCCTGTGGTTCAGAGGCCCCGGTCCTGTATGTGGCCCGCATCTCCTCGGGGGCCAGTGGTGGCCTTAGGCTTCACTGGGTTTCTCTGGTCGGCCATGGGTGGCATGTGTGTCCGTTTCTTTCCCTTGTTTATGGTGAGCCATCCTGTCTGCACCACGTGGACAGCCTGTTCAGCTTGCTGGTCCGCGGAGCAGGCGTCCTCTCTAGGACTGGGGTCTGCAGGGCGCTGTGGTTGGAGAGCGTCTGCATCTAACCCTGGGCGTCCCCTTGCACTCTTGGATGCCACGGCTCTGCACTTTGCTGTCCTGGGGCATGGCGGGTGCTGCTCCCTCAGCCTGTCCTGGGTGCCCATGGCCTTAGTTTGCATTTTTTCTCCTGTCGATGAGGCTGGCTTATCAGAACTTGGGCTTCCTCTGGGAAAATGCCTGCCTTTCCTCGACTTGCCTTCCTCTCGCTGCCTGTGTGAGCCCATACTGACCGCGTGCATGCCGAGCACCTTCCGTCCGTGGCTGGTGTGCTGCCCTCTCGGAGCCCTGTGCTGCCTGTGGGAGCCCGTACTGACCGCGTGTGTGCCGAGCACCTTCCATCTGTGGCTGGCGTGCTGCCCTCTTGGAGCCCTGTGCTGGCATTGTTCTTCCTCTCCAGAGGGATGCCTGTGCTGGCCATCCTGCCACGTCTGTGCTGTCTGTCTTGTTGAAGAAGCCGCTCCTTCCCTATCTCAGAAGGAGCTCCTCTGGGCCATCTTCCGAAAGATCTGTGGTTTGCCTAAATGTTGGGGCTGAGGCTTCCTTGATTGTGTGAGCTGGGGGCGAGGCTTTCTCCTTTCGTTCCACATGGATGCCTGGTGCTGGCAGCTGTTTTGCCATGGCTCTGCCATTAAGATGGGTGTTGTGTGGGGCGTGAGCACTGTGGGGCTGAGTCACTGCGTTGCTGCCTTGTCACGCGTGCAGCCTCTGGCGTCCGTGGCTTCTCAGCAGCACTCGCTGGATTCCCTGTTTGGCCCGAGCTCCCATGCCCTGTTATCAGAGCTGCGCCAGAAGGTGTAATGTGGGCTTCACAATTGTGTGGCCCTTTCTAGTTCTTTGTGTCTCTGTATACTTTTTTTTTTTTGAGTCGGAGTCTTGCCCTGTCACCCAGGCTGGAGTGCAGCGGCGCAATCTCGGTTCACTGCAGCCTCCGCCTCCCAAGTTCAAGCGATTCTCCTGCCTCAGCCTCCTGAGTAGCTGGGACTACAGGCGCCCGCCACCATGCCTGGCTAATTTTTGTATTTTTTAGTAGAGACGAGGTTTTACCATGTTGGTCAGGCGTGTCTCGAACTCCTGACCTCAGGTGATCCGCCCGCCTTGGCCTCCCAAAGTGCTGGGATTACAGGCGTGAGCCACCACGCCCGGCCTGTGAGCCCCATTATTAACTGGATTATCTTTCTTTGATTTATGGGTGGTTTTTAATTTTCTGCTTTTTATTTTTCTGAATTACACATATTACATTTGATCAGAAGTAATTTAAGACATCTTTGAGGAAGGCTCATTTACTGAACTCTGTGAAATCCCTCAGCCCCTCGGGGCCCGCTTCTCAGGCCGGCCCACCCGCCAGGGCCCCTCTGCCTAGGCCTGGAGCGGCCCCTGCACCCCGAGCTGCTGGTGCAGAGCTGGCTGTGTCCGCAGGTGTGAGGTGCTGCAGGCACCCGGCAGCCGTGGCCCTGGGCGAGTGCTGTCTGCGAAGGGCCCTGGCTGTGTCTCACACCCGTTCGTTTTCCCTGAAGTCCCATCTCTGTCTACGCCAAGTTCACGGGGCTGTCTTGTGGAATTTTACAGGTTGAGAACTTGTTGCTTAGTAACCAAGGGACCATTAAGCTGTGTGACTTTGGCAGTGCCACGACCATCTCGCACTACCCTGACTACAGCTGGAGCGCCCAGAGGCGAGCCCTGGTGGAGGAAGAGGTGAGCTGAGTGGGGCCTATGCTGGGGGAAGCTGGCCCTTCCCACATTCCACGCCCTGAGTGCGGAGTGCTGTTTTCCGCCGGGGTGCTTTGAGTCTCGCTCTGTCACCAGGCTGGAGTGCAGTGGTGCAATCCCGGCTCACTGCAACCTCCGCCTCCTGGGTTCAAGCGATTCTTCTGCCTCTGCCTCCCGAGTAGCTGGGGTTACAGGCACACACCACCACGCCCAGCTAATTTTTGTGTTTTTGGTAGGGACGGGGTTTCACCGTGTTGGCCAGGATGGTCTCTATCTCTTGACGTCATTTGTGATCCACCCGCGTCAGCCTCCCAAAGTGCTGGGATTACAGGCGTGAGCAATGTAATAAACAGACTTTATTTTTTAGAGCAGTTGAAGGTAACAGGAAGTGGAGCTGAAAACACAGGGTGGCCCCATCCATGCCCTCTCACAGCCCCTCCTTCCTCTGAGCCCCTCACGTCCTTGGCTCTCCTCCGAAGCTTCTTTTCCCAGAGATGGGCAGATAGATGCCGTCTCTGCCCACACGTAGCCTGCTCTCACCCTGTGTCTTGGAGCTGGAGGAGTTAACTTGCGCTCTCTGCACTTGGGCCTTCTTGCTCTTGTGTCTTGCATTGGTAGCTGACTGTCCCGGCCTCAGGCAGGTCATTCCTGGAAAGCAGGTCTTCGTGCTTTTCAGCATGAGTGGAGGGCGCTTTATCCTGCTTTCCGTAAGCTCTCATTTTCCCATTCCCTTTAAGAAATTGTGGCCTGCCCAAGGCCGTGCGCTGTCCTGCTGTATAACTGCAGAGCCCACTTGCCCCCTGCTCTCCTGTGAATCTGCAGCTGAGGATGGGGTTTGTGTGTCTGCCGTGCACGGAGATTCACTGTCTCCTCACAGCTCTGCGGCCCCAGCCTCTGCCTCTCACAACATGTCTGCCATGCACGGAGATTCACTCTCTCCTCACAGCTCTGTGGCCCCAGCCTCTGCCTCTCGCAAGTGCCTCCGTGTGTTTGTGAGGCTCTCCATTGTTAACCTTGAACCAGTCGGGTGAGCTTGGGTGGACGGCTTCCTCCTCCCAGATACCCTCACGTACCCTGGGGTTCTGGGTGTCACAGAAGCTGCTCTGGGTGCGGCCACTCTGGAGCGGGGCCCTTGTGCCAGGTGAGACACCCTTCTCCTCAGCAAGCGGACTTGGTGCGCAGCAGGCCAATACGTCGGTGCCGACATGCCATGAAGCACGGGAGGCCGTAGGAGATTGAGGGAGGTGAATGACTCAGTCCTCATCGTAAGGAGCGCGCTGAGGCCGAAGATGAGCAGCGGAGCTGGTGCATGGGGCCGACTGGCCTGAGGTCATCCCGGGGCATAGTGTGCGGGACAGGCTGCCCCTCAGTCTGCTGTGCATTTGGAAAGCTGCACGGAAGTGGTGCAACATAAAAAATACTGTTTGTGGGATGCAACTTTTCCTTTGAAATGTTTGTATTTTTTCAGATCACGAGGAATACAACACCAATGTATAGAACACCAGAAATCATAGACTTGTATTCCAACTTCCCGATCGGCGAGAAGCAGGATATCTGGGTGAGGTCTGGCGCCTCTCAGTGGCAGTGCCTGGCTCCGTGCGCCCTACTTAACCTGAGGCGGCGTGGGCCGGGCACCTGCCACTCGGAACTGGCCTGCCTCCTCCACCCCCTCTTCCCCTCCCGTCCCCTTTTCTTTTTCCTTTCCTTAAGAATCACTGTGGCTGCCACTGTTTTTTTGGGTTTTTTTGGAGACAGGGTCTTCCTCTGTCACCCAGGCTGGAGTGCAGTGGTGTGACCTCGGCTCAGGCTCACCGCAGCCTCCCGCCCCTGGGCTCAAGGGATCCTCCCACCTCAGCCTCCCGAGTAGCTGGGACCACAGGTGCTCACCACCATGCCCGGCTATTATTTTGTATTTTTGGTAGAAGGGGTGGTCTCACCATGTCGCCCAGGCCGGTCTCGAACTCCTGAGCTCAAGCGGTCCACCTGCCTCAGCCTCCCAAAGTGCTGCGATTACAGGCTTGAGCCACTGCACCCTGCCCAACCTTGACTACTTCTAATAGGGATGAGTCGAGTAGCAGTTGGGGGCGTCCTGTGCGGCTGGGTCTGCCTGAGGCTCCCCTCGGCCCCGTCCATGGCTTGTTGTGCATCTGGCCCTGAGTGCCTTGGCCCAGGAGTGTCCCTGCCACACCCCAGCCTTGCTGCGCTCAGAGCCAGGCCAGAGTGAGGGCTGAGCCTGATGGCTGGGGTGGTCTCCTGCGTCCTCCCTCATCCCTGCATCTCTCCAAGGCCATGTCCCCATTGACCGAGGGTGACCACGCGTGGAGGGTGTCCTGCCTTGTGGTTCTTTTGACGTCCCCTTACCCCGTCATTCAGCCACCAGGTGCGGCAGTTGGCCCTCCGTAGTGTATTTGCCTACGGACCGGGTCAGCCGTGCCATCAGCCACAGCACATGGGCTGAAGGCTGAGACAGCACGTGGGGCTGCAGGCTGAGACAGTATGTGGGCTGTAGGCTGAGGCCCTGTGTCCCTTGAGGAGTGTGGAAGGATGGGGCCACGTGTGTGGTCATTGCCTGTGTTCTTGGCCCACCCTGGTGACTGGTCCTCTGCACATCCCGCACGAGGACACTCCTGGCCGGCTCTTGCTCGGCCTGGGGTCCCGGTGTGAGCTCTTACTCTTGGCTGGATAAGATCCTGATGCCGAAGTAATCACCAGTCCCTTCTCTGGGCTCACATATTGGGTGATTGACGAGAAGTCGCTGATTGTTCAAGGCCAGTTCTGCGAAAATCCTGAGCAGACTGAGGAGGCTGCTTCCTGCAGCTTCTGCCCTGTGCCCTACACCCTGCATATGGGGTCAGTTCTGAAAAGTGGGTCTCTGCTGTTGCCAAGGACAGGACAGGTGCCTTGCCCCTCGCATAGCACACAGCAGGGTCTGTGCTGGTCCCACCAGCTCATAGATCTTCAGTGCATGAGTGTGGGAACCCCGGAATTTTGAAAGGAACCTTTATTTATTTATTTATTTATTTATTTATTTATTTATTTGAGACAGAGTCTCGCTTTGTTGCTAGGCTGGAGGGCAGTGGCGCGATCTCGGCGCACTGCAACCTCTGCCTCCCGGGTTCAAGCAGTTCTTTGCCTCAGCCTCCTGAGTAGCTGGGACTACAGGCATGCACCACCACGCCTGGCTAATTTTTGTATTTTTAGTAGAGACGGGATTTCACCATGTTGGCCAGGCTGGTCTTGAACTCCTGACCTTGTCATCCACCCGCCTCGGCCTCCCAAAGTGCTGGGATTACAGGCGTGAGCCACTGCGCCCGGCCTGAACGGAACTTTTTAATCTTAAGAGCCTAGAGTCCGTTTAACACTGTCACCTGGACAGTTCTTTGCGGTGAATAGAAGTGGAGCATCCAGGCCTCCCCGTGCCGTGGGAAGCACGCCGCCAGCTCCGCACAGTCAAGTGATGTTTGTGTAACCACCGACTATACCCCTAGGATCCCCAAGGAAGGAGCCACCCCTCGGCCAGTCACCATGTCTGCGGTGCTCCTCTCACGCCCTTGTCCCCTTGGGCTCGGGCATCACCCCTGCTCTCCCCTCAGACCTGGGAGTCACCCCTGCACTCCCCGCAGGCCCAGGAGTCACCCCTGCGCTCCCCACGGCTCCGACGTCACCCCTGCATTCCCCGCAGGCCTGGGTGTCACCCCTGCACTCCCCACAGGCCCAGGCGTCACCCCTGCGCTCCCCACGGCCCCAACGTCACCCCTGCGCTCCCCGCGGCCCGGGTGTCACCCCTGTTGTTCCCGCAGGCCCCGGTGTCACCCCTGCATTTCCCATGTTCCCGATATCACCCCTGTGTTCCCTGCAGTCCCCAGTGTCACCCCTGCGCTCCCCACGGCTCCGATGTCACCCCTGCATTCCCCGTGGGCCTGGGCATCACCCCTGCTCTCCCCGCAGGCCCAGGCGTCACCCCTGCGCTCCCCGTGGGCCTAGGCATCACCCCTGCTCTCCCCGCAGGCCCTGGGCTGCATCTTGTACCTGCTGTGCTTCCGGCAGCACCCTTTTGAGGATGGAGCGAAACTTCGAATAGTCAATGGGAAGTACTCGATCCCCCCGCACGACACGCAGTACACGGTCTTCCACAGCCTCATCCGTAAGTCCCGGTGGAATGCGTGCGTGGGGCAGGACCCTGGAGCACAGACCCCGCGTGGCTCTGGAGACCCCGCTCCCCTTGGGGCACTGCTCACCTGGCCCCACTCCCGCCCGTCACCATAGTTTTGACAACATCCCTGGGGGGGGGGTTTCCAGAGAGCTCCCCTGCCGCCCACCCCGCTGGTGAATTTGCGGTGCTCTGAGTGGTGATTTTTGATCATTTTGTTCGGTTTTTGTTCTTCCCTTTGCCGCTCCCTTCTTGCTTCTGACGTCACTGATGTGTGTAGAGGGAGTGGCCTCTGGTGGTCTGTGACCTCTGCCAGTGCAGGGGGTGCTGACCCGCCTGGGGAACCGTGGGGCCGAGCGCGCTGTGCTTCTGCTGCAGGCGCCATGCTGCAGGTGAACCCGGAGGAGCGGCTGTCCATCGCCGAGGTGGTGCACCAGCTGCAGGAGATCGCGGCCGCCCGCAACGTGAACCCCAAGTCTCCCATCACAGAGGTGAGGGAGGCACACGTGAGCCCCAAATCCCCCGCAGTGGTGAAGGAGGCACACATGAGCCCCAGATCCCCCGCAGAGGGGAGGGAGGCACATGTGAGCCCCAGATCCCCTGCAGAAGGGAGGGAGGCACACGTGAACCCTAAGTCTCCTATCACAGAGGGGAGGGAGGCACACGTGAGCCCCAGATCCCCCGCAGAGGGGAGGGAGGCACATGTGAACCCCAAGTCTCCTATCACAGAGGGGCGGGAGGCACACCTGAACCCCAAGTTTCCTATCACAGAGGGGAGGGAGGCACATGTGAGCCCCAAATCCCCCCACAGAGAGGAGGGTGGCATGTGGCTGTGCTGCTTCGTCCGGACCCTGCACCCTGGGGGTCTCTGCCCACTTCAGTGGGGAGCCACAAGCTCTTGAGGGCCCTGGGCTCCTGCAGGAGCAGGGTCACCACCGCAGCCCAGGGCCGAGACCCCGGGGGCATGCTGGGACCATTGCCAAGGTCTTCGCACTCTGCACGCGCTCCTCTGGCCTCCTTGAGGTTTGCAGGCGCCTTTCTAGATTCTTCCCCTGACAGGACAGCATGAATTGCTCCTGTGTCTTTGTTTCTGGGGTCTGGTGTCCAAGCCAGGTCAGCCAGCCCTCAGCTCTGGGCGTCCTGGGGTGTCCTGAGTTGCTCTGCGTCTGTGTTTCTGACCCTCAGCTCAGCTCTGGGCGTCCTGGTTGCAGTTGTGTCAGGGCTGGGCCTGGCCAGGGTCCACTCCCAGGCACCGGTGGCTGCTGGCAGCATCAGGGCCTGGGGGCTGGGAGACTGAGGCCCACAGGGCCGTGTGCTTTGTGGAAGTGTGAGGCCTGGGAGGGAGCAGCACGTGTTGGCTGGAAGATGCTTTCCTCAGAGTCTTTTCTGACCCAGCCGTGGACAGGGTGCAGCATCTCCATCACCAGATCCTCGAGGCAGAGCAGACACGCGGCCCGGCCCTCACCCACGGGGAGCAGGGAGGCCCCTGGGCATCCCAGCTCAGGGCCCAGTCAGGACACGCAGGGCCCCTCTGCAGATCTCGCAGGGGTCTGTGTCCAAGGACCCAGGACTCTTGGCTCCTGCATTTTGTCCCCTTTTCAGCCCTTGGGTCGTTTCCACTCCCTGGTAGCTGGAAGCCGGAACTTCCAGGGGCCACTGCAGTGGAGCTGACCCAGGCGGTGGGTGTGGAGCGTGGGGAGAAGGTCAGAGCTGCTGCCCGGAGTCCCTGTCTGAGGACAGGACCCTGTGGGACAAGGAAGGTTTGGGCTGTGTGGAGGGTTTGCAGTTCCTTGGGGGCCGCGTGGGTACAGAGACCTGGGAGCAGGGAAGTGCTGGGAAGCCCAGTGCAGACGGGGAGAGGCTGTGGTGCCCCTCTCTGGCGGCCATCATGGTGGGTGCACCAGCAGAGGGAGCCCTGGTGCTGGGTGCTGGAAGCATTTTGAGGTGTGGGGCGCTCTGAGGCGGGAGAGTTGATGTCACTGGTGGCCTCTCAGCAAGCTTCCCTGGGGCTGTCAGAGAGCGGCAGGAAGGGATCACTCCTGGGCCGTCCTGCTCTTTAGCAGCCTGGGCCTCGTGTCCCCCTCGCTTGGTGGCTCTTTACAGAAAATGCCTGCCCACTCCCCCGGAGGTCACAGAGGACAGTGGGCTCGCAGGGGGGTGTGGGCCTCTTGCTTTGTCGAGTGCGCTGGAGGGATTCTTGATGGGGCGGGAGGAGGTGCCGCTGGGCAGATGGGCAGAATCAGGCCCCTAGTGATGGGGCGGGGTCCTCAGTGCTTCTCATCTGAGTGCTTCTAGGCCGGGACCCCGTGGGGACAGACGTTAGACCCCTGCTTAAGCCAACCGACTCCCCCAGAAAACACAGTCCATGATGGAGCTGAGTTCACAATGAAATAAAATACTGCCCCCAGGAGGTAGTGAGCCTCACAGGGTGGCCCCCAGAACCCAGGAGCTGAAGTGATGGAACATCCTGGGACAGACAGGCCATGTGTCTGCTTAATATGGTTGGGCATGCGAGGTGGAGGCTGCAGTGAGCCCAGATCATGCCACTGCACTCCAGCCTGGGAGACAGAGTGAGACTCCGTTTCAAAAAAAAAAAAAAGAAAAAAAGCCTGGGTGCAGTGGCTCACGCCTGTAATCCTAGCACTTTGGGAAGCCGAGGCAGGCGAATTGCCTCAGCTCAGGAGTTCAAGACCAGCCTGGGCAACGTGGTGAAACCCCATCTCTACTAAAATACAAAACAAATTAGCCAGGCGTGGTGGCGCATGCCTGTAGTCCCAGCTACTCTGGGAGGCTGAGGCAGGAGAATTGCTTGAACTCATGAGGCGGAGGTTGCGGTGAGCTGAGATCGTGCCACAGCCCTCCAGCACTGCAGCCTGGGTCACAGAGCAAGACTCTGTCTCTACCAAAAAAAAAAAAAAAAATGTTGGTTGGACAGACTGGGAAGAGAGAGAAAAGGAAAAGGAACAGAAGCTGTAGCCCAAGAGTCTGAAAAGCTGGGCTGGAGTGCTGAGCACCTGCAACAGCCCCAAGCGAGGCAGGCCGCGGGGTGAGGGGATGAGGGCTGCGTGCGTTTGTTGAGTTCCAGCTGATGCTTCAGCCTGTGGGAAGTTCCTCCCTTGCACTGTGTCATAGATCAGGGGGCAGAAGGATGGGCTCTGAGGGCACCCATACCGTACCTCTGCCCGACGTGGGCAGGCGTGAGTTGTCAGTTTAGAGAACTGACCTCTGCATTTTCATTGTCACAGCTCCTGGAGCAGAATGGAGGCTACGGGAGCGCCACACTGTCCCGAGGGCCACCCCCTCCCGTGGGCCCCGCTGGCAGTGGCTACAGTGGAGGTGAGTGCCCTGTCCTGTGCCCGCCACCTGTCCCTCGCTCCTGCTGCACCCCGGGCACCCGCAGCACATTGGGATGGAGTCTGGGGTCCTTCTCTCCCGGGGCCTCCTCTCCCACCAGAGATGACTGTGAGGTCAGGGTCCCTGAGCACACCCTCAGGTTCGGCAGTTCCCTGGGGCTCACAGAGCTCAGCAAAGCTGGTGTCTTGGTGCAGTTCAGGAGGGGGTCAGGATTCGGACTAAAGCCAGCCAAGGGAAGAGGCTCCAGGGCAGGGCCCAGGAGACCGGGCCCGAGTGACCAGGCGGCCTCGCTCAGGGGTTATGTGGGAGGCAGCCTGCGCCGTGGCCAAGACCCCAGCATAGATCACATTGTCGTGTCTGGCACAGCCCAAGGCCCCAGGGAAACAGACACCCCTTTTGGGGCTGGAGGGGGCATCCCAGGTTCCTTCCCAGGAGCTGGGAATGAAGGGCCAGGCCTGCTGTGGGCAAGGTGAACCATTTACTACAGTAGCGACCCTGAGGCCAGGGGGCAGGAGCAGGCATTGGACAGTGGAGGGCGGTGGGGGAAGACAGTTCTGCCGCTAGTGTGAGGTGGCCCCTTCTGCCGCATGAGGAGTGGGCACCTGTGATGGGCCTGGGTGTCCCTGGAGGGCCCTCAGCTGGTGAGGAGTGGAGAGGGCCCTGGAGACAGACGCTGCATGCTCTTGGAACTCCGTGCCGGGAGTGTTCCAGAAGGTTCCGGGTGAGCCGTCGAGGACATGGCCCTGACAGGCAGCGGCTGGGTCTGCAGCTCTGCATGGCGCTGACCCCTCCCGACCTCGCCCCGCATCCCCACTGCGGTGTGGGAGGTTTCACCTGGGTCCTTCACCTCCGCTTCCCAGGGAGGAGCTCAGCTCCATGTCTGGGGCACCCCGGTCCGTGCAGTGTGGGTCCCACACATGCAGGTGTAGTGGCTGGCTGGGTCTCTGCTGGCTGGAGGAAGGGTGAGTCCTCGAGCTGCTGGGTTCTGCAGTGCCCCCATCTGCTCGGTGCTGCCTGGGCCTCGGTCTCCTGTCTGCATGAGGGACTTTGGCCAGGTGTTTTTTTTTTAACACCACTTGTGCCACCAAAGCCGCCTGTGAAGACCTCACTCGCAGGACCCACCAGGCCAGGGGCCACCACTCTGCCTTCACGTCCAGGGTCATGGTGGCCTGAAGCTGTGGCCGTGAGGCCGGACTATCCCCACAGACAGAGTCCCAGCCCCAGCTGTGCTGAGGCGGCCACATAGCCCTTCCGCACCCAGATTGACCATTTCCTGGGTCTCTGGAAAGGCTGAGGACAGGGTAGACCTGCCAGTGCTGAGGCCTGGCTTCCCGCTGGGTACGTGTGGGTCAGGGGCCTGGCCATACCACCCACTCCCTGCTCCTGCTGCCTGGGCCCAGCCAGCAACCTGCACCTGGGGAGGTGGGACCGAGCGCCTGGGGAGGTGGGACCGAGCGCCTGGGGCCTGGGCCCAGCCAGCAACCCGCACCTGGGGAGGTGGGACCGAGCACCTGGGGCCTGCTGAGACTGTGTCTCCCTGCAGGCCTGGCGCTGGCGGAGTACGACCAGCCGTATGGCGGCTTCCTGGACATTCTGCGGGGTGGGACAGAGCGGCTCTTCACCAACCTCAAGGACACCTCCTCCAAGGTCATCCAGTCCGTCGCTAAGTGAGTGTGAGGCTCCAGAGCCCTGGACCTGCCGCACGCTCGTTCCAGGCTGCAGCCCCGGCCCTTGCTTCCTGGCTGCGGTGGAACAGCTGGTCATCAGGCCCCACAGGGGCCCCTGAGGCAGTGGGACAGCATCACCCGCTTCTCCCAGGGAGTCGGAATGAGCCCAGCATCCCACAGAGCCAGGCAGATCCCTTTCCTTTCATCGCCTGGGGGGCAAGGCCCTGCTGAGGAGATGCCTGGGCCCTCCCCTCCCTTGCTGCAATGTCGCCCCTCACTCTGGGGCGTTCCTGGCTTGTTCCCGGGACTCTGTAAATTGGGTGAAACCTCGGTGGTGGCGCCTCACTGAGCCAGTCCTTGAGTTAAAGCCCTAGTTACTCAGACTTAGACCAGGTGAGTCCCAGCCTGTGGTGGGAGAAAGTCTCCCTCTGGGTGGGCTGTCCAAGGGCGCGTCTGTGCGGGGGTGGCCCCGACATCGGCCCACAGGCCCGGCAGCCTCTGCTCACGGAACACTGGGAATGTTCCAGAGTGCGGCCCCTCTGCGTTGCGGGGTCCATGCGCTGGCTCTTCTGAGGAGCTGAACGCCCAGGAGCACGCTGGCTGCTCATCTGGCCCTGCGGTCGCACCAGCTCAAGGGCGTCGGCTATGTCAGGAAACAGCCTAGGAGCTGGGCTGGACTGGTGCCCGTGATGCAGGAACTGCGGCCCCTGGTGGGCCCACGTTCCTTCCACAGCTGGCGACACCTTCGGGCTTTTTCTTATGTTTTTTGTTCTGTGCTGTGATCACTGTTTTGTGTCCCCAGCACCAGGTAGACGTGTGTGCACTTGTGCCTGCATGTACCGCAGCGTCTGCACATGTGAGCGTGGGTGCATGTGTCTTTGAGCATGTGTGCATGTGAGGGAATGGGTGTGTTAACATACATATGTGAACATGTGTGCATGTGTGTGTAAATGCTGGTGTGAGTATGTGCATAGGCGTGTGTGATTGCTGGTATGAGCATGTGTGCTGGTGCTTGTGAGTCCTTGTGCTTGTGAATCCTTGTGTGAGCTGAGTGCTCGTATTGTGTGCAGGCACGTGTATGAGCACATGTGCATGTTGGAGCATGTATGCGTGTGTGCATGTGTATGCATGTGTAGGAGTGCTTGTGAGTGCGCGTGAGCTGTGTGCATGTGTACACGTGTGCGAGTGCCTGTGAGTGCACGTGAACTGCATGCATGTGTACGCATGCGCGCGAGTGCCTGTATGAGCCGCGTGCATGTGTACGCATGAGTAGGAGTGCCTGTGAGTGTGCGTGAGCTGCGTGCATGTGTACACACGCATGCAAGTGTGTGTGAGCCACATGCATGTGTACGCATGCACACAAGTGCCTGTGTGCGTGAGCTGCGTGCATGTGTATGCATGTGTGCGAGTGCCTGTGAGTGCATGTGAGCCGCATGCATGTGTGCACATGCGCGCGAGTGCCTGTGCCTGAGCTGTGTGCACATGTATGCATGCGTAGGAGTGCCTGTGAGTGAGCATGAGCCGCGTGCATGTGTACACGTGTGAGTGCGCGTGAGCCGCGTGCATGTGTACACGTGAGTGCGCGTGAGCCGCGTGCATGTGTACACGTGAGTGCGCGTGAGCCGCGTGCATGTGTACGCGTGAGTGCGCGAGCCGCGTGCATGTGTACGCGTGTGTGCGCGTGAGCCGCGTGCATGTGTACGCATGTGTGTGAGCCGCGTGCATGTGTAAGCGTGTGTAGGAGTGCTGTGCGAGCGCCTGTGTGTGTGAGCTGTGTGCCTGTGAGTGCGTGTGGGCCGCGTGCATGTGTAGGAGTGCTGTGTGAGTGCCTGTGTGTGTGAGCTGTGTGCCTCTGTGTGTGCTGCATGTTTGGCTGTGTGGTTCCATTACCTGTGTGCCTTGTCCTTGTGCAACCTTTTGGAAAGAAACCTGCTCTTAGTGGGCCTGCATATCCCCAGAGCAGGACGTGAGCCCACTCGCACCTCTGGGCACCTCCTCTGTGACGCCTCCTGCCTGAGTTGTGGCTGACAGAAGATCAGAGGCAGCTCTGTCTGTCTGGTGCCAGCGCACCGCCCACTGGGCCCAGGGCTGTGGCTCCTGCAGGGTCCTGACAGGTGACACTGCGTGTGGAGCGTCAGCAGGGCTAGCCATGGACCCAGGGGGGTGAGAGACTCTCCAGCGTCATCTTGGTGAGAGTGATGTTGGGATCAGAGTGGAAACAAGACAGAGAGGATGCGGCAGCAAAGCCATAAGTGAAAGTCACTAGGAACGGTCACTTTCGGCATCAGTGAAAATGGTCTCCATGGCCGCAGCACATTGTGGGGACAGGCAGAGTGGAGTCAGCAGAGGGAGGAGGCATGTGGGGCGTTCAGGGAGCCGGGCACAGCTCCAGAGTCCTCCCTGGGGGACTCCAGGCCACGCTCCCTCCCCAGCAGCTGTGGGGATGGTGGGAGCTGCTGTCTGCTGGAAGCCTAAGGCCGCAGGGGCTGGTTCTAGAAATGGCTCTGCTGGGACCCATGGGTTCCAGGCCCTAGGAGGACACAGTTTGGCTTGAGCAGGCGCTGCTTGCATGGCACTCAGGCACAGCTAGCTGCTGCTTGTTAGGGGATGGTGGGAACCCTCCTGACACCCCCAGGTTCCAGCTGAGGGCAGCCCTGCTGTTTGTTTTGCTCTGCCTTCTGTTCACATCACGTGCTTGAGGCAGATGAAGCTGCATAACCTCGTGTTTGTAAAGTTGACTTAGAAGCAACAGTGAGTTCTGGTTGGGCCTGGAGGCTCAAAAGATGGCTGGGCACGGTGGCTCGTGTAATCCCAGCACTTCGGGGGGCCGAGGAGGGAGGATCACTTGAAGATTGAGACGAGCCTGGACAACACAACAACACAGCAAGACCCTGTCTCTACAAAAATAAAAAATTAGCTGGGCGAGGTGGCGTGCACCTGTGGTCCCAGCTACACTGGGGCCTGAGGTGGGAGGATCGCTTGAGCCCAGGAGGTTGAGGCTGCAGTGAGTTGTGATTGTGCCACTGCACTCTGGCCTGGAGTGAGCAAGACCCTGCCTCAATTTAAAAAATGAAAAAAAAAAAAGGACAGTGAATTCATTTGTGCTTCTGGCTCTCCCCCACGGACAAGCCCAGGAGTCAGGACCTGGGTGGCCATGAGCCCCTGGCTGCCCTGGTGCTTGCTGTTCTGAAGCCAGGGCCTCGGGGCCTGAGCCCTGTGTCTGGGCCCTGGTTTCTGTCCCGTCAGCATCCGGTGCAGCCCTAGCACACACACACCTGTGGTACACGTGCCTGAGGCCTACACAGCCAGGTCCATGGGGCCCCCGCAGGGCTGCTGGGGTGGGTGAGATGTGCGTGGATCCTGTGGCACTCAATGCCCACCTTTGCTTAAGGCGTGTCAGCTTGCTGTGCTTGCCGCTGCCTGCCGTGGTACAGGAGCAGTGGGGGTTTCACCATGTTGGTCAGGCTGGTCTCAAACTCCCAACCTCAGGTGATCTCTCTGCCTCGGCCTCCCAAAGTGCTGAGATTACAGGCATGAGCCACCGCACCTGGCCCCTATTTTTGTTTTTCTACCGGTGATTAGATTATAGGTCCAGTAGCCATGCTTTGTGTGGCCTGTTTGTCTCTTGCTGCAAAAGTGGCCAAGCGTCAGGCTCACCGTGCCTCCCCGTCTTCCCTTGTTGCTTTGGAAGACCCGCATCCTGTGTCAGCACCTGCTCGGTGGGTTTAGACGCCTTTTAAAACGTTTGAACGCACGGAAGACCCGCATCCTGAGTCAGCACCTGCTCGGTGGGTTTAGACGGCTTTTAAAACGTTTGAACGCACGGAAGACCCGCATCCTATGTCAGCACCTGCTCTGCGGGTTTAGACGGCTTTTAAAACGTTTGAACGCATGGTCACTTTCAGGCGATGGTTCGGTCGTGTGTATTTGGGTCATTCATCTCTCTGGACCTTTATCCAGGCTTTCCTCTGATGGGGACAGCACCTCTGCGATGTGCCTAGCTGAGGTTGCTCCTAGCCCAGCCTTTCTGGTCCCCGCAGCCTCCGGCCTGCTCTGTCCTGGGAGGGAGGCTCCCTTCTGCTCCTTCCCTCACAAGAACAGCTTGGCCATTCTTACACAGCTGCTGCTGCCAGTGAATTGTGGGATAAACCTGTCAGGGTCCTTGCAGAGTTATTGAGGGTTTTGATCTCTGTGTTACCGATTCCGTGGACCCAGTGTTGGGGGCAGTTGGTCTGTAGAGAGTTGGCTGTGGCCACAGCAGGGGCTTCTAGGCACTCAGGGCAGGGGGCCCTCTCTGCCTCCAGCGGCGTCTGCTGGAGTCGCACTGCTACAACCACCAGGCCTGGGCAGCGCGTGGAGCCTGGCATGACCCGTGACCATCGTCCAAGCCACCCTTGCTCTCCAGCCCTCCCCTTCCACCGGTGTTGCCATCCCTCTCCCAGCCCACTCCTGGGCCGTGCCTCCCTGGAGAGCGCAGGGGAAGGGGCAGTCAGACAGCGGATGTCTCTCCTGTCTCACCCATGCCTCCACCAGCTGCAGGCTGTCATTTCCATCCGTTTCTGATGTAGGGGTCAGCTCCACAGCACGCACACAGCCGGGAAGCTGCCCACACGCCTGTGCACACACACGTTCCTCCTGGGATGCGGCCTCTACAGTGAGAGCCCCACGGCTTCTCCAGGCCTCGGGCTCTGGCTTAAGCCCTGTGACCTAACTGCGGAGTGTTTCTTGTCATAACCAAGTTCTCTTCTTTTTAATTCCAGTTATGCAAAGGGTGACCTGGACATATCTTACATCACATCCAGAATTGCAGGTATGCGTGCCACATGAGGCTGTGGGACGCGCCCCGGCCCTTCCCTGTGTGCCCAGTGAGTCCCTGTTGTGTGTCAGGGCACAGGTGCCTCTGCTCCAGCCTTCTCTGTGGCCACAGACTCACAGGGGTGACCTGGGGCCCCTTGGCAGGCAGGCGGCCTGTGCTCAGCACCTCCAGGCGCAGCAGTGGACAGGGTCAGCGCCAGCCTGGCCTCCCATGGCTCCCTGAGGTCATGCCAGGAACAACACAAGGCCGTGTCCGTGGAAAACCAGGGCCTCTGTGCACCAGGCATCCCAGTCACTCATCCCGACACCTGGAGACAGGGCAGGTGTCAGAAAGCTGTCTCAGGAAGTCCCAGCCACCGGCTGATGGGCGTGTGGCTGGGTCCATGCTCCTAGGTCCACCCAGGCTGGGAGTCCACGGAGGGTGAGGGGGCCGGCTGTGTGGGCAGTGGCTGGTGGAGCTGCCGGAGGCTGCGCTTGCCCGGGGGCGTCAGGAGCAGCGAGGCCGCAGCAGCAGCCTGGCCACGAGGTGCGCATCTCCCAGGTGCTGACGCAGGTCTGCTTGTTTCAGTGATGTCATTCCCAGCAGAAGGTGTGGAGTCAGCGCTCAAAAACAACATCGAAGATGTGCGGTTGTTCCTGGACTCCAAGCACCCAGGGCACTATGCCGTCTACAACCTGTCCCCGAGGACCTACCGGCCCTCCAGGTTCCACAACCGGGTGTGTGGCCACAGGCTTTGTCTTGGTGCCACTCTGGAGCTTCCTTCCGCTCCAGTGCAGGGGCATAGCTGAGGGCTTTGGCCAGGGTGGGGCTGTGATGGGGGCGGCCGGAGGTCTCCTGAGGGGCTGCAGAGCGTGGGACAGGAGGGGGCGAGGTGGGGTCTCTGTTGCTCTGAGGATGCCGCTTGCCGGGAACTCTGGAGGCCCCAGCTCCTCACTGCTTCCCACCAGCCAGAGGGTGCTCGAGGCCGAGGCATTCCTTCCAGACACGACACTTGTCAGTATGCAAAGGGACCCAAAGCCCAGGAACAGCTGACTGAGCTCTGTCTGCAAGGCCAGTGGCAGCCCTGGTGCTCAGGTCTCGCGCAGGTGGACGCCTGTTCATGACACCAGCTGGCGGAGGCCCCCGCACTGCAGGCAGGCTGTCCCTCCTAGCTGACCAAGGCTGGGGCGGGGCTCCTCTGCCGTCCGTGCCACCGTGCCCTGTCCCCACAGGTCTCCGAGTGTGGCTGGGCAGCACGGCGGGCCCCACACCTGCACACCCTGTACAACATCTGCAGGAACATGCACGCCTGGCTGCGGCAGGACCACAAGAACGTCTGCGTCGTGCACTGCATGGTGAGCTCGAGGGCCGTGGGCTGGCGCCGTCTTCTGTCAAAGTTCATTATTTCATGCATAGTTCAACAGGATCTGAGCGCCAGTCATGAGCTGGGGCCTGTTCTTCACCCTGGGACACGGAAGAAAGTCCCTGTGCTTGGTGTCTTTGGGTCTGGAGGGGACAGATGACAGATGGCCCCGCCCTTCCCTCCCCATGTGGCCCTTCCTGGCCTTGACCTGCATGCCCGTGTGGAGGCCACTCCGCTGTGTGGGGAGCCCACCTCCCCTCCTGCTCGGTGGCCACCTAAGAGTCACTTCCAGTTTCCCGATCTGCAGCTCGAGGCTTAGTGGTGCTTGAGCCTCCCAGGGTGTGGCAGCTGCCACTGTGGGTGATGGAGTTGAGGTTTCCATGAGGGGTCTTTTGCGGGGTACGGGGCACCAGCAGAGCCTGTTGGAGTGGCCCTAGCCCTGTTCTTCGTTAGGGAACCTTCAGTCTCTGTTGGGCTCCATTCTTGCCTCGGCAGGCACGTTATGTAGCTCCCTAAACATATCCCAGCTTCAGAGAGGAACAGCCCTGCGTCCCTGCAGCCACAGGGTGGGTAGGATGCCCGAGGACCCCGCGAGCCCTTGTCCTGCATGAGTGCGAGGCGCACGCGAGACGTGTCTGTCTGTCCTAGGACGGGAGAGCCGCGTCTGCTGTGGCCGTCTGCTCCTTCCTGTGCTTCTGCCGTCTCTTCAGCACCGCGGAGGCCGCCGTGTACATGTTCAGCATGAAGCGCTGCCCACCAGGCATCTGGCCATCCCACAAAAGGTACTGCGTGGCCCTCCGGGGACAGGGGACAGCTCTGTGGGCCCGTGTGGCACTGCCGCCCCCGCTGTGGTGTCTCCTGGAGGGCCAGTCGGTGCCGCTGCAGGCGCTGGTGGGAAAGGCAGGCCCGGCCTCGCGGAGCCATGGCTGAGCCCTGGGCTTACGGCCGCAGAGCCCGGGGAGGATGGGCCCTCAGCCGCGGTAGTCCTGACTGCTGTGGGGCAGCACCTGCCCAGCTTGTGCATGGATCCTAGGTTCTCTGACAAATGCCATGTATGTGGTGGGCTCTGGTGGATAATGCACGTGAAAATGCCGTGTGGAGCACCTGACACAGGTGCCGTGTGGAGCACCTGACGCTGCTCAGACATGAGTACAGTCACAGCGTGTTTAGGGCCCTGCCAAATACAGGCTTCTGTGCCGCTCCACCTCAGCGCGCAGCAGGCTCTCCCTGGCCGTGTGGAGGAGGCTGTTTCTCAAACGGGAGTGTGGTCACAGCGTGTTTAGGGCTCTCCCTGTTTCTCGGGGCTGCAGGTGTCCACGCCCGAGGAGTCCACCCCAGCAGAAAGCCTCCCCTGGCCTTGGTCTCCATGAGGACCTGGTGAGGCTGGAGCAGCCTCCTAGCCTCTGAAAGAGCAGGTCTTGACCTGGACCACAGAGGCCCCAAGGGTTAGGGCCCAGGAGCAAAGGCCGGCCCCGTGGCCCCACCGTGGCGGGAGGGAAGAGGAGGGACCCAAGCGTCAGGGGACTCCCCATTCTTTATCCCCTCTGGATGGGGCGCACAGCCTGTGGACGGGGCGAGGGTCAGGAGGCCATTCCTGCTGCTGTGGATCCCCAGGGAGGGCCCCACCTCGTTTGCTCACAGCCTTGGGGGGAGGAGATCATTGCCGCCCCATCCAGCTTTGTCTTCTGTGTGACCCCCGGCAAGAGGAGTGCAAAGTTGGGAGCCCCTCCACACATTGAGCTGAAAGCCATTGGCACCCCCAGGCCAGGTGCGGTGGGGCCTGTTCAGCAGGGGGCGTCTGAGAACCAGGGAGTCTCTTTCCCTGTGGCATGTGGCTGGGCTTCCATGACCCCCAAATCCCACAGCTCCTTCCTTGGAGGAGCAGAGAGATGTGCAGAGTGCTGCTCCCACCGGGCAGCTAGCTGGACCAGCTTCAAGTTCATGGCCTTTTCACATCACTGGCCCAGAATCTAAGGAGAGTCAGGTGCCTGTGGGAGGAGGTGTGTGTGTGCTGTCTGGGGTGGACGTAACTGGACCCCAGAAGAGAAGGAGGCCAGAAAGAGTCCAACCGGTGGAGGCCAGGTGTCTCAGTGGGCGAGTGAAGCCTTCAGGGTTGCAGGACTGGAAGGGTCCTTGCCCTCTGGAAGGCACAGTCTCTGTGGGCACCCACAGGACAGATGGGAGAGTGAGGGCCGGGCAAGGGGGCGCAGCTACTATAAGGGAGGCCCAGACCTGGCCGAGACCCTTTCTTCTGCCTCCAGATGGAGGAGACGAGAGAAAGAGCTGCACTCTGTGACTCTGGGGGAAACTGAAGTAACTAATTGATGTGCTGAGGACGCTCATGCAGAGTGCACGGTCCAGTGGGGCATTCGTCAGAGCCGTGGAAAGAGGACCCTCATGCAGGGTGCGTGGTCCAGTGATCCACATGTCAGAGCTGTGGAGAGAGGACCCTCATGCAGGGTGCACGGTCCAGTGGGGCGTTCGTCAGAGCTGTGGAGAGAGGACCCTCATGCAGGGTGCATGGTCCAGTGGTCCACATGTCAGAGCCATGGAAAGAGGACCCTCATGCAGGGTGCGTGGTCCAGTGGTCCACATGTCAGAGCTGTGGAAAGAGGACCCTCATGCAGGGTGCATGGTCCAGTGGGGCATTCGTCAGAGCTGTGGAAAGAGGACCCTCAGGCAGGTGCGCGGTCCAGTGGGCCACTCTTCAGAGCCGTGGAAATGCCAGGAAATAAGCAAATGGAAATCCCCGAAATGAGAACGCCTTCGACATCGCTGAGGCTGAGTCAGTGGCCTTTGGAGCCAGGTCGAGAGATACTGAAACTGAATCACAGAGAGAAAGCGTGGGGTAGAACAAGCACCCAAGAGCTGCCTCCACCTCAGGCAGGGGCACACACACGTGGAGCCCAGAAAGGGAAGAGGGAAGCGGGAGCAGTGAAGAAATCATGGCTGAGAATTTCCCAGAATGAGTAACAGATACCAGTCCACAGGTTCAAGAAGCTCAGAGGTCACCAAGCAGGATGAAAGCAAGATGAACACATGAAAACCCACTCGGGTGCATACCGGTCAGAACTCCTGCAAACCGAGCACAGAGGAAGTGTTGGAGGTGGCCAGAAGAAGATGCATCAGGTACAAAAAGAAAGATGTCAGCCGCAAGGTTCTCGTCAGAAAGCCTAGAACAAACAGTAAGGGTTTTTCTTCGGTGCTGTAATTAAGAAGTCAACAGGAAGTAAAAGGAAAACATAAACCTTGTCAAGAGAAGGCGAAAAGAAGAAAAAAGAAACCAAGAACAGATCAAACAAGTAGGAAACAGCCAGCAAGATGGTAGATTTTAATCCAGCCACATCAGTGTTCAGGCTGAACATGAGTGGTTTTGTTTAAAAGACAGGCATTGCCATATGGGACAGAAACGCACAGCTCGGCCATACACTGCAGGAAGTCCTCTTTCAGCACGGAGGCAGAGGTGGGTTCAGAACAGGATGGTGGGGGAAGAGCGTACTAGTCATTGCTACATGACCCGACACAACACACTCGGGCTTAGAACCACACACATCCATTCTCTCGTGGTCTCCCTGGACCTTGAGGCTTAGCTGGGCCCTCTCCTCCGTTCAAGGTGTTGGCCGCACTGACTCTGAGAAAGCCGATTTCTCTTTCATTTCTGAATCTGCTTCCTTGGCCACTCGGGCTGTTGGCAGGATTTATTTGTTGTGGCTGAAGGACCGGCTGTCCTGGCTCCCTGCTGACTGAGCTGGGCCACAGTGTCCTGTGGCTGGGAAGATGGGGTCTGCACCGTCACCATAGAAGTGGTGTCACCTGCCTGGCCCGCACAAGCTCCGGGAGAGGGCCTCCTGCAGGGCATGGGTGCCACGAGGTGGGAGGCAGACTCTGGGGGGTTTATGCTCCACAGAGGCACCACGGGAACGCCAGCCACGGGAAAGCCAGAGCTGTGCTACCAAGGTCAGAGAAAACAGATTCCATTCCACATCCATCAGGCAAAAACTGATCAAATTGAAAGGAGAACCAGACAACTCATTTGTAGGGTAGACCTCAATATTTTCGTCTCAGTAATCCGTAGAACAAGTAGACAGACCACCAGCAGGGATATAGAAGAACCGAATGTGCCAACCCATGAAGGCTGACACAGCTGTAGAGCGTTCTAGGACGTTCCACCCAACAATAGAAAAACACACATTTATTTCTTTCAAATGCACATGGAATATGCAAGGAGAAAGATCAGATTTGGGGCTATAAACACACCTCAATACATTTTTAAAATTTGAAATCAGACAAACTATGCTGTCAGGCCACAGTGGAATAAAAATTGAAATCAATACCAGAAGAATATCTGGAAAACTCTCTAAATCTCCACCTCCCAGGTTTAAGCAGTTCTCCTGCCTTAGCCCTCCCGAGTAGCTGGGATTACAGGTGCACACCACCAAGTCCGGCTGATTTTTGCATTTTTAGTAGAGAGAGGGTTTCACCGTGTTGCCCAGGCTGGTCTCAAACTCCTGACCTTGTGATCCACCTGCCTTGGCCTCCCAAAGTGCTAGGATTACAGGCGTGAGCCACCGCGCCTGGCCTCAAAATTAAGCAACTTCTAAATAACCCATGAGTAAAAGTGGGAGTATCACGAGAAATTTAAAAATATCTTCAACTAGGGCGTATTTTTAAGACTCTGTCTTAAAAATACATATATGTATACACACACACATATATATATAACTAAATGAAAATTATAACATCAGATTTGTTAGGAGCAACTAAAACATTGCTACAAGGGAAATTTCTAGCATGAAAAACTTCTATTCGAAAGACAAAATCAGCTGTGTGGTCCCCTCTCAGGGCACGTCACGTGGTGACGCGGCACGTCTGCCCCCAGGTACATCGAGTACATGTGTGACATGGTGGCGGAGGAGCCCATCACACCCCACAGCAAGCCCATCCTGGTGAGGGCCGTGGTCATGACACCCGTGCCGCTGTTCAGCAAGCAGAGGAGCGGCTGCAGGCCCTTCTGCGAGGTCTACGTGGGGGACGAGCGTGTGGCCAGCACCTCCCAGGAGTACGACAAGATGCGGTGAGTGCAGCTGCAGCCCCACGCTGTGCTCCCTCCTCCTCACCCCTCCGGAAAACCGTTAAAGAGGAACCCTGGCCTTGCCGGGGACAGGCGCTTGCTGAGGCGGACGTGTTTGGAACTGTGGCGTCTGTGGCAGGTCACTTGGGATCCTGGTCAGCAGCAGGAGGTCACAGGGATCCGAGTGTCCAGGAGACTTGAGAATGGGATCCTGGTCAGCAGCAGGAGGTCACAGGGATCCGAGTGCCCAGGAGACTTTAGAATTCTTGTGAGGCTCTTCATGGGGGTTATTCTTTATTGGTTATTACACATTTTAGCTAAGTGGACAATTTCTCATTCTGTTTTTTGTTGTTTTTGTTTGGTTGGTTTTGGGGGTTTTTAAAATTTTTCTCTTGTCATTCTGTCCTTAGGGACTTTAAGATTGAAGATGGCAAAGCGGTGATTCCCCTGGGCGTCACGGTGCAAGGAGACGTGCTCATCGTCATCTATCACGCCCGGTCCACTCTGGGCGGCCGGCTGCAGGCCAAGGTGAGAGAGCCTGTGGCTTGCCCGGTGCTCCCCACTCACGCCTAGGCTCATGGGGGGCTGGGGGCCACAGTGCGCTCACTTCTCACCGAGGGTCCAGGGTGCTCGCTGTTTGGTGAGTGCCGTGGGCTCTCATGTGGCGACTGCCCCACAGCGCCCCCTGCTTGCCCCGTGCACTTGACGCGGCAGGATCTCAACCTGAAAAGCCTGGCGTTTCCATCGAGACTGAGTTTGAGGGTCCACTTGGGGCAGCCCCCACGGCAGTCCCGTGAAGCAGCTTGTGGGCCCATGCGTTCTCCTCAGGGTTACCTGCCACACACAGACCCTCTCCCGCTTCCCCCACAACATGTGGCACGGGGGCGCCGTCCATGCCTCCAGCACCATGAGCCGCTCTCAGATCTCGCCCATTGGGAAAAATTGGCCTGTGGCCCCAGGATCTGGATTCACCCTCCACGTGGGGTGTCGTGTTTGCTCTCTTTGCAGATGGCATCCATGAAGATGTTCCAGATTCAGTTCCACACGGGGTTTGTGCCTCGGAACGCCACCACTGTGAAATTTGCCAAGTACGTTGGTACCGCTTGTGCTCGGTGGGGAGGGACAGGTGCCCTGTGCCGCAGCACCTGCATGTGGGCCGGTCGTGGGAGCCCCAGGGGGAGTGGCGGGCTGTGTGACTGCTGCTTGGTGGCTCTGGGCCTGTTCCTGGGCCATCCTGGAGCTGCGCGTGTGTAGGCTGCTGGGGTGGACCCGGTGGCTGCTGCTCTGCCCCCCCGTTGGTGTGTGTGTCTGTTAGAATTTAGCCCTCACACCCGGGCGTGGCGTAAGCAGGTGAGCGGGTGGCGGCTGCATCTTAGCAAACGTTCCTGAGCCTGCTGTGTGCAGAGTGCCCTGCCAGGCGGAGGCTGGAGATGATGCGGGGCAGTCCTGTCTGGAAGCTCACACTCTGTTGTTAGCTCCCTCTGTAAACAAGCGCAGCCACGGGATGGCCCCCACCCCTGCCATGCCCAGCACCTGTTAGCTCTCTGTCCTCTTGACGTTGGTGCCCAACAGCGCATACCCTGCCCTCTGCAGGCTCAGGTGCAGATGCGGTGAGCAGCAGAGCAGGCTCTCACACCCGGGCGTCCTGATTCTAACTGGAGGTCTGTCTTTTTTTTTGAGACAGAGTCTCGCTCTAACGCCCAGGCCGGAGTGCAATGGCGCAATCTCGGCTCACTGCAACTCCACCCACCAGGCTCAAGCGATTCTCTCGCCTCAGCCTCCTGAGTAGCTGGGATTACAGATCTGCACCACCACGCATGGCTAAGTTTTGTATTTTTAGTAGAGATGGGTTTCACTATGTTGGCCAGGCTGGTCTTGAATTCCTGACCTCAAGTGATCCACCTGCCTCGGCCTCCCATTTAACTGGAGATCTTTCTACTCAATCACAGGCAGGCTTATCTGCCAAGACACAGTGGAACAAACATTGTTCCAGGAGTCAGAGGGGGCACCCACGGGGGCTCCCAAGACAGAGGCTGTGGCTGCAGGGCCTGCTGTGTTCCAGGCTCTGTGCTCTTGGTTCCTACCCAGTAAACAAAGGGAAGCCTTGGGCCAGCCCCACGGGGATGCTGGCGGACTCTGCACCTTGGGAGGGGTGCTGGCCTGGCCTGGGTGAGCTCAGGAAGAGCTGGCGCCTGCTGCTGTCAGGGACGGCCTGCACCGGGAGACCGGGGTGTCTTCTTGTGTTTTTCTGTCTCTGTGATTCTTTTTTTACATCTCTTGTCTTTGTTGTGTCTTACGCTTTTCTTTTTTTAACTCACATATTCGCAACTTTAATAATTTTGTTTCTTTTTTCCTCCTTTGGAGGAAGAAAAACACCCAGTGCTCTTAGAGTTTTCAGCCACGGTGGAGGCGGTGCTTAAAATAGTGTTTTAAAGACCAAGGTACTGATGATGAAGAGGAAAATGTCGGTGAAGGACCTGTCGGGGACTTAAATGCTGGAGGCAGGAGGCAGGGACTTTGGTAACTGATTGATTATTCAAGAAAGTCGGGGGAATGATGGGAATTTCACCAGAGATCTGGAACATAAAAAGGAGACAGATGTGAATTCTAGAACTGAAAAATATTACAGCCGAAATGAAGGCTTCAGTACATGATTAACAGTGGAATAGGCACAGCAGAACAGACTCTGAATTGGTAGAAAAGATCTTCTGACAGCAGCGCAGAGAAGAAAGGATGGAAGAAGACACGTACAGAGAGGGTCACGAGAGAGACTGTGGCACTGCAGGGGCCTGGCATGCTTTTACTTGAAGTTCTAGGAGAAGAGAGAGAGTGGAACAGAAATAATACTTGAAAAATCATTGGCCAAAAATTTTCCTAAACTGATGGAGGACGTCAGAACCACGAAATCAAGCTCTGCAGACGCCAAAGAGGATACTTTTTTTTTTTTTAACAAAAAGAAGAAAAGAGGTTCAGTACCTCAGAGCATCCTGGTTGAATTGCTGGAACCCGAAGAGAACAATCTCCAGCCCGAGGACAGGACGGGGTGGGAATGCATGACCTGCAGAGTGACACCCGAAGGCAGCTGAGGCGCGCCGTCTCTAAAGTGCTGAGAGAAAAATACGGGAATTCTATATCCAGTGAAATTATCCTTGAAATATGAAAGCCAGTTAAGGATGTCTTCAGCCAAGCAAAGGATGAGAGAGTTGATTGTTGGCAGAACTGCTCCATTTCAGCAAGTATCCAAGGCAAGCCTGCAAAGCCTGCAGCCTAGGGAAGGAAGGGCAGGGAGGCTGGAATGCATGACTCTGTGGTGAAATGACACCAGCACCAGCTGCTTAAAACACCAATACTAACGTCCTGTGGGTTTTAAAACCTGTTTGGTAGTAACATATCTGACAGCAGGAGCACCAGCGCGTGCGCACACACAGACAGCAGGAGCACCAACACACGTGTGCATGTACACACACACAAGCACCAGCGCGCACACACACACACAGCCGAGGAGGGGATTAACCGAGTGAATGTGTTTCAGGAGCTCCATCACCAGGAAGCAGAGAATGTACCAATCCCTAGGGCAGATTAAAGATGCAATCAAGAAGAAAAATGGAACAAAAAATATGTGATGAATTCGCCAGAACAACGTAGAGATAAACAAACAAACCCAGGTGGGATATAGATAGAAAACAGCCAGCTGGTAGACCGACGCCCTGCTGTGCCTGTCAGTCATCCCATTGAAGGTGGATAGAAGACACACTCCAGTTAATCGGGCTGGATTAAAAACCAAGCTCACACAAAACTCAAGTCTATACTGCTTACAGGAGCCATACTTCAAAACCCTTGCACACGAAGACCTAGCAAGGCTGAAGTGGAATAATTGGAAATTGCTTACCATGCAGACCATAACAGGAAGAAGGCTGGTGTCACTGTCCATATCAGGTGGGATAGACCAAGGCAGGAGGTGACGGGTGACGTTGCAGGGGCGAGGGCAGTGACATGGCTTCAGTACAGGCAGCACAAAGGGCAGAAGGAGGGGTGAAGTTGACAGGCCCACGCTGATGGCCGCCTCTCTCCCCAGGCAGTGGAACAGGTAGACAAGAACAGGATATAGTTTTTTTTTTTTTACAAGGTTTAACCAACTTGACCTGAGTTTTGCAAACTTCAGCGAATACTTGGAGAAATGGCATCTGTTCAAGTGGGCGTTTATTAAAGTGGACTCCACGTTGGGTCATACAGCAAGTCTCAAGGCATCTCAACAGTGGATTAAAGTGGGAATCAGTGACAGGAAAACACCCAGAGACCGTATGCTCGTTAAGTGACCTGTGTGCCAAAAAGGAAATCACTGTTGAAATGAGAAAATATTTTAAACACATTGATAATCAAAATACCACTTACCAGATGTGTGGGGTGCATCTGAAGCAGGGTTTAGAGGAAATGTGTAACTTCAAATGCATACATTAAAAGGAAGAAAGGTTGGTTGCGCACAGTGGCTTACAGCTGTAATTCCAACACTTTGGGAGGCAGGAGGATTGCTTGAACCTGCGAGATCAAGGCTGCGCTGTGGGCGAGAGGCGTGTTCCCTGCGTGGTGAGCCTGCGCCGTGCCTGGGCGAGAGGCGTGTTCCCTGCGTGGTGAGCCTGCGCCGTGCCTGGGCGAGAGGCGTGTTCCCTGCGTGGTGAGCCTGCGCCGTGCCTGGGCGAGAGGAGCACAGGGTTGCAGCCATGGCACAGATGTAACAGCTGAGCCTGTCAGGAGTCCGCTCTGCCCTGTTGGAGCTAGTCTGGCAGGAGCCTGCGGGCAGTGTCCTCTGCAGTCCAGGGCTCTCGGGAGTGGCCAGCCCTGCTCACAGACCTCATTGTGCCCTCAGCGCCAGGCTGGGTGAGCCGAGCCTGCAGGCCCAGTGCCCAGGGCCATCTCAAGGGGCAGCTGGGGGAGGGAGGCTGGGCATGAGCGGCACTCCCTCTGGGGCTGCCCAAGTTCGGTCTGTCCCAGGACCCAAGCCCGTCTGGCCGACCTGGCTCCCTGCACACTCCCTCCCTCCGTGCCCCTCCCACTGTGCCTCTCCGCCCTCGGTCGTGGCCGGTCTGAGCCTCCGCTGCGGTGGCCGTCGGATTCTCTGCTGGTGCCTGCAGGCTCCTCTGCAGACGTTGCCTCCTCCACATCTCCACGCCAGCTGTGCCACCGCTGTGCAGTCCCTGCCACCCCTGACGACAGACAGCGGCACGCAAAGAGGCTCGGGCGCAGGGGGAAGCTCGTGTTGGCCCCGGCTGGAGTGCACATCAGTCCCGGCTTCGGCCGTGGCCACCTCCGCCCAGAGCCTTGAGTGGGCATTGAGGGGGCGCTGCTCTGCGTGAGGTTGGCCACCCCTCAGGGCGGGCACAGGGTGCTCTCCCCTCGTGCAGGGAGAGGATGTTTTAGAGGGTGAGCAGGAAGGGGTGAACTAGAGGCCTTTCACACATCACAGGCATGTGTGGAGCTCAGAGAAGTGACAGTTAAAACCAGCCGTGGCTCTGACCCACACAGGCCGCCGGGCCCGTCTCCCTGCCCTCCCTCGGCGGATCCCACTCTGCTCTGGGTGTTCCTGGCCCTGCAGACACTGGCAGCCTGGGTTTCCCAGGAACTGGCCGCCACTCTTTTGTGTTTCTTCTTTATTTTCTTAGGTGTATAACATTCAACATGTAGAGATTTTAGGTGGCGTAAAATAAGACAGGCATGGGGAGCCTGCTGCCCGCTGGAGAGCCCAGGCTTATCAGTGCAGTTTATGACAGTGGGATCAGAGATGATCATAGGAAATGTGTGAAATAGCCTGGAATTCCTTAGAGAGCTGTGGGGCTGGGAAATGGTCAGTGTCAGGTCACACCTGCCTCCCCGTGCGGCCAACACCCCAAGGCGGGCCCTGCTGACCCCTGCCCCTGCTCCCCACCCACATGGCCGACACCCCAAGGTGGGCCCTGCTGACCCCTGCCCTGCTCCCCACCCGCACGGCCGACACCCCAAGGCAGGCCCTGCTGACCTCTGCCCTGCTCCCCACAGCTCAGCCTGGGCTGCCTCCCCAGCCCCACAGTGAACACAGCTTTGTTTCCCCCGGAATCATGTTCCCAATTCCCTGGCAGCCGGATTCTAGAGGTCTTGGTTTTATGGGCATCTGTTGACAGTTGTGGATTTTTGTCAGGGCGGACGTCGTCATTTTTATGGAAAACACATTTAGTATCCCAGAGTGCGTGCTCTGAGCTGCCGGGTGGCTGCAGTCTGTGTGTGCTGGGTAGTGAGGGCCAGCGCCTGCCTTGGAACCCTGGGGTCCCACCTCAGAGCTGCCTGCCTGGGTGCCGGAGTCTCCAGCTGTGGGATGTTGTCCCGTCTGCTCTGAGCACGTGGCCTCCCCTGGAGTTGCAGGAAACATGGCGGCCCCGCCCGGTGCCCCTCTGCCTTGAACACAGTCGCGGGCATCCCCACTGTGACGTCCGAGGAGCGAGTGAAATGATGCTCTTCTGGGGCCGTGACCGGGGGTGCTGGTGCCCTGTGGGTTCCTGGGACAGCTGCTGGGTCAGCTCACAGGGCTCCAGCTTCCGCAGGCGGGGGTGGCCGGCTGCCCTGGTTGTTCTCGCCCCGCTGCCTGCAGCTGCCACCTGTTTCCATGCACGTTTCTTTAGTGAATGTCCAAGGACTTACAGACTACTTGGGTGGCCTTCCTAAGTGGTGTCTACTTGTAACCGCAGGTATGACCTGGACGCGTGTGACATTCAAGAAAAATACCCGGATTTATTTCAAGTGAACCTGGAAGTGGAGGTGGAGCCCAGGGACAGGCCGAGCCGGGAAGCCCCACCATGGGAGAACTCGAGCATGAGGGGGCTGAACCCCAAAATCCTGTTTTCCAGCCGGGAGGAGCAGCAAGACATTCTGTCTAAGTTTGGTAAGATCCCGCAGGTGAATTAGGTGAACCCTGTTCTGGTGAGTGTCTCTGTGGAGAGAGACACCTTTGGCTGAGCTCTGGCAGGGCTGGGCCCCACGCCTGCTGCTGCACCCAGGCCCTGAGCAGCTTGGGCTGCAGGAGGTTTTGGAAACTCCGTCGTGGATGTTGGACACCACCACCAGCTACACCAGAGAAGGACTCGCAGGCTGCAATTTCTGAGGCCCATGGGCAGGGACGGAGGCAGAGGGAGGAAAACCCAGGCTCCTGGAGCGAAGCGGGGTTTTGTCCCAGGCGTGTGTCTGGGTCAGATTTTTGTCATGTGTGCTGGACACACGTCCACTCTCACTGTGAGCCTCAGGCCTGCTGGCAGCATGTGGAACAGAACCCTCGCTCCTGTCGCTCTTCACTTCCGAGCAGTTTCGAAACGGCAGCCCAGGAAGTGCTGGCAGGTGGGCCCAGGGCCGTCCACTGCTCATGCCACGCTTGTTCTCGGCTCTTGGTTTGCAGTGTTTGCTTTTTCTTTCTGAGCATCTTCAGCGTCCCTGAAAGAGGCTGTATGTGTGACCTGTGCGTGCTGTGTATGTGTCCGTGGGTGGTGTGTGCCGTGTGTGTGTGTGCACGAGTGGTGTGTGCATTCATGTGTACTGTGTATCTGTGTGCTGTGTGCATTCGTGTGTACAGTGCATCTGTGTGTGCTGTGTGTGCGTTCGTGTGTACCATGCATCGGTATGTGCTGTGTGTGCGTTCGTGTGTACCGTCCATTTGTGTGTGTGCATGCATGTGTACTGTGCATCCGAGTGTGTGCATGTGTGTGTACCGTGCATCTGTGTGCGTGCATTCATGTGTACCCTGCATCTATGTGTGCTGTGTGCATTCATGTGTACTGTGCCTGTGTGTGTGCATTTGTGTGTACCATGCATCTCTGCTGTGTGTGCATTCGTGTGTACTGTGCATCTGTGTGTACTGTGTGCATTCATGTGTACTGTGCATCTGTGTGTGCTGTGTGTGCATTCATGTGTACCCTGCATGTGTGTATGTGCTGTGTGTGCATTCGTGTGTACTGTGCATCTGTGTGTGTGCATTCATGTGTACCCTGCATGTGTGTATGTGCTGTGTGTGCATTCGTGTGTACTGTGCATCTGTGTGTGTGCATTCATGTGTACCCTGCATGTGTGTATGTGCTGTGTGTGCATTCGTGTGTACTGTGCATCTGTGTGTGTGCATTCCTGTGTACCATGCATCTGTGTGTGCTGTGTGTGCATTCCTGTGTACTGTGCATTTGTGCTGTGTGTGCATTCATGTGTACCGTGCATCTGTGTGTGCTTTGCATTCGTGTGTACCCTGCATGTGTGTATGTGCTGTGTGTGCATTCGTGTGTACTGTGCATCTGTGTGCTGTGTGTGCATTCATGTGTACTGTGCATCTGTGTGTGTGCTGTGTGTGCATTCATGTGTACCCTGCATCTGTGTGTGTGCTGTCTGTGCATCCGTGTGTACCATGCATCTGTGTGTGCATTCATGTGTACTGTGCATCTGTGTGTGCTGTGTGTATTCATGTGTACCCTGCATCTATGTGTGTGCTGTCTGTGCATTCGTGTATACTGTGCATCTGTGTGTGCTGTGTGTGCATTCGTGTGTACCCTGCATCTGTGTGTGTGCATTTGTGTGTACTGTGCGCCTGTGTGTGTGCTCTATGCATTCGTGTGTACCGTGCAGCTGTGTGTGTGCATTCATGTGTACCCTGCATATGTGTGGCGTTTGATGCCTCAGTGGTGGGTTCCTTGTGCGTGTTCATGTGTGCGTGTGCTGTGCCCAAGTGTGCACGCATGGCCCAGAGTGGCATCCGAGTGGATAGCAGGAATCTGTTCAGAGAGCCCCTCCCCGTCATGTCATTGGTCTGCTTTACCGATGGCCTGGCCTGCCACGGTGCTGGCGCCCGCCTGGCTGCACTTCCCAGCTCTGGGGTCAGTGTTGCCCCGAGGCTGCTGGCCAGTGCCAGTGCCCTGACGCCCTCCCTCTCCTGCAGGGAAGCCGGAGCTTCCCCGGCAGCCTGGCTCCACGGCTCAGTATGATGCTGGGGCAGGGTCCCCGGAAGCCGAACCCACAGACTCTGACTCACCGCCAAGCAGCAGCGCGGACGCCAGTCGCTTCCTGCACACGCTGGACTGGCAGGGTAGGCAGCGTCCCTGGACCTGGCCACTTGCAGAGGGCAGGCCCCTGGTCTGGAGGTGCCCCTGGGGCAGGGCAAGCGTCTTGGGAGACGGGCCTCCGGCAGAGCTGAGTTGCACCTCAGTGGGGCTGTGCACCCGGCATGTCAGCCTGTTCTTTAATGGCTCACGAGCTAAGAATGATTTCATATCTTTTTAAAGGTGAAAAAAAAAGAACATGCCCACAAAGTCTGAAATAACAACCCTCGCTCTTCATCCCAGTCTGTGGGCCTGGGGAGGCTGGCAGCATGGGCCATGCTGGCGGGGCCCCTGGGTACAGGGGAAGGGCCTGGGCGGAGGGACAGACTGTCACCACCTGGGGATCCCACACCTCTCTTTGCCCACACCCCCAGTGGGCTCCCAGCCCCTCTGAGGCTTTTCAGGAAAACACCTGGGCGCCATCACTGGACCTCACCCCAGACACACCCCAAGGGATGCACCTGCCACTTCCTGTCCCAGCACCCCTGGCCTTCCCATCGGGCTCGTCCCTTCTGCCGCCTGTTCCCAGAGCACCCTTGATTGGTGTTCCTACCCCCTAGTGCTGCCATGTGGCCCCCACTTGACTCAGCCTGAGGCACCGCAGAGGCCCAGGCGGAGAGAGCCACAGGCAGACCCTTGAGGCAGAGGCTGGAGGTGGGTGTGCTGGAGACGCCTCAGGAACAACACCCCACCGCCCGCCCAGAAGCTTCTGCAGCACTCGCCAGGGCCCTGGGCCAAGGAGGCGCTGAGGGGCCGTGCCATGGGGACATTGGTGCTGGCCATGTGGGTTCGCCAAGGCCCTGGGCTGAGGGGACGCGCCGTGGGGACCCTGGTGTTCCTGCAGCACTTGCCAAGGCCCTGGGCCGAGGAGGTGCCGAGGGGCCATGCCATGGGGACCCTGGTGCTGGCCACGTGTGTTCACCAAGGCCCTGGGCCGAGGAGGCCCTGAAGGGACGCGCCGTGGGGACCCTGGTGCTGGCCACGTGTGTTCACCAAGGCCCTGGGCCGAGGAGGCCCTGAAGGGACGCGCCGTGGGGACCCTGGTGCTGGCCGTGTGGTCTCACTAGCCTGTGGTTTTGTTTCCTTTTCGCAGAAGAGAAGGAGGCAGAGACTGGTGCAGAAAATGCCTCTTCCAAGGAGAGCGAGTCTGCCCTGATGGAGGACAGAGACGAGAGTGAGGTGTCAGATGAAGGGGGATCCCCGATCTCCAGCGAGGGCCAGGAACCCAGGGCCGACCCAGAGCCCCCCGGCCTGGCAGCAGGGCTGGTGCAGCAGGACTTGGTTTTTGAGGTGGAGACACCGGCTGTGCTGCCAGAGCCTGTGCCACAGGAAGACGGGGTCGACCTCCTGGGCCTGCACTCCGAGGTGGGCGCAGGGCCAGCTGTACCCCCGCAGGCCTGCAAGGCCCCCTCCAGCAACACCGACCTGCTCAGCTGCCTCCTTGGGCCCCCTGAGGCCGCCTCCCAGGGGCCCCCGGAGGATCTGCTCAGCGAGGACCCGCTGCTCCTGGCAAGCCCGGCCCCTCCCCTGAGCGTGCAGAGCACCCCAAGAGGAGGGCCCCCTGCCGCTGGTACGTGTTTCTGTTCTGAAGGCGAGTGGCTTCACAGTAGATGAGTGATGAGGCTGAGTCATTCTCACTGCATGGGCGTGTTTCGAAGGTGCTTGCAGGAAGGGAACGTGCCCTTCCCCCACCTCCCCCAGGAGCAGCCTCGGGGTCATGTCAGGGTTCTGTGCTGCCCACCTGAGCTCACGGGCCGGGAGCTACTGGCTTCTCCATCTCAGCAGTGTTGCTGTGTCCCTGGGAAAGTCATCCTGAGGCGTGGGGCACGGGGAGCCCCTGGGCTGACTGCCTCAGTGCCCCTGCGAGGGCAGCCGTGGGGTCTGGGCTGCCCAGCTGGAGTGGCCTCTTGGGCAGGCCTGACTCCAGAGCTGGGCTCCTTTGTCTTCAGGCAGCCGGGCTGAGTCCTCCCCATGCCCGCCTGTCCCCACAGCTGACCCCTTTGGCCCGCTTCTGCCGTCTTCAGGCAACAACTCCCAGCCCTGCTCCAATCCTGATCTCTTCGGCGAATTTCTCAATTCGGACTCTGTGACCGTCCCACCATCCTTCCCGTCTGCCCACAGTGCTCCGCCCCCATCCTGCAGCGCCGACTTCCTGCACCTGGGTAAGTGCCTCTCGCCTGGCAGCCAGCTCTCCATGGCCGCCTCCCTCAGGACCGCAGCCTCTGGTGGGAAACAGAGCTGTGGGTCTCAGGCAGTGGTGGGGCTGGACTGTGTGGCCTCCGGGTGCGCTCCTTGCGGCCCAAGCATCCTGCAGGACGTCCCAGAGGTCAGGACAGACTGCTCCCTGCTCTGTCTCCCCAAACCATCCCCAAACCTGGAACAGGTTGTGGGGCCCTGCAGTGCCTCAGTCGTCTGTGACTGGCAACAGGTGTTTCTCCAGGCCTCCTCAGGCCCAGGCCTTGCAGCTGTTAGCAGAGAAGGCCACCTGCACCCAGAGCTTGTGTAGGGACCAGAGGTCAGAGGGAGGCAGCTGGGGGACCCAGGGTCCGGGAAGCTGACCTGGTCTGGGTGTAGCAGGGGCCGTGGGGCACCGTATCCATGGGGAGGAGGTCAGGCGCCGGGGCACAGCATGGCTTGTTTAGACAGACGCCGGTGGGGCCAGGCCCTGGGAGAGGGCTGCGCGCCCCTCCAGTGTGGTCCTAGGGGAAGGAGCCTGGGTTCTCTCTCCTGAGGAGGCAGCAGCGTGGTCCACGGCGTACTCTGGGGTGATGATGGTGACCATTGCAGGATGGCTTGTGGGCGGGTGTGTGGAGTGCAGCCTTGCAGCGTTGGGGCGGGTGCCGCCAGAGGTGTGCTGCGTGGCCAGAGCCAGGGCAGACAGGACCTGCTGGGCCCTCTGTCTGCCGAAGGCAGCTCAGCCAGGTGGAGCCACCTCGGGCTCTGGTGGGTTTTAGGAGAGGCGGGAACGCAGGCTGTGGGGATGGCGGCAGAAAGTGGGGTCCTGACAAACCCTTTTGGATGGGAATGCGCAGATGCTTGTTCTCAGCCTGGCCTGCGAGCTGCTCCGCCTGCTGGTGCCCCTACGTCCACTCGCTCAGTTCTGTGTGATGGGATGCATCCTCAGGACCCTTCAGGAAGAGAGAGGCCGTCAGCCCAGCCTCAGCTCAGCCTGGGTGCAAGAGGTGTCCGCTCCTAGGGCCCTGAGCACAGCCTGGCGCCCCGCCACATTTGCCTGCTGCTGAGACACCAAACTGTGCTCTCTTCTGGTTCCTTCTTCCCAGGGGATCTGCCAGGAGAGCCCAGCAAGATGACAGCCTCGTCCAGCAACCCAGACCTGCTGGGAGGATGGGCTGCCTGGACCGAGACTGCAGCATCGGCAGTGGCCCCCACGCCAGCCACAGAAGGTATGGCCACCACCCACCAAGGACAGGGCTCCCAGACGTGCAGCTGCTGTGGCCCGTCTCTATTTCACACGTACCTGTAACAGGGCCCTCTCTGCGCAGAGAAGGAAGGAAGGGCTGGGGCGTGCTTGGTGGTGCGGGCTCCGCACACAAGGCTGTGGTATGACTGCAGCGGCCTCACTCACCCGGTGTGCCTGGGGTACGTGGGGACACAGACTTGGTGTCCCAGAGCTGCAGTGGCTCCTGAGCATCAGCAGCACCCCCGAAGGGTCCTCCTCCCACCCGGCAGGGCGTCTGCGTCTGTGATGCGATTTCATGCCCCACACTCTGTGGACCACGTGCTGGCTCTGCCTGTAGCACCCCGTGGCTCTTCCCTCCTGAAGGGGTTTGTGACTGAGGCCGACCCCATGGGTCTTGTCTCGGTGTTGCGGCCGATGCCCCATGCCCTGTCAGGAAGGGGGTCATGTACAGCAGTCGTGTTTGCGACGCCCCGTGCCCTGTCAGGAAGGGGGTCACGTACAGCAGTCGTGTCTGTGAGCGTCTGTCCTTCCCGTCACCCTGGAGCCGGCCCTCCCGCGGCGTCTGGTAGCGCGGATGCGTATGCTGCAGCTGCGTCTTGGGCCGGCCTCAGCGATGTCGCGGGTTTGCTTCCAGACCACAGTCAAAGCGAACACCCCTAGAAAGCCAGTCAGATTTTGTTTTCCCAGTAAGCATAAGAGTTAAGGGGGTTTTTTGTGTGGGGTTTTGTTTTTGTTTTTGTTTTTGAGACAGGGTCTTGCTCTGTCACCCAGGCTGGAGCATAGTGGCGCAATCTCTACTCACTTCAGCATTGACCTCCTGGGCTCAAGCGATCCTCCCACCCCAGCCTCCTGAGTAACTGGGACTACAGGCATGTGCCACCATGCCCAGCTAAGTTTTAAAATTTTTTTGTGGAGACAAAGTTTTGCCATGTTGCTCAGGCTGGTCTAGAACTCCCGGGCTTAGGCGATGCATGCACCTCAGCCTCTCAGGGTGCTGGGATTACAGGCGTGAGCCACTGCACCCAGCTAAAAGTTATATTTACATTATACTGTAGTCTGGTTTTTTGTTTGTTTCTTTGGGAGATGGAGTCTTGTTCTGTTGCACAGGCTGTGGAGCGCAGTGGTGCAATCTCGGCTCACTGCATCCTCCACGTCCTGGGTTCAAGTGATTCTCCTGCCTCAGCCTCCTGAGTAGCTGGGATTACAGGTGCCTGCCACCACGCCCAACTAATTTTTGTATTTTTAGTAGAGATGAGGTTTCACTATGTTGGTCGGGCTGGTCTCGAACTCCTGACCTTGTGATCCACCCGCCTCGGCCTCCCAAAGTGCTGGGATTACAGGCGTGAGCCACCACGGCCTGGCCATAGTCTGTTAAGCGTGCAATAGCATTATGTCTAAAAAATAAATATAGTTACCTTGATTTAGAAATACTTCATTGCTAAAAAATGCTAACGATCCTGATCTTGCTGGTGGGGGTCTTGCCTCAATGTGGATGGCTGCTGACTGATCAGGGTGCTGATTCCTGAAGGCTGGGGTGGCTGTGGCCATTTCTGAAAATAAGACGATGAAGTTTGCCACGTGATTGTCTCTCCCTTTCACAAAAGGTTCCCTATGGCACGCAGTGCTCTTGGATAGCGTTTACCCACATGGAGCTTCTTCCGTCCTCCCAAACCTGCCACTGCTGTGTCAACTAAGTTTAAGGAATATTCTAAACCCTTGGCCTCATTTCAGTGTTCACAGCATCTTCACCAGGACTCGATTCCATCTCAGTAAACTACTTTCTTTGCTCATCCGTAAGAAGCAACTCCTCATCCATTCAGGTTTCATCCTGAGATTGCAGTAATTCGGTCCCATCTGCAGGCTCCACTTCTAATTCGAGTTCTCTTGCTGTTTCCACCACATCTGCAGAGACTTCCTGCACTGAAGTCTTCAACTCCTCAAAGTCATCCTTGAGGGTTGAGATCAGCTTCTCCCAAACTCTTGTTCATGTTGCTGTTTTAACCTCTTCCTGTGAATCGTGAATGTTCTTAATGGCATCTAGAATGGTGAATCCTTTCCAGAAGGTTGTCAGTGAACTTTACCCAGATCCATCAGAGGAATCTGGCCGCTATAGCCTTAGAAATGTGTTTCTTAAATAGGGAGACTTGGAAGTCGACACGACTCCTTGATCCAAGGGCTGCAGAACAGATGTTGTGTTAGCAGGCATGAAAGCAGCGTGACTGTCTGCGTACGTCTCTGTCAGAGCTTTTGGGTGACCAGCTGCATTGTCCGTATTGTCAGCGAACAGTCATATTTTGAAAGGAATCTTTTTTCTGAGCTGTAGATCTCAACAGTGGACTTAAAATATTCCATAAACCATGCTGTACACAGATGGCTGCCATCCAGGCTTTGCTGTGCCATTTCTATGGCACAAGCCGAGTCAATTTAGAATCCTTTTTTTTTTTTTTGAGACAGAGTCTCTCTTTGTCGCCCAGGCTGGAGTGCAGTGGTGTGATCTTGGCTCACTGCAAGCTCCGCCTCCCGGGTTGACACCATTCTCCTGCCTCAGCCTCCCAAGTAGCTGGGACTACAGGCGCCTGCCACCACGCCCGGCTAATTTTTTGAAACCCCTAGAGACGGGGTTTCACTGTGTTAGCCAGGATGGTCTCGATCTCCTGACCTCGTGATCCGCCCGCCTCAGCCTCCCAAAGTGCTGGGATTACAGGCGTGAGATCATCAGTGATCTCAGCCGGATCTTAGCAGATGACTTAGGCCGTCTTATATCTGCATGGAGAGTCTGGCGGGTGCAGCCGCTTCATCAGTGGTCTCAGCCGGATCTTAGCGGATGACTTAGGCCGTCTTATATCTGCATGGAGAGTCTGGCGGGTGCAGCCCCTTCATCAGTGATCTCAGCCGGATCTTAGCGGATGACTTAGGCCGTCTCATATCTGCATGGAGAGTCTGGCGGGTGCAGCCCCTTCGTCAGTGGTCTCAGCTGGATCTTAGCGGATGACTTAGGCCGTCTCGTCTGCATGGAGAGTCTGGCGGGTGCAGCCTCTTCATCAGTGGTCTCAGCTGCATCTTAGCAGATGACTTACTGCAGCTTCCCCGTCAGCGCTTGCTGCTTCACCTTGCACTTGTACGTTGCAGAGACGGCATCTTTCCTTCAGCCTCAGCCCCTGCTGGCTTCACTTTTCTTCTGCAGCGTCTTCACCTCTTTCCACCTTCATAGAATTGAAAGAGTTGAGACCTTGCTATGGATTAGGCTTTGGCTTAGGAGGATGTTGTGGCTAGTTTGACCTTCTCTCCAGATCACCCGAACTTCCTCTGTATGGGCAGTGGGGCTGGTCCGACCTTCTCTCCAGATCACCCGAACTTCCTCTGTATCAGCAATAGGGCTGGTTTGTGTTCGTATCATTCGTGTGTTCACTGGAGTGGCATTCTCATTTCCTTCAGGAACTTTTCCTTTGCATTCACAATTTGGCTTGCTGGTGCAAGAGGCCTAGCTTGTAGCTTATCTCAGCTTTCTTTTTTTTAGAGACAGGGTCTTGCTCTTGTTGTGGCTGGAGTGCAGTGGCACGATCATGGCTCACTGCAGCCTCAACCTCCTGAGCTCAAGGGATCCTCCCACCTCAGCCTCCTGGGTAGCTGGGACTACAGGCACTCATCACCATGCCCATCTAATTTTTTAAATTTATTTTTTGTAGAGATGGGGTCCGTGTTGTCCAGGCCGACCTTGAACTCCTGGGCTCAAGCACCCTCCTTCCTCAGCTGCCCACTGTGCTGGGAACACAGGCATGAGCTGCTGCACCCGGCCTTCCTCTGCTTTTGACGTGCCTTGCTCACTAAGCTCAGTTGTTCCTAGCTTTTGATTTCAAGTGAGACACTTGCAACTCTTGTGTTCACCTGAACGCTTATAGGCCGTTGTAGGTTCTGAATTGGACTGATTTCAGTAAAGTTGTGTCTCGGGGAATAGGGAGGCTTGAGAAGGAGCGAGACGGGGAGTGGCTGGTCTGTGGAGCAGCCACAGCGTGTTGTCAGTTAAGCTCGCCGTCTTCTATGGGCACAGTCCATGGCACCCCAAAACAATTAGAGCAGCAGCATCAACTCATGGGACACACATCACCAAAGCAGATGCAATCATGAAGAAGTTTGAAATATCATTACAGTTCCCAAAATGGGGCACAGGGACACAGAGTGCACATGGCGTGCGGAAAATGGTGCCGGACAGAGTTGACACAGCCCTCAGCAGGTGGAACACACACTGTCTGCAGAGCTCCGGGAGGCACAGTGCACGATGTGCCAGGGCCTGGGTGCCCGTCCCCTCGAGTGCACAGTGCGAGGTGCGCCAGGGCCTGGGTGCCCGTCCCCTCGAGTGCACAGTGCGAGGTGCGCCAGGGCCTGGGTGCCCTTCTCCCCGTGTGCACAGTGCGAGGTGCGCCAGGGCCTGGGTGCCCGTCCCCTCAAGTGCGCTTCAGGACGTCTTTGCCCAGGGGCAACTGCCATCTCCGGTTTGTCTCCTGGTTGGATGATCACTGTGAAGGTGTCTCGCCAGTTTGATTTCTTTCTTATGAATGAGGTTGACTCTTAGTTTGAGTGGTTTTGGTTACGTGTATTTCTTTTGAGAATCATTTCATGTTCTTTGCTTATTTTTTGGCCTCAGGAATTCATCTTTTTCCTCAAATAGATCCACGAGGGCTCTTTATACATGAAGAGCCTGGTTTTAATGACTGCATGGCACTCTATCAAGTAGCTCTACCACGGTTTTTTTTTTTTTTGAGACAGAGTGTCATTCTGTCACTGGGGCTGAGTGCAGTGGCATCATTTTGGCTCACTGCAGCCGTCAACCCCTGGGCTGGAGCGATCCTCCCACCGCAGCCCCCCTGGGTAGCTGGGGCCGTCAACCCCTGGGCTGGAGCGATCCTCCCACCGCAGCCCCCCTGGGTAGCTGGGACCACATGCATGAACCACCGTGCCTGGATGATTTTTTTATTTTTTGTAGAGACAGGGTATTTCTATGTTGCCCAGCCTGTATTTTATGATTTTATACTTAGGATATTCTCAAATTTATGCTATTATAAAGAGTATCCTGAAGAGCATTCACATTTTAGATAGATTCCAGAAAGTGGTACTGCAGAATCATAATCATAATGATATGAGCATGGTTTGGTTCTGGGTGTGAGCTGTGAAGCTGTTTTCCCTGAGGAGCAGCATGGGGCATGGAGGCAGCGTCCGCCACACACACCTCTGTCCTGGCTGGTCTCGTGCACGCAAGCCATGCAGGTGCCAGCTCTCAGGCAGGAGTGAGGCTGTCATGTCGTAAGGAGGCGCCATCGGAGGTCCCAGGAGGATGTGTTTCGCTTCAGATGGTGCTTGTTCTAATGCCCTGTGCCCCTTCTCCAGGCCCCCTCTTCTCTCCTGGAGGTCAGCCGGCCCCTTGTGGCTCTCAGGCCAGCTGGACCAAGTCTCAGAACCCGGACCCATTTGCTGACCTTGGCGACCTCAGCTCCGGCCTCCAAGGTAACGTGGAGGGCACTTTGGGGGTGTGGAAGCTGTTTCCTTGTAGGAGGTTTATTCTCGTCTATCTGACTCTGAGCTGCCCAAAGTGAAGTCTTTGCCTCTGTTCACTAAGACCCCCAAGCCCAGAGCACAGTGAGCCCAAGGGGACAGCGTGTCTGCACCTGTTCCAGGCGACTGCCAACTGGCAAGCTAAAACCGGGAGTTGCTGACACTGGCACTGCTGCCAGCCCCCACCGGCATTGTGGTGCGTGATCCATCCTGTCCTCAGGGCCATGGGGGCCATCGGGGAGGCGGGGTCTCTGCATGGAAGTGGGGTGTAGCTGGGCTCTGCTCAGTCCCCGAGGCTGTGCTCGGAGCGTGCTAGCTGTCGGCCACAAGAACCGAGCCCACCCTCTCCAGTCCTGCGTCTGCCTCAGGCCCGGCCCGGGCGCTGTGGTCTGAGTCTCCGGTCCCACGTCTGCCTCAGGCCCGGCCCCGGGCGCTGTGGCTTCAAGTCTCCTTGGGCTGACCTGATGCCCCTGGGTCTCTGGGTTCACTCCCAAGATGCATCCCCCTGGGGTCCCTGTGGCTTCTCAGAAGAAGCGTCGGCGGCGGGGGGATGATCATCTGAAGGGGCCTCCCTTGCACTTGCCTGGCCGTCGGGTGGAATGCTGGGTGGGAAGTGGCTCCACCTTGGGATGCTTGTTGGTGCCGGTGACCCCCGGACGCTCCAGCATGCAGCCCCAGGCTATGGCATCTGCTCCTGCTCAGCTCCGGGAGCATTTCCCGTCTCCTCATCGTTTCTCCTGTCCTTCCCTGAGTGCCTCAAATTCCTGTGAGCAGGTGTCGGCGTTGGATCTCTAGGGCTGGCTTCGAGTCCTCACTCTCTCCCGGGCTGGCTTTGAGTCCTCACTCTGCTCTTGCGAGCTCACATCTGAAGTGCCTTCTGTTCTGTCATGAAGTCCCAAGAGTTTTTTCGTCTTTGAATGTTCTTTTTATGTTTCAGGTGGTTTTGGGGATTTACTATGTCTTGAGGACATCCATGAGCGTTTCTGTCGGTGTGGTTTTGTATTTTATTTCCCTTTGTGGCCTCTGTCTTGTGTTGTCTGAGAGCACGGTGGGGTTGCGAGGGCCGTGCCCTCGGGAGGAGACCTGCGTGTGCCTTGACTGCCCTGGGCAGCCGGCACTGGGGCAGAAGGAGTGGACTCCCAGGGATCCCCGCCGTTTGTGTCCCAGACACAGCCCCAGCCCTCCGCCTGCTGGCTCGGTGGGCGGCCTGAAACCATCCTGCCTTCTAGGAAGACAGCAATTCTGGAAGAGCAAAGCCGATACAACTGAAGGAAAAAATAGACAAACCCAAATCATAGCTGGCGACGTCAGCACTGCTGTCCCGACACATGACGGAGCAGCTGTACTGAAGGCTGCAAGGATGTAGAAGGGCAGAGGCGCCAGCCAGCAGGGCCCACCAGCTGCAGGCACGGACCTTTCCATGCACCGTGGGAGCCTCCTCCACACAGGCCCTGTCCTCAGAGAACTAGGATTCTGCAGCATGCCGTCTGACCACAATGAAATAGAACGGAAGAATCTTCACACTTGGGAACAAAACAGCACACTTTCAAACGACACCTGGGCCAGAGAGGAGGTCTCAAGGGAGACGATGCGTGGAGCTGAGTGAAGATGCAAGTGCAGCCTAGGAAAGCCCAGGGCCCCATCAGGCAGTGTGGAGACACCCGCAGCCGTGGGGGCTTGCTGTGGAAAAGCTGGAATGCCCCAGCAGTAACCTGAGCTCTCTGCACAAGACATTTGGGGGGAAAAAAAGGGAGCGAAATAAGCCTACAGCAAGCGGAAGGAAAGAAAGAATGAGGAGCCACGGGCAGTGCAGTGGAACACAGGGACAGAGGCCAGTTCTGAAGCCCACAGACCTCTCCCGGGGCTGCTGGGAAGAGTGACCCAGGTCATCGATATGGGGGATGGTGCAGGAGGCACCACTGCAGACCCCGCAGGCTCTACGAGGGTCACGGGTGCAGGCGCCTCTGTGCAGTATGCTTGACGACTTACGTGAAATTGATAAATTCCTCAAAACCAGTTCCTGCCACAACTTACCCAATATCAAGTAGATCCTTTGAAAAATTCTATAAATACAAAGAAAATAAATTCATAATTAAAAACTTCCCAAAAAGGAAACCTGCGGACCCACCTGGGCCACTGGAGAATTTCACCGAATGTTGAAAGAGAATGCCAATTCCACCCTCTCACAGGAAGCAGGAGAGACGGAGCACTTTCTAATTGATTTTACGAAGCTCATACTATCACCCTGATACCAAAATCAGACAGAAACAGCACCGGAAAGGGAAACTGGGACTATATTCCCCATGAATATACACACAGATCCTCAACCAAACTTCAGCAAATAGGATTTATCGGTATATAAAGAGAATTCTACACCAAGATCAAGTAAGATTTATTCCAGGAATCCAAGGCTGACATTTCAGAATTGTTAACAAAATCTATTTAGGTTGCTGCGAAAGTAATTGTGGTTTTGCCATTGAAAGTAATCACAAAAACCGTAATTACTTTTGCACTAATCTGATATCATATTAACTGGCTGAAGAGTCATGTGGTCACATCAACAAGGCAGAAAAGGCATTTAACAAAATTCAGAAAGTCAGCACCTTTTATGGCAGCACTGTCAGCCAGTCATGAGCAGAACGTCGTCAGCTTGGTAACAAGCATGTCTAGAGACCCACAGCCAGGCCAGGCGGAGTGGCTCACACCGTAACCCCAGTGCTCTGGGAGGCCAACGTGGGAGGATTTCCTGAACCCAGGAGTTTGAAACCAGCTTGAGCAATATAGTGAGACCCCTGTAAGAATTAGCCAGCTGTGGTGGTGAGCAGCTGTGGTGAGCAGCTGTGGTGGTGAGCAAATGTGGGCAGCTGTGGTGAGCAGGTGTGAGCAGCTGTGGTGAGCTATGGTGAGCAGGTGTGAGCAGCTGTGGTGAGCAGGTGTGAGCACCTGTGGTGAGCAGCTGTGAGCACCTGTGGTGGTGAGCAGCTGTGGTGAGCAGCTGTGGTGGTGAGCAGGTGTGAGCAGCTGTGGTGGTGAGCAGGTGTGAGCAGCTGTGGTGGTGAGTAGGTGTGAGCAGCTGTGGTGGTGAGCAGCTGTGGTGAGCAGCTGTAGTGAGCAGCTGTGGTGAGCAGGTGTGAGCAGCTGTGGTGAGCAGCTGTGGTGGTGAGCAGGTGTGAGCAGCTGTGGTGAGCAGCTGTGGTGAGCAGGTGTGAGCAGGTGTGAGCAGCTGTGGTGAGCAGGTGTGAGCAGCTGTGGTGAGCAGGGGTGAGCAGCTGTGGTGAGGTGTGAGCAGTTGTGAGCAGCTGTGGTGAGCAGGTGTGAGCAGCTGTGGTGGTGAGCAGCTGTGGTGAGCAGGTGTGAGCAGCTGTGGTGAGCAGGTGTGAGCAGCTGTGGTGGTGAGCAGGTGTGGTGAGCAGCTGTGGTGAGCAGGTGTGGTCCCAGCTACTCAGCAAGCTGAGGTGGGAAGATCACTTGGATCGCTTGAGCCCAGGAGGTCAAGGCTGGCCTGAGCTATTATTGCATCACTGCACTCCAGTCTGGGCAGCAGAGCAAGACCCTGTCTCCAGAAACCTGCAGCCAACATCTTTTTTTTGTTTGTTTGTTTTGAGACAAGAGTCTTGCTCTGTTGCCCTGGCTGGAGTGCAGTGGCATAATCTTGGCTCACTGCAACCTCCACCTCCCAGTTTCAAGCAATTCTCCCGCCTCAGCCTCCTGAGTAGCTGGGATTACAGGCATGCACCACCATGCCCAGCTAATTTTTGTATTTTTAGTAGAGACATGGTTTCACCATGTTGGCCAGGCTGGTCTCAAACTCCTGATCTCAAGTGACCTCCCAAAGTGCTGGGATTACAGGTATGAGCCACCCTGCCTGGCCAAGCCAATATCATTTTTAACCATCCTCCTAAAATCAGGAACAGGGCAGGAGTGTCTTTTCTCCACTTGTACTTGTCGGAAGTCCCAGCTGCTGCCATTTGGCAAGAAAAGGAGATCAAAGTTACACGCACTACAAAGGGAGAAATAAAATTACTCCTGTCTGCAGATGACACGATTGTCTGCGCAGGGACTCTGAAGCAATCTACAAAGATCTTTTAGAACTATGAGTTCAGTAAGGTCGCAGGATACCAGGTCAACACACAAAAATCTGTCCTATTTCTGTTTACTTGCAATTATATAAGGAAGCCAACATTTAAAACAGTACCATTTACAATCACCTTTTTTTTTTTTAGAAAAAATAAACATTTAGGTATAAATCTGACCAGACATGTCTAGGGCTTGTGTGGTGGGACTACAAAACCAACCGTGGCGAAAGAGACCAGAGGAGATGCGAGTGAAGGGACGGACGCTGCACTCACGGCCTGGAGGCTCCCGAGTAAGGTGGCCGTTCTCCTGTGTGCATCTGTAGCCTAACGCAGTTCCTACCAACGCCTCAGCAGGGATTTTCCTAGATACAAATGAGCTTACTGTACAGTGTATTTGAAAGACAGATGGACTAGATGCCTGGAATAGTTTATTTTTTTGAGATGGAGCCTCGCTCTGTCGCCCAGGCTGGAGTGCAGTGGCCTGATCTCGGCTCACTGCAAGTTCCCTTACCGGGTTCACGCCATTCTCCTGCCTCAGCCTCCTGAGTAGCTGGGACTACAGGCACCCGCCACCACGCCCAGCTAATTTTTTGTATTTTTAGTAGAGATGGGGTTTCACCGTGTTAGTCAGGATGGTCTTGATCTCCTGACCTCGTGATCCGCCCGCCTCGGCCTCCCAAAGTGCTGGGATTACAGGCGTGAGCCACCGCACCCAGCCATGCCTGGAATATTTTTGTAATGGAAAAATGAAATGGGAGAAGTCACTGTTCCTGGCTTTGAGGCTTACTCTGAAGCCACAAATCAACATTGCGGCGATGGCAGACAGACGCGTCTGTGGAGAGAAGAGAGGACTCAGGCCACACAAGAGAGACCAGCGGAGCTTTGACAGAGGCAGAAAACCCGTTCATCAGATGGTCTGGAGCACCTGGGCAGCGGTAGGCAAAGCCCTAAGCCCTCGTTCTACAGAACAGCTCATCAGAATGCAGGGCCTTTAGGTGAAAACCTTTGTGGCCTGGGGCTGGGCAGAGTTCGTAGACTCGCCACCCAAACCACACCCATAAGAGGACAGGTGGACCCAACTTCAGAGCTCTGAGCATCTGAGCTGCGGACTGGGAGAAGATATTTCCAAACCACCTATTTGACAAAGGACTCATCTACAGAATATAAAAATACAGTCAAAAACAAACTGAAAGCAATCCAGTTAGAAAATGGGCGAGAGCGCAGGGTCCTCTGCCTACGAAAACCAGAGACCTTTGTTCACTTGTTTATCTGCTGACCTTCCCTCCACTATTGTCCTGTGACCCTGCCAAATCCCCCTCTGCGAGAAACACCCAAGAATGATCAATTAAAAAAAAAAAAAAAAGAAAGAAAATGGGCGAGAGACGGCCGGGCATGGTGGCTCATGCCTGTAATCCCAGCACTTTGGGAGGCTGAGGCAGGCGGATCACCTGAGGTCGGGAGTTCGCGACCAGCCTGACCAACATGGAGAAACCCTGTCTCTACTAAAAATACAAAAATTAGCTGGACGTGGTGGCACAGGCCTGTAATCCCAGCTACTCGGGAGGTTGAGGCAGGAGAATCGCTGGAACCCGGGAGGCGGAGGTTGCGTCAGCCGAGATCTTGCCACTGCACTCCAGCCTGGGCGACAGAGCAAGACTCTGTCTCAAAAAAAAAAAAAGAAAATGGGCAAGAGACATGAAGAGACCTCCAGCACATTGACATCCGATGGCCAGGAAGCACAGGCTGAGACACCCAGCATCACCGAATGCTGGCGCGGAGGAGGCCGGAGCGCGGAGGAGGCCCGAACACGGAGGAGGCTGGAGCGTGTGTCTCACGCATTGCCCGGGGGGCGAGCCGCGTGCCTCATGCCTTGCCGGGGGGACTTGCCGGGGGACGAGCCGCGTGCCTCACGCCTTGCCGGGGGGACGAGCCGCGTGTCTCGCGCATTGCCCCGGGGGCGAGCTGTGTCTCATGCATTGCCAGGGTTGAGCCGTGTCTCTCAGGCATTCCCAGGGAGTGACAAGTGGCAGGGCCGCTCTGGAGAACAGGTGGTCGGTTTCCTACGAAGCTAAACACACAGCTACTGAGCTACCGTGGGACATTTATCCCAGAGAAACGGAAACTCTCATTCACACACAAGTCCGTAACAGGCGTTCAGAGACGTGTCTGTTGTAGCCAAACAGTGGCATCAACCCAGGTGTCCTACAGGTGAACGGTTCAATAGGTGGTCTGCACACCACGAGATGGCCCTTGGCAGGGAGGGGGAGTGGCGGATGCCCCGAGCCCTAGTGAAGAGTGCCAGTCCAGAGGCTGCAGCTGTTGGTCCCCTTCTAGAACATAACTAAGATGACAGTCTGGGCATGGTGGCTCACACCTACCATCCCAGCCCTGTGGGAGGTGAGGCCAGCGGGTCTCTTAAGCCTAGGAGTTTGAGACCAGCCATAGTGAGACCATCTCCAAAAAAAAAAAAAGATGACAGAACTGTAGTGAAGCATTCAGGTCGTGATTGCTGTGGTGCTGAGAGGAATCCGTGGTGCGGTCAGTGGCGCGGCCCCGCACTCACACACACGAGTCCAGCTGGCCACGTCTGGTGCATCTGTAGGTGGCGCGGCTGCCCGGGCTCAGTGCTTCTCTGAGGTTATGAGAGACGCCCTCCCTGGGGGATGCTGGGCGCAGGTGCTCAGGGTATTTACAGCTTCCTGCTATTCTGATTATTCCAAAATAAAAAGTTAAAGGATCGGGCCAGGCACGGTGGCTCACGCCTGTAATCCCAGCACTTTGGGAGGCCGAGGTGGGCAGATCACGAGGTCAGGAGATGGAGACCATCCTGGCTAACATGGTGAAATCCCACCTCTACTAAAAAATACAAAAAAAATTAACCGTGCGTGGTGGTGGGCGCCTGTAGTCCCAGCTACTTGGGAGGCTGAGGCAGGAGAATGGTGAGAATCCGGGAGGTGGAGCTTGAAGTGAGCTGAGATCACACCACTGCACTCCAGCCTGGGTGACAGAGCGAGATTCCGTCTCAAAAAAAAAAAGTTACGGGATCAGCCCTGATTTGATGTGCTGCGAGAGGCAGTGGCCACGTGACAGATGGTGGTGGCCCTCTAGGACGCTACAGACGTGGGGACACTGCCCCAACCCCCGTGGACAAGCCCCGGGTCTGCCTTGGCTCCTGGGGGTGACGTGGGGACACTGCCCCAACCCCCGTGGACAAGCCCTGGGTCTGCCTTGGCTCCTGGGGGTGGGGTGCTGCCTCCACAGCTGCCCTGTCCTGGTGTCTGCCCTCCATCCAGAGTGTTCCCGTCGCCCCAGCACCTGGCCTGTGCTCCAGCCCCTGGAGACCTTCACACGTGTGGGTGGAGCCGGCACCTCTGGACGGCCTCGAGTGATCGGTGTTCTATTTTGCAAGCGCATGTTTTCCAATATACGTGGTGCTCTGCGTTATAGAAACAGTAGTTGCCCCTCATGGACAACCAGATGCCGAGTTTCCGATCTCCATCTCCACAGGCTCACCAGCTGGATTCCCTCCTGGGGGCTTCATTCCCAAAACGGCCACCACGCCCAAAGGCAGCAGCTCCTGGCAGACAAGTCGGCCGCCAGCCCAGGGCGCCTCATGGCCCCCTCAGGCCAAGCCGCCCCCCAAAGCCTGCACACAGCCAAGGCCTAACTATGCCTCGAACTTCAGTGTGATCGGGGCGCGGGAGGAGCGGGGGGTCCGCGCACCCAGCTTTGGTGAGTCCCCCACTCTCTGTTGCTGTGGAGTTTGCAGAGACCTCCCTGAATTGGCTAAAGGTAGAACCTATGTTGTTTTCTTCATCTCAGAGCCCAGTCCTGGGACAGGCACGGCCAAGCCACTCAGAGAACGACGCGGTTTCCGATGTGTGTTCACTGGTCTCTCTCTGGGTCAGGCCTCTGGGTCCCTCTTGTTCCAGTGACACCTTCTTGACCTGTTTTTAACAAATGGCCTTTGCAACCCTGTCTTGTCTTCCCTCTTCTTTACTCTGGAGGCATCAGGATGGTAGCCCTGTTCCCGGGGGCAGCAGGTGGAATTGGGCCTGTGTGTCTCTGCAGAAAGTTTCTGTTCTTAACTGGGCTTTGTGGCTCACGCCTATAATCCCAGCACTTTGGGAGGCTGAGGCGGACAGATCGCTGGAGCCCAGGAGTTCAAGACCAGCTTGGGCAACAGTGATACCTCCTCTCTACAAAAAATGTAAAAATTAGCCAGGCATGGTGGCGCATGCCTGTGGTCCCAGCTACTTGGGAGGCTGAGGCAAGAGGATCGCTTGAGGCCGGGAGGCAAAGGCTGCAGAGAGCTGAGATCACGCCATTGCACTCTGGCCTGGGTGACAGAGTGGAGACCCTGTCTCAAACAAAAAAAAGTTTCTGTTCTTTTCTAGCTCAAAAGCCAAAAGTCTCTGAGAACGACTTTGAAGATCTGTTGTCCAATCAAGGCTTCTCCTCCAGGTCTGACAAGAAAGGGCCAAAGACCATTGCAGAGATGAGGAAGCAGGACCTGGCTAAAGACACGGACCCACTCAAGCTGAAGGTGGGTGGGTGGGCAGCTCTTCCTGGGAGCCCAGAGGCCTCAACCCATGGCCCCTGGAGCATCTGCTGTGCCTTATGGAGCCGGCGTCTCCAGACAGCAACCTTTCACCCCTGGAGCATCTGCTGTACCACATGGAGCCGGCGTCTCCAGACAGGGACCTGTCACTGCCGATGGGCCTGGCAGCCCTCAAGGACAGGGTGGCCTGAGGCCAGGGGGGCAGGGCAGAGTCAGGCCCCAGGCTGTGCTGCTCCCCACGTGCCCAGATGGCTCAGCGCTGGTGGGGGTGGGGTGGGCGGGCGTTACAGGAGTGAGTGCCCCGGGGTGTTTGCAGAGACTGTTGAGGGCAGGCGTCTCTTGGGGGCTGCTCTGGGTACTGAGCCTCCCAACCCAGGACGCTCACTGGGGGGTGAGGATGCAGCGGTCAGGCTGTCACTGTGCCGGCCCTGAGACACGCCCTGCTCTGTGGCTTGGCCGATGCCCAGCTCTGCAGGCCACATGCGCCTGTGACCTTGGGGTCCTTTCACAGGCACCAGGGACCATCCCCTTCTCCCTCGGAGTCTGGGGCCTGGGATGGGCCAAGGGGTTGCACCACCAGAACCAGGGTTTGTGTCCTCGGTGAACATCTGGCTGAGACGAGGGTCCCTCTGGCCCCAGGCCCTGAAACATGAAGACCACCTGGCCCTGTGTCGTCCGGAGTGGGCTCTATATAGTTGAGGGCAGGGCGTGCAGTGGGACAGTGTCTGTGAGCCGGGCTGAGCCCACCCCACGTGACCAGGCACTTCCTCAGCGTCGTGCCTCAGTTTCCGCGGTGCAGAGGAGGAGGGCAGGCAGGTGCCCAGGGCTCGGCAAGCTCCGTGTCTCCCGCAGCTCCTGGACTGGATTGAGGGCAAGGAGCGGAACATCCGGGCCCTGCTGTCCACGCTGCACACAGTGCTGTGGGACGGGGAGAGCCGCTGGACGCCCGTGGGCATGGCCGACCTGGTGGCTCCGGAGCAAGTGAAGAAGCACTATCGCCGCGCGGTGCTGGCTGTGCACCCCGACAAGGTGAGCAGAGCTGCCAGGCGGCCGCTTGAGGCCTTCAGGGGCGGGGCGGGGGGGGGGTCCTGCCCCGCCCGCCCCCGCATGCTTATAAGAGGCGCTTACACCGCCTGTCACCCATAGGCTGCGGGGCAGCCGTACGAGCAGCACGCCAAGATGATCTTCATGGAGCTGAATGACGCCTGGTCGGAGTTTGAGAACCAGGGCTCCCGGCCCCTCTTCTGAGGCCGCAGTGGTGGTGGCTGCGCACACAGCTCCACAGGTTGGGAGCCGTCGTGGGACCTGGGTCCCCACCGTGAGGACCCCGTGGGCGACAGCAGGTGTGGCCAGGGTGGGGCTCCGAGCCCCGGGTCACCGCCCGCCCAGCGTTCCAGGCACATGAAGAGAAAGCATTCCAAAGCCTCTGATTGTTGTTTCCTTTTTCTCCTCCCGAAGGAACAGCTGATTCATGCTCCTCCCGCAATTGTCACGTCTGTGATTTATTTGGTGTTTCGGGCGTGGCCTCTGGAGCCCCGGCACGTGGTGGGCCACGCTGCTGGCGCTCATGGGCCCTGGTGTTTGCACCGCACTTTGTAATCAGTCCCGTGGTTGTCTGTACAGAATTAAACTATTTTCCGATGACTGCTGTGTCTCCAGTGTGGATCCACTCGCCCAGGTGCCGTTCACCAGCTGGGGCACAAGGCTGTGCTTCCTCAGCAACCTTGCCGTGGTTGGATTGTTGCAGGGGCCGAGTGGAGAGGAGAAGCGGGTCCCGGGGCTGCAGCGGCTCTGGGCAGCTCTTCAGGGGGCCATAGAGCCCAGCCAGGGCAAGGCCAAGGGCGGGGGCCCCTGCAGTCCCCAGACCCCCTTCCTCCCCTCGGCCCCGGGACTCCTCTCTCCTCTCCACTTGGCCCCTGCCCCTGGGCCCTGGACCTAGGAGCAAGGGTGGGCTCCACACTGCCCCTGTGCCATCCCCGCAGGGCCAAGGTGGCCTCCGGGCTGTCGGGCTGGTGGAGGACCAGGGGCCCCTGGAAGGAGAAGGTGACCATGGTGAGCCCCCACCCCACAGCAGACTCGAGGAGGCCCTGAATCATAGCCCTGAACTCACCGCCAGGCTCTTCCTGTTTTCAGAGAATAATGACTGCACGTTTGCTATGCACCCGCCACTATTTTTAGCTCTTTTAAAAAATAATGAGAAGCTAAATAGGTGCTGAGATTTTCACATCAAGGTCGTCTGGATTCCGGCTCCGGGTCTGGCCACCCCAACTCAGATGCTCCTGCTCTGGGGGCAGCTCGGGCCACGCTCCCTCTAGGCTCTCCAGCCTCAGCCCTGTGCTGTGCGGCCCCCTCCTCTCCTGCTGCCGCCCACGTCACACCCAAGCTCCAAACTAATCCCCCAGACCCCGCCCCAGACCCTTAACTCTGAAAGCTTGGGTCGCTTCTCCCCGGCCTGTGGCAAACCCAGCCACCCTGCCTGGACAAGTGAGTCCACCTCCCTCTGGCTGGCTGCACACCCTTCCTCCGTCAGGGGCCTGAGCCTCTGGTTATGTGTGGAGAGCAGCGGGTGGCCGGTCCAGGCTAGGCCGAGACTGCGGAGGATGGAGGAAGGTGTGGAGTGCAGCAGGTCACTGGTCCGGGGTAGGCTGAGATGGAGTGCATAGAATGGAGGCCAGGACGGTGGGGTCTGGGTTGCAGGACAGGAAAACCCCCATCCAGGCTGACCCAGCTCAGAAGGGAGTCTGTGGCCCCCACCTGGCCATGCTACCGCCAGAATTTCTCCTCTTCCAACCATTCAGCTCAGCATGGAGACACGCAGGTGCACAGGCATGTACAAGCCGTGCGCACACGCAGACGGCTACACAAGGTCACACACGGTGCCACCCAGACACCTGCGCACACGCAGACATGGCTGCACAGGGTCACGCACGGCGTTACCCGGACACCTGCGCACATGCAGACGGCTGCACAGGGTCACGCATGGCGCCACCCGGACACCTGCGCACACGCAGACACGGCTGCACAGGGTCACGCACGGCGCCACCCGGACACCCACACGTGAAAGGCCCAGGATGCACCATCTTCCCAGCCGGCCACTGGCCTGAGTGCTACCCACAGTCACTGAGGCTCCATTCTGCACGTGGGAGCCGGGTCTGCGGTCACCGAGCCTGTGACTATGCTCCGTCCTGCACGTGGACACAAGGTCATCCTTGCCGGGTTGTAATGCATAGACCACGTGAAGCTTGAAGAGAGACTGCACCTGTGTGACACCCCCTTGTGTGACAGCATCTTCTCGGTGACTTCACGGAGATACAAATGGCAGCGGCCAAGCAGCGATGCTCACATCACTGGTCCTGGAGGAAATGCAAGTTGGAGCCACAGCAAGATGCTGCCGCACCCACTAGGGCACCCAGTCAAGACCCACCAAGCCAAGTGTCCCCACGCATGTGGAGAAGCCCACACCCTCACGCAGTCTGGGTGGGAGCTTAAAATGGCACAACTGCTTTGGAAAACCGCTTGGCAGTCTTTTTTTTTTTTTTTTTTGAGACGGAGTCTCGCTCTGTCGCCCAGGCTGGAGTGCAGTGGCGGGATCTCGGCTCACTGCAAGCTCCGCCTCCCGGGTTCACGCCATTCTCCTGCCTCAGCCTCCCAAGTAGCTGGGACTACAGGCGCCCGCCACTACGCCCGGCTAATTTTTTGTATTTTTAGTAGAGACGGGGTTTCACCGTGTTAGCCGGGATGGTCTCGATCTCCTGACCTCGTGATCCACCCGCCTCGGCCTCCCAAAGTGCTGGGATTACAGGTGTGAGCCACCGCGCCCGGCCGGCAGTCTTTTAAAAAGCAAAATAGACGCCGGTGCGGTGGCTCACACCTGTAATCCCAACACTTCGGGAGGCGGAGGCGGAGGCAGGCGGATCACCTGAGGTCAGGAGTTGGAGACCAGCCTGACCAACATGGAGAAACCCCGTCTGTACTAAAAATACAAAATTAGCCGGGCATGGTGGCACACACCTGTAGTCCCAGCTACTCGGGAGGCTGAGGCAGGAGAATCGCTTGAACCTTGAGAGGCGGAGGTTGCAGTGAGCCGAGATCGCGCCATTGCACTCTAGCCTGAGCAACAAGAGCAAAACTCCATGTCAAAAAGAAAAAAAAAAAGCAAAATAGAAATTTCGTACACAGTTTAGCAATCTGCTCCTAGGTGTTGACCCAAGAGAAATGAAAGAGCAAGGCCACACAGACGTGTTCAGGAACAACCCATGATCCACGCACAGCTGGACATACGAAGGAGCTGTGTGCGTCCACGCCACGGGGTCCTGCTCAGCATGGAGAGGGGTGAGCTGCTGGTGTGACGGCGCCACGGGGTCCTGCTCAGCATGGAGAGGGGTGAGCTGCTGGTGTGACGGCGCCACGGGGTCCTGCTCAGCATGGAGAGGGGTGAGCTGCTGGTGTGACGGCGCCACGGGGTCCTGCTCAGCATGGAGAGGGGTGAGCTGCTGGTGTGACTGCAGCACAGGGCATGCCCAGGTGTGTTAGTCTGTTCTCACACTGCTATAAACACATATCTCAGACAGGGTGATTTATAAAGAAAAGAGGATTAATGGACTCACAGTTCCACATAGCTGGGGAGGCCTCATGAAAGTTACAATCATGGCGGAAGGCGAAGGGGAAGCAGGCACGTCTTAGCTGGTGGGAGGAGGGAGAGCGAGTGAGTAAAAGGGGAAAGTGCTGCACGCTTCCAAACAAGCAGATCTTGTGAGAACTCACTATCCGGAGAATAGCAAGGGGAAGTCTGCCCCAGGATCTAGTCACCCCCCAGCAGGCCCCTCCCCTGACATGTGGCGATTACAGTTTGGCAGGAGATTTGGGTGGGGACACAGATCCAAACCATACTGTCAGAAGAGCAGCAAGCTCAGTAAATGGGGCCAGATCAAAAGGAGGGAGGTAGTGAACGACTCCATTCGTGTAAAATTCCAGCAAATGTGAAGTCCGCGACAGGCCAGCAGCAGATCCGTGGCTGGCGGGTGTGGGCGGAGGAGGATGTGCTGGCTTCAGGCAAGCACGCGTCAAATGCCTCAAACTGTGCTCCTCAAACGTGTGCAGATTGCATTTCTGTCCTGCGGGGGCTCAGACCCTCAATAGTAAGCTCCAGTGGGTTAAGCAGGCTGCTTTCCAGGTGGCCCGTGACACCCCCCCATCCCCCAGATGTCCAGCTGCCCTCAGGCCACCTCCCTGGGCTCCCATGGGCCTCCTCTCCCTGTGCCCCCAGGGAGCTCCAGGGCTCTGAGGAAGGCCAACCCCAGAGGTGTGGGCATCTGCCCCAAGATGGAGGCCCCCCCCAACTCTGTGGGCCTCCAAGTGGGAGGACTTGGCTGCAAGGAGATGAGGGGGGCACTGAGTCATGCAGGAGGCCAGTGTGGCTGGAATGAGGTTCAGATCTGGGGGAGGGGCTGATTTTGTCCCTGAGCTGCTTTTAGCAGAAAAGCTGAGTGCTGAGGTCAGCTGAGGCTGAAGTCCTGCTTATGTCTTCATCTCCAGGAGCTCATCCCCGCTCCTGCACTGTGGCCATAGCTCCAGGCAGCCGCGCGCCGACCCCACCCACAGGCCTGGGTGGAGCTGAAGGTCTAAGCCCCATGCCAGACCCTCATCCAGGCAGCGACCCCTGGGCACAGGGGGCATGGCAGGGACACCGATTTCCTCCTCCTTCTGTCAGTTTGGACAAAGATTCCAGGGCCACAGACCACCGTCTGGCCGCCCCAAACTGCTTTCTCCAAAAGGGCTTGCCCCAAAGCTTTGCCCACCGAGTCCTGGAGCTGCTGAGCGTCCTGCCGGGCCTCACCTTAGGTAAGAAACAGCAGCAGCCTCAGCAGCTGGCTGTTCTCACCTTCACTACCTCCAGGAGCTCTGAGGAAAAGCACAGCAACCCAAGGGCAGGGGGAGGCTGTGCTGCCAGTTGGGGGTGGCCCCTGTGCGCATACCAGCATCAGAGCCCCTTCAGATGGGGTGGGAACCTGCCCCCAGCCCCAGGTGTGCCGGGCAGTCATGCGCAAGCTGAGGATGCTGGTCTCAGGTCTAGGGCACCCCCTTTGTGGAAGAGGCTGCAGACCCCGTAGATGTCATGGGCCTCAGATTAGGATAGAGGGGGCTTCCGGTTGGTCTAATGACTGGAGAAGGGCCCAGAAGAGGCAGGTCCATGCGGCACAGCCCCCACATTCTGGCCTTGGCACTTCCCCAAGATCAAACTCCAAGTCCCTGCTGCCAGCCCCCTCAGCTGCTGATGTGGTTGGCTCTGTATCCCCATCCGAATCTCATCTCGAATTGTAATCCCCACATGTTGAGGGAGGGAGGTGATTGGATCCTGGGGGTGGTTTCCCCCTGGTGAGTGAGTGCTCACAAGATCTGGCTGTTTGATAAGTGTGAGGCTCTTCTCTCTTTGTGCAGTCTCTCCTGTCGCCTTGTGAGGAAGTGCCTGCTTCCCCTTCCACCATGATTGTAAGTTTCCTGAGACCTACCCAGCCATGGGGAACTGTGAGTCAATTAAATCTCTTTCCTTTATAAATCACCCAGTCTTGGGTATTTCTTTTTTTTTTGAGACGGACTCTCGCTCTGTCCCCCAGGCTGGAGTGCAGTGGTGCAATCTCAGCTCACTGCAAGCTCTGCCTCCCAGGTTCATGCCATTCTCCTGCCTCAGCCTCCCGAGTAGCTGGGACTACAGGCACCCGCCACCACGCCCACCAAATTTTTTGTATTTTTAGTAGAGATGGGTTTCACCATGTTAGCCAGGATGGTCTCGATCTCCTGACCTCGTGATCTGCCCACCTCAGCCTCCCAAAGTGCTGGGATTACAGGATTGCAGGCGTGAGCCACCATGCCCGACCTTTATTTATTTATTTATTTATTTATTTTTTAAGATGTAATCTTGACCTGTCGCTCAGGCTGGAGTCAGTGGAGCAATCTCGGCTCACTGCAACCTCCGCCTCCCAGGTTCAAGTGATTCTTCTGTCTCAGCCTCCTGAGTAGCTGGGATTACAGGCACACGCCACCATGCCCGGCTAATTTTTTTTTTTTTTTTTTTGTATTTTTAGTAGAGATGGGGTTTCACCATATTGGCCAGGCTGGTCTTGAACTCCTGAGATTGTGGTCTGCCCGCCTCAGCCTCCCACAGTGCTAGGATTACAGGCATGAGCCACCGCACCCGGCCTTGGGTATTTCTTTATAGCAGTGTGAGAAGAGACTGATAGAGCTGCATATCCAGAGACCCTGGCTACGCCCAGACTCCTTTCCTGGGCCAAGTAGAGGGGTTGCTGTGGTTCCTGCTGCAACTCTGCCAACCCCCAGCCCAGGAAACCTCACCTCCGTCCAGATGTCCCACTGGCCTCACTTCAGGCTTTGCTCTGGGAAGGCGCCTGGGGACCTGTCACCACCACCTGCTCTGCTCGGTGCTGAAACGCTAGGATCATCCATGAGGCATGAACAGCAGTCCCCATGGGGCCCTCACATCACAGCCAAGTCACATTGTCCATGCTTGCTGGGAAGCCTTGATGGAGTGACAGGGACCAGACTAAAAAACTCAACAAAATGTGCAAAACCATTTGTTTTTGTTTTTGAGATGGAGTCTCACTCTGTCCCCCAGGCTGGAGTGCAGTGACGTGATCTCAGCTGACTGCAACCTCTGCCTCCCGGGCTCAGGTGATTCTCCTGCCTCAGCCACCTGAGTAGCTAGGATTACAGGCATGTGCCACCACACCCGGCTAATTTTTGTATATTTGGTAGAGACAGGGGTTCCACCATGCTGGCCAGGCTGGTCTTGAGCTCCTGATCTCAAGTGATCCACCCACCTCAGCCTCCCAGCGCGCTGGGATTACAGGCCTGAGCCACTGCGCCCAGCCAAAACAATTGTTTTTGGACCTTGAGGAGCATGCAGCATAGAACAGGGGCCCTGAGAAGAGGGAGACACACATTCCTGGCTCGCTGCTGAGGCCACTGTGGCATGGGACAGTGGCCCTGAGGGGAGCAGAAGGAGGTCAGAGTTCAGGGGTCCTGAAGCAGAGCCCAGCCAGGAGTGATCTCTGGGGAGAAGGAACCCTGAAAATCTTCCTTGGCCTCCCCTATGTTGCTAAGTACTGGGATATAGGATGTAAAACCCTACAAAGTCAGGCAGGAAGACTGGGAGTTGGGAGCTGAACAGTCCACAGGAAATGAAAATGACACCAGATGGGAACACCATCTACATTAGGGACCCAGAGGGCTGGAAGTATGAATATGTTGGTAAATAAGACCCTTTACTCATTTTAACATTTATTTCTATAATAATTGTGCCTCACTGTAATCCCAACACTTTGGGAGACTGAGGCAAGAGGATCTCTTGAGCCCAGGAGTTTGAGACCAGCCTGGGCAACATAGCAAGACCCCATCTCTAAAAAATAATAATTAGTTGGGCATGGAGACGGCACCTGTAGTCCCAGCTACTGGGGAGGCTGAGGCAGGAGAATCGCTTGAGCTTGGGAGGTTGAAGCTGCAGTGGGTCATGACCGCACCACTGCAGTCCAGCTTGGGTAACAGAGCAAGACTCCATCTCAGAAAAAACAATAGTAATTTTAAAAATAATAAAAATAATTGTTAAGGCTAAAACAATAACAATGCATGGTGGGGCTTATGGCATACCTAGAAGTAAATTATCATGAGCTTCTTAATTTACAGAGGTGTGTGTTACTCAGAGGCTGGTGGAGATGAGATACACTGCACGTCACAAACCCTGGAGGGACCTGTGAAACTGAAACAGATGTTGCTGGTAACACAACAGAGGACAAAAACATGGACTCCTTAAAGATAGTCAACCAATCCAAAAGAAATCAGGAAAAGAAAAAAACAAGGAACAAAGAATAAATGAAAAAAATACAAAACAAATAGCAAGGTAGTATACATAAATTAAAATGTAAAAATTCCAAATTAAAGGCAGATATTTTCAGACTGAATAAAGGGCAATATTCAGCTATATACTGTGTATATAAATCCACTTTACATATAAAGACACGTATAGATTAAATGTGACAAGATGGAAATAATACAACATACAAACATTGATTATAATTAAGCTGATGTGGCCATACTAACATTAGACAAAGCAGACTTCAGAACAAGGAATATTAACAGAGAAAAAGAAAAGCAGCCCATAATGGATACAGGGTTCTATGTATTAAGAAAATATAGGCCGGGTGCGGTGGCTCACGCCTGTAATCCCAGCACTTTGGGAGGCCGAGGTGGGCGGATCACGAGGTCAGGAGATCGAGACCATCCTGGCTAACATGGTGAAACCCCATCTCTACTAAAAATACAAAAAATTATCTGGGTGTGGTGGTGGGCACCTGTAGTCCCAGCTACTTGGGAGGCTGAGGCAGGAGAATGGCGTGAACCCAGGAGGCAGAGCTGGCAGTGAGCCGAGATCACGCCACTGCACTCCAGCCTGGGTGACAGAGAGAGACTCCATCTCAAAAAAAATAAATAAATAAATAAAAAAGAGAAAAGAAAATATAATGTTCCCAAATATGTACGCACACAATAACAGAACTTGGAAATATATAAAACAAAAACTGACAAAAGGAGAAATAGGTAAATTCACAATTATAATTGGCTACCTCAACACTCCTCTTTCAGTAATTGATAGAACAAGTAGACATAAAATCAGTAAAGATATAAAAGATTGAAAAAACAAACTTCATCTAATGTATATTTATAGCATATTCCATGAAAATACTGAAGAAATCATTAAGTACATATGAAACATTCATAAAGATAGACCATATTATGAATCATAAAAAAAAAATTTTAAAAAGACTGAAATAATACAATGTTCTCTGACCAGAATAGAATTAAATTAGAATTCAATTGCAGAAAAAAAAATCTCAACTACCCCCACCCCCAGCTATTTGAAAATTAAATAACACACTTTTTTCTAAAATAACTCATGAGTCAAAGAAAAAATCACAAAGTAAATTAGAAATACTTGATTAAAATGAACATCAATGTGTCAAAATTTGCGAGAGACAGAACGATGCTTAGAGGGAGAAATTATAGGTTTAATTTCTTACATTAGAAGAGAAAAAAGACCAAAAAGTAAGAGTAAATTAAACCCAAAGTAAGTTGAAGAAAGAAAATACAGAGGAGAGCCTAAATCAATAGAATAAAAAATAGAGAAAAATCAATGGACTCAAAAGTTTGTTTTTTGAAAAGATAAATAAAATTGATAGATTTCTAAGTAGACTACTCAAGAAAAAATTACCAATATCAAGAATAAAAGGGGAGCTGTTACAACAGCACTTACAGGCATTAAAAGGATAATAAGGAATATTATGAACAATTTTATGCCAAAAATTTTAATAATTTACATAAAATAGACAAATTCTTTGAAAGGCATAAATTACCAAAACTGACTTATAAAGAAATTTTGAAATATCAGAATAGGACTATATCAAATAAATGGAACTTATAATTAAAAACCTTCTCAAAACAACAACAACAAAGATTAAAAAACTCCAGACAGGTTTACTTTGAAATCTATCAAACTTTCAAGGAAATAGTAATACCAAATCTATACAAACTCATTCAGAGAACAGAGGAGGAAGACATACTTCCCAACTTAGTCTATGAAGTCAGCATTCTACTGATACCAAAACCAGACAAAGACATTACAAAGAAAGAAACCTACAGGCCAGTCCAGTGTCTCTCAGGAATGAACACAGATGCAAAAATGTTTAACAAAATGCAATCAAATTGGATTCAACAATATATAGAAGGTGGGGGGGGGATTGTATCCAGGAATGTAACATTCACTTAACGTTCAAAAATGAGTCAGTGGAAAATAGTGTTTTATCTGGGAACTGCAAAATTCATAACAAAATAAAATACATAAACACTGAATAAAATGAGTCAATGTAATTCACCACATTAACCGAATAAAGGAGAAAACTCATGAGGTCATCCCAATAGATACAGATAAAGCATTTTACAAAACTGAACTATTTGTGGTAAAAACCGCTATAGTTTGGATGTGGTTTGTGCTCACCAAAACTCATGTTGAAATTTGGTTCCCAGTGTGGTAGTGTCAGGAGGTGGGGCCTAGTGGGAGGTGTTTGGGTCATCGGGGCAGATCCCTTATAAATATATTAATGCCTTCCTAAAGGGTTGTTAAAAAGAGTCTACTGCAAGAGTCTTCCCCACCCCATCCATCTGTTTCTCTCTCCACTCTTGCCATGTGATCTCTGCACATGCTGGCTGCCCTTCTGCTTTTGGCCATGAGTGGAAGCAGCCTGAGGCCTTCACTAGATGAAGCTGCCCAATCGTGAATTTCTCAGCTGCCAAAATTGTGAGCCAAATTAACCTCTTTTCTTTACAAATTACCCAGCCTCTAGTCTTCTGTTATAACAACAGAAAACAAAGACCAAAACTCATAGCAGGCCAGGCACAATGGCTCATGCCTGTAATCCCAGCACTTGGAGAGGCTGAGGTGGGTGGTCACCCGAGGTCAGGAGTTCGAGACCATCCTGGCCAACATGGTGAAACCCTGTCTCTACTAAAAATACAAAAAATTAGCCGGGTGTGATGGTGAGCGCCTGTAATTCCAGCTACTCCAGAGGCTGAGGCAGGAGAATCACTTGAACCTGGGAGGTGGAGGTTGCAGTGAGCCGAGATCACAACATTGCTCTCCAGCCTGGGCAAGAAGAGTGAAATTCCATCTCAAACAAACAAACTCATAGCAAACTAAGGATAGAAGGGAATTTCCTTAACCCAAGGAAGGGCACCTCTGAAAAGCCTGCAGCTACCATCATACTTAATGGCAAAAGAATGAATGCTTCCCCTGAGAAAAAGGCAAGGATATCTATCTCATCATCTCTTCAGCATTGTACCAGAGGACTGATCCCAGCCAATAATAGGGGAAAGGCATAGAGAATGGAAAGGAAAAGGAAAACTGTTTTTAGACACGTACACGATGACTAGGCTTGTTTAGAAAATCCTGAGGAACCTACAAAATATATAACTAGAACTACTAAGCAAGCATAGCAAGCTTGCAGGATACAAAGGCAATATCAAAAATCAATTTTGTGGAAAACAAGGTAAATATCTTAAAATGAAGTCAATAAGAAAAAAGAAAAAATCATTTTTGTGCCTATGTAATAGTAGTGAAAAGTTGGAAATAGAAATAAAAAATACCACTTACAATAACATCACAACCATGAAACACTTTCAGATAATTTTCATGAATATCTGCAAAACCTATTTACTCATAAAATTATTGCTGCAAAAATAAAAATAAAAATCCTGCAAATTTTGTTAAATTTTTTTTTTTTGAGACCAAGTCTTGCTCTGTCCCAGGCTGGAGTGCAGTGGCGAGATCTCAGCTCAGTGCAACCTCCCCCTCCCAGGTTCAAGCAATTCTGCTGCCTCAGCCTCCTGAGTAGCTGGGATTACAGGTGCCTGCCACCATGCCTGGCTAATTTTTGTATGTTTAGTAGAGACGGGATTTCATCATGTTGGCCAGGCTGGTCTCGAACTCCTGGCCTTAGGTGATCTCCCCTCCTCGGCCTCCCAAAGTGCTGGGATTACAGGCTTGAGCCACAAAGCCTGGCCAGTTTTGTTGAAATTTAAATAGAACTAAATAAATGAAGGGGCATACCATGTTCATGGATTAGAAGACTCATATTAAGAAGTCAATTCTCCCCAAACCAATCTATGCATTCAATGCAATCCCAGATTCCATCAGACCTTTCCATAGAAACCAACCAGCTGATTCTAAAATGTATATGGAAATGCAGCAAACCTAGAAAAGCAGAAAGCATTTTGAAAAAGGACAAAGTTGAAGTACTTAACTACCTGCTTCCAGGACCCGCTGTAAAGCTACAGCAGGGAAGATGTGGTGCTATTGCATAAGGATAATACACAGATCAATGGAAAAAACAGAGTCTAGAAATAGACCTACATAGCCATGGTCCATTGATTTTTGACAGGAGTCCCAAAGAAGTCAATGGGGGAAAGAAAAGCTTTTCCAACAAAGAGTACTGGAATTGGACACCCACAGAAAGAAAGGAAAAGCCCTTACCTCATAGTATACAGTCCCCACCCATTGGTTTCCACCCCCATCTGACTGTCCTCTCAGCCTCAGAGTGGGCCCCACCCAGCCATCCTAGTCATCCTGCCTCGGTTCCAGGTTCACCCTTCTCTTATCCCTGTAGCAGAAGGTCAGGTGGGGAGGAGGTGGTCGGGGGGGCTTCCTGGAGGAGGATGAGAAGGGCTTGGATGAAGGAAGGAGCAGCATGCTCAGGGCAAAGGCACAGAGGAGAGATTCAGGGTGGGGGTCACTTCTGAACCCAGCCCAGACACTCCTTTCTGGGGTTCAGTGTGGGCAGGGGGCTGCATTCCCAGGTCCACAGGGTGCAATGGTGCCTGGAGGAGGGGGAGTCAGGAGTAGTGGGCCACATGGCTCTATTCCCATGCTCTCCTCCCTGACAAGGACAGACAATGCCTCCCTGACAATGGCACTTATCAGTCTGTAGGTAACTTGAGCTGGGAATGTGGGCAAAATAGTTGGTGGCTGAACTACAGCTTGTTCATGACACAATGGCTGCAGGGGCCACATGCCACCCTGAGCTGGCGGGTTCATGGGGTCACAGTCATTGCTGTCCTCTGCCCTCTGCCTGTCCCCTTCAGGTGGCTGGGCCTTCCTGGTCCCCTCCTTGGCTGCGGTGGAGGCCGAGGACAGCCAGGACCCAGGGGAAGACACAGTTCTGTGGTGGCCAGGCCTGTGGGCACCAGGAGCAGAGGGAAGGGAGGATGGCTGGGGCCAGGGGTCTGGGAGCAGAGGGACGCTCAGCCACCTGCTGCGGTGGGCGGCTGATGGGCTGTGCGAGAGACACTGGTGTGGGCAGAGGACTCGGGAAACTGCAGCCTCCCAAGCGGGTCGGGAGCTGGCCCAGCCCCGGGAGGCCCCTCTGCCGGGGAACGAAGCCAAGGCCTGAGAGTGACGCAGCCTCCCAAGGCCACGCTGCCGGCGAGGGGCCAGGCCTGTCCTTCCCGAGTGCAGCACCACTTCTGGGACACACACGTGGTTCTCAGTGCTAGGGGCCGGAGCAGCCCCCGCCGGCCTGGCCAGGACTGAGTGCAGGAAGGGGCTGCCCCAGGCAGTGTGCTGGGAGGGACCTGGGGCCCTCACGGCTCGCAGCTGCCACCAGAGCTGCCCCCATTTTTTTTTCTTTTAATGCTTAAAGAATGCAGCTTTATTCATGTCCATTGGGGCAGCTCAAAACGTAGTTGATAAATCTATTCAAATTTATTTTCCTAGTAGAAGCCCTGAAGGGGTTGTTTGCTGTTTGTTGAAATGAAATCCACGTAACATAAAGCGGACTGTTTCGAAGTGTACGATTCAGCGGCGGTTAAGCGCATTCATGCTGCCATGCAGCCACCGTCGCCGCTCTCTGGCTCCAGAGCGTTCCTGTCACCTCTCAAGGAGACGCCATCCCAGTCCCCCGCATGCTCCCCAGCCTCAGCAGCTGCAGTCGCATTTCTGTCTCTGCGGATTTGCCTGTCCGGACGTTCCCTATAAACAGAAGCGTGCACCTCGAGGCCTTTGTGTCCGGCTTCTCTCACTGACATGCCGTCTTCAAGGCTTGTCCACGCCACGGCCTGTGCCACAGCCTCATTCCTCTTGAAGCGGAATCAAGGTCCACGTGTGGCGGGACCACAGTTTGCGTGTCTGTGCTCTGCCGATGGCGCTGGGCGGCCTCCCCCGTGGCTGCCTCCCCCGTGGCTGCTGTGGCTTGTGCTGTGGTGGACGCCGTGTGCAAGTCTTTGTTCTAGTCTGGGATGCACTGGACATGGGGCACCGGGCCCCACGGCAGTCAGTCCAGCTTATGAGGATGCAGGTGCCCTGCGGACACAGCGCCTCCGCGCTGGACACCGACACGGGCCGGCAGGTTCAGATGAGCTTCTGTCCCCGTGTGCTCGTTCTTGCTGCCGCGCTGGCTGACACAAAGTGCAGGACACGTCAAGGGAAGCAAAGGCACTCTTTCCTCGGGGAGCTCCACTCCTGAGGACGCAGTCCGGGTGTCTGAGCCCAGAGGCCACTGGGAGAGGAGTGGGAGCTGCCAAAGCTGTCTTGGCCCCTGAATGTCCTGAGGGGCCCCCGGTGATGTGAGCTGGGGACTCTCAGCCCAAGGATGCCGCGTGCGGCCGTGGCCTGAAGGGCTCCGCGGGGCACGCTGCGGCCCTGCCTTGTCTACCTCTGGCCTCTCGGCAACTTCCTGGCAGTGGCACAGCCGGGGCTGGGGAGTCATTTGCTGTTGGGACCCGGCCTGTGAACAGCAGGAGGGCTGCCGAGCTCTCAGGCAGGTTTGGAATTCTCTTATCAGCCGGCCTGGTTGGACTGCGGCCAGAAATCAGGCGGCTGTGGCACTTCCGAGCCTTCTCCTTGTGCCCTCCGCACCCAGCTGCACCCGCTAGGTGCCGGCCACACCTGCCCTCAGTGCCTGCAAGGCATCTGCTGGTTCTGCAGCTGTGGCAGCCCTCTCTGCTCCGTCCCCCTCGGCTTCCTGCCTCAAACACCATCTTCTCAGAAACAGACCACGCCCGACTGCCACTGCAGCAGGATGACCCGAGCCGGGGGCTGAGGACTCCACGTCCCCCCAGAAGCCCCAGGTGGCAGCAGACCCCGACTGTCCTACCGCAGGCGAGCTGCAGTGGGTGCCTGGTTGGGGCGGGGTCAGAGCTGTCCTGGGTGGGAATCGATGGGAGAGAAGGGTGGGGTGTGGCTGGACTGCCCTGGACAGTGGCTGTGGCTGCTGGAGCCCAGGGGGTGTCCAGACCCACAGCCCGGCCTGCACAGGGGTCAGGGCTGGGGCGTCGGCAGGGCCCTGCCTGCCTCCTTGGGACCTCAGGAGAGGGCAGCCCACCCCACTCCAGGGAACCACAAGAAGCCACTCTGGGGTCTCTGGTCTGCAACCCGGGGCCTCTCCTGGGCGGTGTCCAGGGCACGGCAGACCCCACCACTGGACTTCCCGCCCCTGGCTCTGCCTGCCTCTCGCTTGCTCTGCAGAGCCCCCAGGGGCCCCTTTGCACTTTCAGCCTTGGCTCCAGCACTTTCTACCCAAGACCCTGGTCTCTCTGTGTCCCATCTGTCCCCTCACCCACAGCGTTCCTCAGCCCTGCCGTCTCTGGCCCCTGCCGGGTATTCTGACCTCCCAGACACAAGCCCCAAAGCCATCCCAGCACCACAGCCACAAGCCCAGGGGACGCTTCCGTGACCTTCCTCTGTTCTAGGGAAGGAGTGGAGGGGTGGCAAGGGGAGTCCCACCCAGGCCTCACCCGGGGGGCCGCATCCACGCCGCATCCAGGCAGGTCCCACGCTGTGACCACTCCTGCCCCGGGCTGTCTCGTGCTGGCACGTCCAATGTGCGTGGCTCAGCCAACCAGGGCTGACCATCGGGACCAGCATGGCAGCCGCCCCCGGCCAAGCAGAGGGGGCCCCGTGTGTTCCGCCTGGTCAGTGGCAGACGCTTTCGGGAACCAGACATCCCGGGCCTGACCCACACCTCTCTGTGTTGGTTTATTTTGCCACCTCAGCGTCCGGCAGAAAATCTGAATGGTCAGGCTTTGCAGCCTTCATCATCTGCTCTCGGCCACAGCAGAATGCAACTGACAGCTGCACCCAGGGCACACGGCCACCCGGCCGCGCCCCAGGAGGGAGCCAGTCCGTGGTTTTCTCTGTTACAGCATCACAGAAGCAGGTTTTCAGCCTGTCCCCTCCCTTGCCTGACTTTTCTAACAAGCAGCAATCTCAGATTCAAAACCACGTTCTGCCCGGGCTGGCGGAAGGGCCGACCCGGCTCACAGGGAGAGGCCCAGCCACACAGCCAGCTGAGAGCCGGAGGACATCACTGGTTTAGCACCCACAACTCCACTTGTCACCCAGCATGTCAGAGGAGGAAGTGGAGAGGATGCTGGGCAGGATTTGGGAGCCCTGGGTACAGAGCGCCTGGCTGGGCCGGCTCGGGGGCCCCATCCAGCTCCTGGGCAGGGCTCTGTCCTGACATCAGCTGGTCCAGGCACATGGGTTTGACTCCCTCACCTTGGGGACACCAATCTCAGGGCTCTGTGTACAGAGCCTGCCTGGCTGGAACACAGTGGCCAGCTGCACAGGGGGACAGCATTAGCCACCCGGCCAGGGGTGACCGAGCCTTCCCTCCTGGCCCAAAATACCTGGCTGGCAGACAGTGGGGCTGAGGGCAGGCTTGGTTCCTCCGCCAGGGTGGTCTCTGCTCCGACCTGAAGCCTCATCCCTCTTCTGCCTTCCACCTTCCCCCTCTTCCTTCCTCCTTCCACCCCGCTTCCCCATTCTCCCTTCCCTCTTCCCCCTTCCTCTTTCCCCCTCCCTCCTTCCTCCTTTCCCCCTCCCTCCTTCCTTCTTCCCCCTTCCTCCTTCCACCTTCCTCCTTCCTCTGTCTTCCACCACATGAGGCCGCAGCAAGGGGGCCTCCCTCCGTGCCCACACGTTGACCGCATCCTGCCAGGCCTGTGGAGCTGTGGGCCTCAGTCTCGGTCCTTATAAGTCTCCCAGCCTGAGCTGCCATCACAGCAGAACCCGTGGAACTAGCTCTGCCGCCACCTCTCATGGCTCACACTTGCTCCCGGCCCCAGGACGTGACCCCTTCCCTTGGGAGTGACACTTCAGGCCCAGAGAGCCTCTGTCACACCCCATAGGCCAATTTGGGAAAAAGGCCCCACTTTAACCTGTAACCTTGCTATCTGGGAGAGTTCGTCCCTTCCTAGCCCCCAGAGAGACCCTGAGATCCGCAGGGATCGGGGACCAGCATTGAGTGTCAAGATCCTGAGAAGGAAGAGGCTCCAGAACTCAGCTCAGAGAGAAGCGGGCTCAGGGCAGAGGGCGCAGCCACGTCCACAGTCAGCACCAAACTGCAATTCCCAAGCAGCCCAGAGGGCCCGAGGGCTGGAGCCTTCGGCCCCCAGGGGTCCTTGCTGGGCACCTGTGGGTGAGGGGAGCCCTTCAACCCTCCCATCTTCTGAGGAGCCGGCACGGAAAGGAGCCCTGAGTGAGGCCTGGAGCTCTGGGGGCAGGGATGTGGCCCAAAAGGCTCAGCCCAGCCAGGGCAGCTGACTTGAGTCCCCAGGCTCGCCATGCCTGGCAAGGGGCTCGGGTGGCCCAGATTGAGGCAACTCCCTCAATGCCTCCTCCATGGGGTCCTGGCTGGGTGGCCCCCAAGCCCTCTCCACACCCCCCGGGTCCCCGTGTGTTCTGCCCCAGTGCCCTTCCTGGCCCCACCTGGGAAGTCACCGCCTGGGACTGGGCTGCCCCAGGGTGCCCGCAAGTTGACTCTTTTCAGTAAATGCCCCGTTTCCTTTGTGGGGCTGACTCTGCTCCAACATTGTTGGTTTAGGGCCAGTGGTATGACGCTGGGCTAAGGGCTCACCTCTCTGAGCCACACCAGCCTCACCATTAGCACAGGTTGGGAATCACACCCTCCAGATGTTTCTGCAGCACCTGTGGGGTCACAGGTACCCCTTTGCCACTGTGTGCTGGGACCGTGGGGTGCACAGCCTGGAGCAGCCTCCCCCAGGCTGGACTCAGGGCTCCTTTCTGTCCCCGCCCCAGGCCTCAGCCCACACTGTGGGCACTCCTTGGGTTTCCTGTGACAGGCCTGGGTGACCTCCAATCATTTAGGGCTGGCTTGATCACCCACCGGCCGTGCTCCCCTCACCTGTGACGGGCCTGGGTGACATCCAGTCATTCAGGGCTGGCTTGATCCCCCACCGGCCGTGCTCCCCTCACCTGTGACGGGCCTGGGTGACATCCAGTCATTCAGGGCTGGCTTGATCCCCCACCGGCCGTGCTCCCCTCACCTGTGACGGGCCTGGGTGACATCCAGTCATTCAGGGCTGGCTTGATCCCCCACTGGCCGTGCTCCCCTCACCTGTGACGGGCCTGGGTGGCATCCAGTCATTCAGGGCTGGCTTGACCCCTCAACAGTTGTGCTCACCTCACCTGTGATGGGCCTGGGTGACATCCGGTCATTCAGGGCTGGCTTGACCCCCCACCGGCCGTGATCCCCTCACCTGTGATGGGCCTGGGTGACATCAAGTTATTCAGGGCTGGCTTGACCCCCCAATGGCCGTGTTCTCCCTACTCTGTCTCAGGCTCCTGCAGGGTTCTTGTTGCCATCTCCTGAGCTCCTGTCCACTGTCTCCTCCCAGCACACGACCCTGTGAGGACACAGCCCCACCTGCCCTCCTCAGGACAAGTGCCCAGCTCCCAGCAGTGTCTGGAAACACTTGTGTGCTAGTGGGTGGCTGAGCTACTGAGGGCTGAGCCAGTGCCTAAGCAAAGGAGCAGGGTGGGTGGACGGGGCCAGGGGCTGTGGGATACACATACCCTAGGCAGCAGCTTCTCCCGTATCACCTCGTGGGAGCCTCTGAAGCTTCCTGAAGCTTCCTGGAGGCAGCTCAGAGAGAGGCCACACAGGGCCAGGCTGCCCACTCCACACGTGTGTCCCTGGCCCAGCAGGAGCCCCTGAGCAGGGGGAGCTGAGACCCAGGAAGCCTTGGTTTGCAACGCACAACTTCTGTGCTGTGAACACCCCTGTCTGCTGGCCTCCAGCTGCCCAGGCACCTTCCCTGGAACTGGACACCCTCCCTCTGCTGGGCGCCGCTATGCTGTCTACACTGCTGGGGTGACTGCCCTGTCCTGCAGCACTGCCTTGGCGCCCACTGCCCTGTGAGACGGTGCTGCCCTCCCGCACCTTCCCAGGCCCACCCCACCCTAAGATGCCCCTGCTCTGCCCTCCAGGGACAGCCCCAGGGACTCACTTCCGCCACTGTGCCCCCACCACACCCATGGACACAAAGTCCGACAGTCAGGAGGTCAAGCCCTAGGGGACACAGAGAAGGCCACAGCCCGGCTGAGCCGTGCACGCCCTTTCCCTAAGTGAGCACCAGGGCTGCCGGAGGGGTCCCGTGCTCCTGGGGAGCCAAAATAGCTCCTCCTCCCACTTCCTGGGCATGAAATGCTCCCAAAAATACCCACATGCATGTGATGTGGCCTCACTCCAGGTGTCACTGGAGGAGAGGGAGGGAGGGAAGGGGCATTCGGCGTTCTGAGCCTGGCTTCAACCCAGCTCTCCCTGCCCTCTGCCCCCCGCCTACCCCTTCCGGCTCCATCACACGGCACTCAAGACCCTAAGGAGCATCTGAGGCTCTGGGTCCCAGGAGTGCAGGTGTTTGGCCCAGGATCCTCCCGGGAAACTTCTCCTCCCCACGACTGGCAGCTCCCAGGATCTCTTGCCCATCTCCAAATTCCAGCACCACCCACTGTGCTCACCACCCAGCCAGCCACACCCCTGGGCCAGCCCTGCCTCTCCCAGACGAGCTGTCTCTCACCCTGTCCTCCGGGAAGGCCCCTGAAGCCCCTCCTTCCTGCCCTGAGGTGTTGAGGCTGGGAGGGCGGAGTCCCTCGAGCAGCTGCAGCCCACAGCAAGGCCCCTTTCCTCCACAGCCTCTGGGTTTGTCCACCCCAAGCCCACTCCCCACGGGCGGCTCTTTTGTTGCCCTGGGTCCCTGGTGGATCAGGGTCCCCGGCTGAAGGAGGCCAGATCCACACCCCACACTCAGCGCAGGGCTGGAGCCGGTGGCTCCCCCTGAAGCTGGAGGGCCCTGGCCTGGCGGGTGGGCTGCCCGGGACCTGGCCTTGCCCAGCTCAGAGGCTCCCTCCAGCCAGGGGTGAGTGCCGCTGACCCGGCTACCTGGTGCTGCTGACTGCATGGTTGGGACCATGCTGGGCCGCAAGAGATCAGCTCAGAGCGGGCCCCATGTGTGCCCTGGGGCACCATGAGATCTGGGCACCGTGTGACCGGGCAGCCGTGGATCCCAGGACCCCAGGGCAGGGCCTGGGGCACAAGCATTCGCTCAGCTGCGGCAGTACCTCTGCTCTGCTCCCAGGGGCCCACTAGGCTGACCTCCCAGGCGCTGGCTTCCCCCGGCTAGATGCTGGACCTCTCTCACCCAGTGGAGGAGGGGAACGGGTTCAGGGCGCTTCCCAGGCGAGGACACCCTCCACTCAGCCCAGGTCCTGCCCCAGCTCTGGCAAACGGCAAGGGTCTACATCTTGCTTTGCTCACGCTTTTCACGTGTTGTTACTTTTGGAATATCAAAATCCAGCAGGAAAATGACAGCGTGGATGGTGTCGGCACTCAGACTGAATCACTCAGCACATGTAACTATTAAGTTTGTGTTTGAAGGTTCTGGGTGGGTGCTGTGGGCCGGATCCACACATGCGGTGTGGCAGAGCGCTGCCCTCCTGCTGGGCCCATGGGGGACATGGCCCCCTGGCCACACCCCACGCCAGGACTGAAGGCCAACCCCAGGAAACCCTGACAGTGCTTCCCAGACCCTTTCCTGGCCCAAGGCAAGGAGGATGCCTGGCACCCAGGAGGGCTATGGGCAGATGGGACCCAGAAGATGGGAGCAGGGTGGCAGTGGAGGCCTTGGCAGGGGCTTCCAGAGAGGCTAGAGCTGGAGGTTGCAGCAGGGCAGCTGCCTCCTTTCCCTGCTGTCTGGAGTGACCCCGCAGGGTCTCAAACCCAGTGCCACATGGTCCTCACACAGTCCTGCTTTGTGCTCCTGGGGTCCCTGGCCTCACTGGGGCTGGGGATGGAGCATCTGAGGAGCAGAGGGCTGGCTGGGCCGGGGGTACCATCCATGTCCAACCGGCTGGCACAGGCCCCACAGCCAGGGCTCGGCCCAGCCAAGCACTCACACTTCTCCAAGCTGACCTCTGGGGGAGCCCTCGTTGGAGCTCCATCCTGCTCCTCCCGGACTTGCTCCACACCCCACCTCCTCCTTCTCCCAACATCCGCCTGGACGGGGTGGCCTCCAACTCTTCCCCGGCCTGCAAAATGTTTTCCCTGCCTGGATCTTCAACCTGGCCTTCAACCTGCTGGCCCCTTTCTCACTCAGCTCCTGCCCCTTTCCAGCCGGCTGGAGGTCTGCGGGGCTTCTTCTCCAGGGCTCAGGGCCTCCTCTGGGCACTCGAAGGGCCAACCGCACCTGCCCTGGTGTGGCCAAGTGGCCCGTGGGGGTTGGCAGAGGCCTTTTGCCGCGTCACCACCTTCTGCCACTGGAACGGAGCCTGGGTGGCTCCTGGCCAGCAGCCTGTGACTCCCATCCCAGCTGGGCAGCCCTGGCCTGGCTCACACACCCTGAGTGGGCACCACCCTGAAGCCCTCCAGCAGATGCCCACTTTCCCTTCCCCTGGCCCAGCTCACACACCCTGAGTGGGCACCACCCTCAACTCCTCCAGCAGATGCCCACTTTCCCTTCCCTAGGCCACTTGTCACTCTGACCTGGGGCTGTCACCAACCTTGTCTATTTCCCCCAAGTTGTGGCTGGGCCCCCCCACCCCCAGGTTAGGGCCTAGACAAGTGTGAGAGCTGAGAAGCAGTCACTGCATGTGTGGCTGGATGTAACAAGTAACAACAGGGACAGGCAGAGACAGAGAGAGACGGACACAGAGAGACAGAGACAGACACAGAGACAGAGAGATACAGCGACAGAGAAAGAAAAGACAGAAAGACAGAGACAGAGATAGAAAGAGACAGAGAGACAAAAAGACACAGAGACAGATACAGTGACAGAGAAAGACAGAGACAGAAAGATAGAGACAGAGAGACGGGCAGAAAGACACAGTGACAGAGAGATACAGCGACGGAGAAAGAGACAGAGAGAGAGGCAGAGGAAGACAGGGCAGAACGTGAGGGCTGGCAGAGGGTCTCTGTCCTCTGTGCCCCAGGCCCCAGCTCCAGGTGTGCTTGGAGCTCAGGCTGGCCTGGGTTGTAGAACGGGGAGGGGTCAGCCTAGGAGTCCAGTGCTTCTGCTCGGAAGAACGGGCACCTCCCTGCACTCCTGTGCAGACTGTCCCAAAGGCACCAGCATATCCCTTGCATGCAGCTTGTGGAGGTGGCAGGGTCAGTCATGAGCCTGGCTCTGGGCTCAGGGGGTCACCCCTGGGGTCCTCTCTGGGGTTACTGTCCGGGTTAGCTGTTGGGTTATCCACCCAGTTAGGGATGGAGAGAGAAAGCACCAGGGCCGAGAAGTGACCTCTTTCTTGGACCCGAACATCTCACCCTTGCTGTCCCCTCCCAGGTCCTGAGGAGACTAGAGGAGCAGATGGAGCAGAGCAGGCTGGGGCTCAGGCCGGGCCCCCAGGCATGTGTCCTGCCTCCTGTCCCTGGGCCCAACGTTCTGAGCCCACTTGGCTCAGATCCCGGGAGAGAGGAAGGGACGGTGCTGGGGGTGCCCATGGCTTCCAGCCAGGGAGGCTGAAGAGACCCCAATCCTAGGGCATGGGTCCCCCTCTGGGAGGTTGCCTGTGAACCCCCAGGCCCACGGGACCCTCATGGCTGTCTCAGGGAGCCCCCATGGGCTTGGCCCTGGTGCCTTCACCCTTCCCTCTCCCCCAGCGCTCCCTTCCTCTGCGAAGGGTCCCCTGCCAAGTCAGCAGAAGAGTGGGGACGGGGGCAGAGGCGCTGGGGCCAAGGCTGGGAGTCCAGGCCTCTGAGTCCTCCTGAGCTCAGGCTAAACACGGGGCACCGGAGGGGATGGGGCTGAGGGCGGGGGAGGGGCCGCATCTTCCCTGCGCCAGGGGAGTCCCCAGGACTCAGCAGGGAGGGGACAGTGACAAGTTAGTGCGGCGGCCACCGGCAGCGGCCCCCCTCCCCCCTCCCCACCCCCACCCCGCCAGGAGCACAGGGCAGCTCTAGGGTCGCGGTGCGCCCCATCCCTCCCGCCGCCTGGCTCCCGACACTGCACAGCGCGAACCGCAGGGCCGACCTTGCGGCGACCCCGCTCTCCCGCAGTGCCGCGTCCGCTGCAGAGGAAATCCCGGGGGCCAGGGGAGGGAGCGGTGGGGTCTCTGGCCTTCGTCCCGGTAAAGGAAACAGCGACTCCGTTACACCGAAAGTGAGCCCGGGCCGGCCTGCGGGTCTCTGGCTGCGAGGGGCTTGCGTGGGTTTTCAGGGGTCTGGGGGCCCCCTTCTCCCGCCCTGCGATACGGGGAGGTCGGGGCAGAGGGGTCGGGGCGGCGGGCGGCGCTCAGGGACACGGTCACCGGAGAATGGGGGCGGCAGCGACTCCCAACCCCTGGCCCCTCCGCTCGGGAGGCAGCGACTTCTCCGCCCGAGGGTTTTGCACCCACCGGCCCCGCGCGGACCCTGTAGGGAGCAGGCCCGCACCGTCGGGCTGGGGGCGGGGGGGCAGAGCCGGGGGCGCCCAGATCAGGGGCGGGCGGGGGTCGCAGGCGCCCGCCGGGGGAAGGTCGAGCCCGGGCCGGGTTGGAGGGAGGCGGGGGCGCGTCACTCGGGTCCACCCCCGCCCCCGCCCCCGGGTCCACCCCCGCCCCCGCCCCGGGTCCACCCCCCGCCCCCGCCCCCGCCCCCCGCCCCCGCCCCCGGGTCCACCCCCGCCCCCGCCCCGGGTCCACCCCCCGCCCCCGCCCCGGGTCCGCCCCCCGCCCCCGCCCCCCGCCCCCGCCCCCGGGTCCACCCCCCGCCCCCGCCCCGGGTCCACCCCCCGCCCCCCGCCCCCGGGTCCGCCTCCGCCCCCGCCCCCGGGTCCACCCCCGCCCCCGCCCGGCGCCCGCGGCCCCGCCCCTCGGCGCTCCCCTCCCCGTGCTCGTCACGCTCGGACGCGGGCGGGGGGCGGGGAGCGCCTGCGAGTGACGCGCCCTCCTCGCGGTGCCCTTCAGCCGCCGCCGCAGCTCACCGGGCGCCACATGGACCCAGCCGGCCCGAGCGCGCCCCGCCGCTGACCGCCCGCGCCCCGGGAAGGTAACCGCGCCCCGAGCGCAGCGCGCGCCCGGCCTCCGCTCCCCGGGTCTCCCCTCCCGGCCCCGGCGTCTCCTCCCCGGCCCCCGCTTCTCCCCGCTTCTCCCGCCGGCCCCGGTTTCTCCTTCCCGGCCCCCCTTCTCCCCGCGGCCCCGGCTTCGCCCAGCTCCTCCCCCCGGCCTCCGCTCCCCGGGTCTCTCCTCCCCGGCTCCGGCTTCTCCCCCCGGCTCCGGCCTCTCCCTCCGGCCCCCGTTTCTCCCCCCGACCCCGGCTTCTCCCCGCAGCCCCCGTTTCTCTCCCGGGCTCCGCGCGCGCGGGGTCCGGGGCGGGCGCTGTCCACTGCCGCGGTGCTGAAGCGGCCCCCGCGGTCCCGGCCCGCGCCCGGCCTCCTCCTCGCTTCTTCCTGTCTCGAGGCTCCCCCTCTCCTCCCTCGCCCTCTTTCTTTCCTCTCCTGGCGCGCTCCCGCCTGAGGGCCGCTCGCCCGCCCGCAAAGCCGAGGGGTGCGGGTGCGGCGGGGCCGGAGCCCTGCGGGTCTGCGGGGCCCGGCCGTGCCCTCCTTCCCCGCGCCGCGGGAGCCAGGGGAGAAGTTTGGAGGAGAATCGGCGCTGCGGCAAAGCCTCCGAGGGGCGCTCCCCGCCCGCCGCCCTCCCAGTCCCCGCGCGAGTCTCCTTCCTCTGCGGAGGGCGAGGGGTGAACCGTCAAACAGTGTCTCTCCAGGGACCTGGGGTTCCCCGATAGGAGAGACCCCGCAAAACCGGGGGGCTCACTGCGGCTGCTGTGATTTCAGAAAGCGGCTTCCCAAGAGGGGACCAGAGCGCCCCACCCCACCCCATGCACGCCCCCGGGGCGGGGGTGCTCTGTCCCCGTCCCCACGTGTTTCCTGAAGGCTGAGCCCCCTGAAGTTTCTCCCCAACCCCGATCTCTTCTACGCGGGCCATGTGGGGGGCACACTGACTGCAGTGCCGTCAGGGATAGGGTCACCCAAGCCTCCCTGGTCAGAAGCCACAGGAGCCCGCCCTGAAGGGTACCCGCTCAAAGACCCACCCCCAACCCTTCTCCACGGCCCTGGGCTCGGGACCACCGCGGAGGCGCCGCTCCAGACACTGAGCTGCAGAGCGGAGCAGTCACCTTCAAACGCCCCCTGGGCCCCGCCCCTGCTTCCGCAGCCTGGCGCCAGGCGCCTCTGAGCGATGCCCCCTAAGCCATCAGCAGCCCTCCCTGCAGAGGCTTCAGACACCCCAGGAGCTGGGGAGACCATTTTCAGGTCCTCTGGGGTCCTGGTTTGGGTGTGGGGACAGAAGCCCCTCACGAAGGACTTCCCAGGCAGCCGCTCCAGGTGGGGGAGGGTCCAGCCCACAAGGTATTGCGGGTAAGGAATGATGGTCTCTGGGGAAGGCCAGGCAGGGGCCTGCTTAGGGTGACCTGTGACCACTTCACTCTCCCCCAGGAAGAACACTCGCTCCCGGCCATACTTGCGTGTGAGTTCTGACCCCTGGAGGAGCCACTGTGGAAGCAGAGCAATCGCCATGGAGTTTGTGATGAAGCAGGCTCTAGGAGGTAGGAAGCGGGAGGTGGGGTGGGGAGGGGCTGAGGGGACATGGAGAGACCACCACAGCAGCTGCTCCTCATCTGGCCCACCGCAGCAGCGCCCCTGCAGCCACACGGCCACCCACGCAGCCCTGCACAGGAGCCTGGGGCAGAGGAGCAAGGACCGTGCCCAGCAGCGCCCCCAGCCCGGCCCTTTTCGAGGCCCCGAGCCAGAACTGGTGTTCCTGGCGGGACAGGGGCTGCCCTGTAAGCTCACTCTGCCCCACTGCTGTGGTCGGGGCAGAGCCCATGGACCATGCTGATGCACGTCCTGGGGGAGGGTGCACACTCTGGCGTAGGCTTTACAGGGCCAATTCTAACTGGCCAGGCTGGGCAGCCCCCAAGGGGGCTTCCTTCCAGATGAGGAGAGCCAAGCGGTGGGAGAGCAGGATGCAGGTGGCAGCCTCAGGGACAGGCGTGGGGACAGAGCTGGCCTGTGCATCTGGCGAGGACCCTGTGGGTTTCACTTGGGTGAGGCAGCGCCATCCTCAGGGACCAGGGCTTGCTGGTTACGGGAGCGAAGGAAAAGGCCCGAAACAGCTTGTGTGTCTCGACTGCCTCCCAGGCGGGACGTGCAGCCTTTTTTGTGTGTACTGGGGTGGGGCCAGGCCCCCTTCCAACCTGCTGTCTGCTATTTGAAAGGAACCTCGTCCCCACTTGACCCAAGGCTGTCATTGTGGCCAGAGACCATGTCAAGAGCAGTGGCTGGGTTCCTAGACCAGGAGGTGGGCAGGGCCTGGGCCATGCTGGTACAGACGTGTCCCGGCAGAGCTGATGGGTCAACTCAGGCCTCGGGGCTGTCGTGGCGAGTCTCAGTTTTGCCCAGAGCCGTCCATCCTGTGTTCCCCCAGCACCAGTGCCCAGAACTCCTGTGAGGGGAACCTGTGGCCGGTGCCCGATTCTACCACTAGAGACGTCTTGCTTGGGTGGCCTCCACGGGGGAGCACCCTCACCTGATGCCATTCACACCTTGGAGTGAGTCAGGCCTCCTGGGAGCATTTCTGCAGTGGGGGAGCTGGCCGGGTTCGAGGGGCCAGGGACAAGGGTGTACAGAGGGCAGGCGCCGCTTCCCCCAGGGCAGGAGCTGCCTGCCTGGCTGTCTCCCGGAGGGTGGCTGTGCTTCCACTCAACACAAATTAAATGAAAAGATATTGAGCCTGTCCTGGGGCCACATCCCTGAGATTTCGTGGTCAAGGGTAAGAGTCAGGTTGAGTCTAATTATAATGGCTGCGTCACCGGGCTGTGATTCAGGGACAAGCCTGCATCTGCGCTGGGAGGGACGCACGTTCCACCCAGGGAGTCCCAGGCTGTTACGGATAATTAATTAGTTGGCTAATTCAGGCCCTGAGGTGGGCTTGTAAGAAACTGAAATATCTTATTTGGCTGTCTACATGACTGAAATTAGCTGGGTAATTACCAGCCTGAATTCCCTTTTTGTTTCATGGCAGCCCAAAGTTTCTCCAGCAGCAGCAACCGGGCAGGCGTCGCTCAGCGTGGTGGAGCTGAGCGGGGGCAGCCAGCAGACCCTGGGGGGGCTCCACGCTGAGTGCTTCCCAGAGCACCCCACATTGGCTTTGCAGAGCACGTTGAGGCTCGGAGCCAGAGCTGCTGAGGGCGGGAGCTGGTGGGGGGCTTCCAGTCGAGACCTTGTTTTCTGCCTCTGCGCCTCTGTCCCTCACCCGGCGAGCCTCATTGTTGCTGTCTCAGGATGCGTGTGAGTGAGACAGAGCAAGACAGAGATGGGAAATGGGGGAACCTCCAGACAGCACGACAGAGCTTGGCAGAGACCCCAAGAGAACTATTGAGAAACAGACCAAGCCCCGGACACAAAGAAGCTGGCAGGAGAGGGAGCAGGAGGCACCCAGGAAGCCGTTCAAAGAAAGGCGAACCCAGAAACAGGGTCGGGGAGGGGGAGCTGGAGAAAGAAAATGACAGCCCAGAAACAGACAGAGAAAAAGACAAGAATGTGTTATTCAGCACGCACAGGGACAGACAGGTGAAAACAGAGACGGCACGTCAGAGACAGAGGCAGAGGGGAGAGAGAGAAAGAGGGAGAGACGGAGACAGAGATAGAGGGAGACACAGAGACAGAGGGAGACAGAGACAGGGAGAAACAGAGACAGGGAGAGATGGGAGCAGAGGGAGAGACAGAGGGATACAGAGAGACAGACAGACAAAGGAAGAGGGCAGAGAGAGGCAGAGGGAGAGGTGGAGGCAGAAGGAGAGAGAGAGACAGAGAGAGTTAGAGAGATAGAGATGGAGACAGAGACAGAGGGAGAGACAGAGATGGGGAGAGACGGAGAATCAGAAACAGAGGGAGAGACAGTGGTGAGAGGGAGAGACAGAGACAGAGGGAGAGACAGAGACAGAGGGAGAGACAGTGGGGAGAGAGACGCATTAGAAATGAACTGCTAAGAGGAGTCAGGGCCAGGAGCGCAGGCAGCATGGCACATGCACACGTGCACGCCCGTCAGAGGGTGCAGCAGAGAGGAGGAAGAGGTGAGGACCTGCCCAGGGCTCTGGGCAGGGGGACAGGCCTGGTTAAATCAAGACCATTCGGGGGCTGTCCGCGGCAGGCTGGGCCGCAGGTGTGAGTCTTGCTGAGGAGTGAGTGGCCCAGGGCCTGCTCATCTGACCCAACGCTGGGTCTCAAGGAGGGGCCCCTGTTGGGGCCACCAAGGGAAGGGAGCATGGTGGCTGCCGGGGTGATCGCTCGTGGGGGAGCGGGAGGCTCCTCTGCAGCAAAAGTGGCCTTGAACTGGGGCCGGGCCTCCCCCCACAACACGTGGGTCCGGATCCAGGGTCCTCAAGGGAGTAATTTAAAGAAACTGGTTTCCTCAGGCCAGAAAGTTGCAAACACGGCCTGGGAGCTCTGTGGACAGCGTGGAGGAACGTGGCACGTGTGGGTGCCGTGGTCACTGCAGACCCTCATGGGGCTAAATGTGGCAGAAGCGAGCAGCCACCCGCTCTCCCATCCTCCGCCTTGATGTGACACACGCCCTGTTTAAACACGCTCAGGTCCTCGGGAATGTGTGGGGCAGGCGGGCCGGGGCTTCAGGTGGGACACGGCTTGGAGGATGCATGTGCGGAGAGGCTGGGGTGCAGAGTGGGAGGCAGCCGGACACTCAGGAGAGCCTCTGACTGCCCCAGCGACAGAGCCCAAGGCAGGACTCACCCATGCTCGGCTCTGCCACGTGTGGGGAGGTCTAGCGGGCAGGTCCAGTGACTCCGGTGGTTCAGTCACGATGGACAGTGTCCGGCAGTGAATGCCCCTCACCCAGCCAGGCCCAACCTGGGGGGCGACAGCCTGGCCTGGGTTCAGTGGAGAAGCTGTCCTTGTCCCCGGAGAGTGGTACGCTGTTGGGTTCTGTGTCCAGTCCTACATGGGGAGGGAAGCAGGTGAACATCTGGGGAGAACACACCGTAGGGGTGCGGTCCTGGGTTTGGCGTGAGGGGGAGGATTGTGGTCATCCAAGCCGGGGTGGACGAGAAGTGTCTCGTGGACGGCCCAGGCAGGAAGTGCAGGGTTCCACCGTGTGGGAGAGCCCCTCCGCGCCCCCGTGGGGCTGGGCTGTGAGTTCTCGGCAGGAACAACCCAAGGGGCTTGTGGGGGCCACCGGTGTCCACCTTGGGGGTTCACGCGAGGCTGGTGAGGGGTGTCCACCTTGGGGGTTCACGTGAGGCTGGTGAGGGGTGTCCACCTTGGGGGTTCACGTGAGGCTGGTGAGGGGTGCAGTTGGGAAAGAATCTCCCTCTGTGAGCAGAGACCACCAGAGCCAGGAGTCCAGGCCAGGGATGCCCTGAGCCACAATGCAGCCAACACCAGCATCTCCCCCAGCCCTCCACGGGGATGGAGGGGGCACCTCCTTCCTCCTTCCCGGCACCAAAGTGGGGCTCAGCACTCACCATCTGGGACCTCAGGCAGGGCCATGGAGGCAACTGGGATCTGGGCAATCCTGCCCTGATTCCCAGTGTCCACCCCTGAGACTTACACCATGGGCAAGGTTGGGTGTCCACCCTGTCCCAGACAGAGGTCCCTCTGGCTCTCCTGCCTCTCTCTTCTTGCCCAGTTTGAAGCTCAGCCTTCTCTGTTTATTAGGGACCCCACAGGCTCCTGGTGGTTGAGGCAATGGGGGATTCTGCCAGTTCCTGCCCCATTGGGCCACTGATCAGGCTCTCTGGACCTGGGAGGACGATGGAGCTGCAGGCTGGGCTGAGCTGGGTCCGGGAGGACGGTGGAGCTGCAGGCTGGGCTGAGCTGGGTCCGGGAGGACGGTGGAGCTGCAGGCTGGGCTGAGCTGGGTCCGGGAGGACGGTGGAGCTGCAGGCTGGGCTGAGCTGGACCTGGGAGGACGGTGGAGCTGCAGGCTGGGCTGAGCTGCAGGGACAGCAGCAGATCCGGAGGTGAAGCTCTTGAATTCCACATGGGGAAGATTCTTTTGGCTGCAAGTAACAATCAGAGGAAGAGGAGCTTGAATTGGGGTGACGATGTGTCAGGAGGTGGCCCAGCTGCTCAGCGATGCTACTGGGGACCTGGTGCCATCAGGTGCCACCTTCGTCCTCAGTGGATCTTTCATGCTCAGCTGCTCCTCACAATCTCAAAGTGGCTGCTGCTGCTCCAGCATTGCATCCATAGTCAGGGAAGGAAAAAGAGAGGAGCTAAGGGGCAACCCCTTCATCTGTTTAGTGGTGGTCTTTACAGACTCTCATGGAGGGTTTCCATTTACTTGCCACAGCTAGAAGAGGAAGGTGGGGGCCAGGGTGGGCCCGTCCTACTCCAAACAGAGGCCGGGTGTTGGGCAGGCGTCCCACAGTGCCTGACTCACACCCAACTTGGGGAGACTTGGTTTCTAGGTGCAGAACCGCTAGGCAATGACCCCCCAGCAGTGTGTCCTTCCCAGCCTTACTCCTTGGAACAAGGCATGTGCTCGAAAGGCAGTTTGCAAACACTTAACAGTAAAATGCCAACATTTGTTCAGAACGGACTTCACAAACGCCGTGTGGTCGAGAAAGCACTCACTCACTTTGCTGGGTTCGGCAGAGATGCCTCTTATCCCAGATTTCTGGGAGGCTGGAAGGACCCTTCAGAGAAACTGCCTTTCCTCCCGAAACCGTGAAGGGCAGTCCTTTCCTCCAGAGAGGATGCTCTTGGTTGATTAAGCTGCAACTCAATTATAAATACTTTAGCCCCAACTTGGGAATAAAATGGATATTATGCACTTCAACTGACAAAGTTATTTATGTTTTTGCCTCATTGGTTGGCAAGACGTTCCAGTTGGGGTTAGAGCATTTGTTTCAATAGCTCCTGCGTGACAGGACTACTTCAGTCCCGCTTTGCTGCCATCAGACGCTGCTGGACTCGCACGGGGAGCGCAGAGCGTTTAATGCTGGGACATCAGACAGAACAGGGAACTGATGAAAGCTTCAGAATGAACATTGAGTCCACGCAAATCTGATGCTGCCAAACTTCAGAGAACCTGGGTCTCCTGGTCCACACGGAGATCAGACGAGGGGGACACTGAGTGCCTGGCAGCCCTTCCACTAGGCGGTCCCCCGGGATGAGGCGAGGCCCCACCCTCCAGCTCCACCATCCAGTCCAGCACCGTCCTTGGCCGCGGGCACTGCTGTCCTTGCCTGCGGACCGAGCGCCCAGCTCTTCAATACAGCACCTGGTCCTCGCTTTCAGGAGAGGATGCGTGGAGACAGGCGAGGTGGACGTGCCAATAAGTGACCCAAACAGTGCCAAGCTCGGCGGCAGATGGCGCAGCCGCCGGTTTCCAGGACAGTTGTAATCCTTGGCCCTCATTCGGCCTCTTCCCGTCACTCACATGGCGCGGCTTTCCTGGCCTCGGCGGTGTGGACGGGGGGCCTTGGCCATGGTTGCAGGACCCCAGCTCCAGCTCAGGTCAGCGTCTCATCCCAGGTGAGCTAATGAAGATCTGCAAAGCCACCAGAGTTGCTGAGGAGAGAAGAGGTGTTTGTGGCACTTCAGCGTGGGCGCAAAACAGAGGGAGCATTGCAGGACGTGCATCAGACGCTGGGCCCGGGGACCTGTGAGGCCACCATGTCAGCCTCTCTGAGACGGTGGCAGTCGAGGCCCGTGGCGGGGCTGGGGCTGGTCCACAATCAGCTTGACAAAGTAAGGTGGTGGCGGCCAGCCAGGCCCAGGGCCCCTGGGTGTCAGCAGGTGAGCAGGTCAGGCGGGCATGGCCCGGTGCTGCAACACCTCTCCAGCGCCTCGGTGCCTCCCCTCCCCAAGGGCTGGGGCGAACCAGGCTTGGCTTGGACCTGTGCTCAGCTGCACTGGGGCCTCTCGGGCAGCAGGCTGGACACCCAGCTCTCAGGAGGGGTGTGGGCTTGTCTGCAATGCAAGAACAGGAGCCAAAAGCCAACCTTCTTTTACACCAGATTCACCTGTGGTCATTCTTCTGACCTTGCCCAATGCGCTCAGGGATGACAGGTGGACAGTGAGCCACCCCCGAGGGCGGTGGCGCCTCCAGTGTCCCCTGTCAGACTTGGCTCCTCAGATGCTGGTTTATTCCTTGACACCGGATGGGGAAAATATTCTGAGATACTATGTCCAGCGTGCCCACAGGACCTCCCCTCACGGCTGGTGGGAACAATGCACCCTCCAATGGGCACCTGGGGAGGGTCTCTGGCCAGCAGCATCTCCAGATGGAAGTGGAGGGGAAGGGAGCCCCAGGGCCTGGAGGAGGAAATCCTCATGGCCAAGGGGGCGTGAGGGAAGGGGGCGGTCACTGCAGTCATCAGTGGGTAGGGATTCCTGATGCTCCATCCTTACTTAAAATTTTTCTCTTAATTAATATTAAATTATCCTGATTATGCTGGGTCTTGTTTTAATTTTTGCCTAGGAGTCTCCTTGGACTGATTTTTTTTTTCTTTTTGAGACAGAGTCTCGCTCTATTGCCCAGGCTGGAGTGCAGTGGCGCAATCTCAGCTCATATAACCTCCGCCTCCTGGGTTCAAGCGATTCTCCTGCCTCAGCCTCCTGAGTAGCTGGGATTACAGGTGCCTGCCACCACGCCTGGCTAATTTTTTTTTTTTTTTTTAGTAGAGACGGGGTTTCACTGTGTTGCCCAGGCTGGTCTCGAACTCCTGAACCCAGGCAATCCACCTGCCCCGGCCTCCCAAAGTGCTGGGATTACAGGCGTGAGCCACTGCGCCCGGCCTGAATTTTTTTTTTTTTTTTTTTTTACATTCACCCAGTGTGCCCCTGCTGAGCCTTGCTTAACGTTTCTGTCACTTTATGTGGGTTGCCATTCAGAAATACATGTAGTTGGATTTCATTTTTTATCTAATTGGAGCCTTAATGCATCTGTTTAATGTGCACTGTTTTGACCAACATATGTGATCTAACCTCTGTCATCTTTGTTGTTGCCTTTTTAAACGCTTTCTTGCTGTTTCATTTATTTTAACTTAATGTAGGGACCACATTTTCTCTTTAAAACCTCTGCAGTGCTTTGGAATGTGCGTGCTCTTTGAAAACATGATGTAAGCTCTACTTGCCAGAGTTGAAAATGATGCAGTGTATTTCCAGTCCTTGCCAACACACTTCCAGGACTTCTGCACACTTTATACTCTTCCGACTCCTCTCCCATCTTTTGGTCTTTGTAATTTTTGAGACAGGGTCTCGCTCTGTCGCCCAGGCTGGAGTGCAGTGGAGCGATCACAGCTCACTGCAGCCTCAACATCCCGGGCTCAAGTGAGCCTTCTACCTTAGCCTCCTGAATAACTGGGACTATAGGTGTGTACCACCACACTTGGCTAATTTTTTTTTTTTTAAGACAGGGTCCCACCATGTTTCCCAGGCTAGGAAGAGAATTCAAATAATAAGTATAAAGAAGTGATATGAGAAAATCACTGGGAAAATTGAGATACTGCATTGTTTTGAAATCATTCATCACTTCATTTATGAATATTTTTGGCCGGGCGCAGTGGCTTATGCCTGTAATCCCAGCACTTTGGGAGGCTGAGGCAGGTGGATCACGAGGTCAGGAGTTCAAGACCAGCCTGGCCAACATGGTGAAACCCTGTTCTCTACTAAAAACACAAAAGTTAGCCGGGTGTGGTGGTGGGCGCCTGTAATCCCAGCTACTCTGGAGACTGAGGCAGGAGAATTGCTTGAACCCGGGAGGCGGAAGTTGCAGTGAGCCGAGACTGCACCACTGCACTCCAGCCTGGGTGACAGAGTGAGACTCTGTCTCAAAAAAAAAAAAAAAAAAAAAAATTTCACGGAGAATGCCTTCAGATCCACTTGTAAATTTAAGAGACACTGCAAAGTTGCTAGTGCTGTTGATTTATTAGGACTAGTGAGTGCAGTCAGTGAGCTGAGGTCTCAGGCTGGTGAGAAAAACCAGCCTCCAAGGTGAATATAACTTAAATAGCTCAACATAAACATTGTAACAAATATAATTTCCCTTAACAGGCGTTTATATTCTCAAGGACAGACAACAAAAGATCTTTGAATGGGTGGATAGTTCAGGGAAGTTTTTGTTTATTTTGCAGACATTTAGACAGAAAGTCAACTTTTTGATGATGAGATATGGAATCAGTAGAGACCTAAGTCCAAGTTACAGAGTTGGAAGTGGTGTGTAAATGTCTGCAACTTCCCCACCCGTTGTAACAAGAGCCTGGGCAGAAGCCAGGTTTGCAGTGGCAAACACTGTATCAACAGCCTCTCACGGTGCTTCTCCAAGTGCCGCTGAGATTTATGACCTGTGAAACCTGTTACAATTGCAGCTGAGACTGAACAAGATACTGTGGAACTTACAATAACGGACTTCTTAAGCTGCCCCACTCAGAGGTGTGTGTCTTATGTTTCTGAGTAAGTGCCACACGGGGTCATCTCAGATGCCACGTGTTAACCTCCTGTAAGGGCTCCAGAGCATTCGGTGCTTACAAACCTGCCCCCATGCCCCTCCGTGGCTGTATGTAAATACTGCTTAGCGCTGAGCCCTGCAGTGCACTGCGATTACACTTCTTATAAAGTCTTTTCTTTGTTCTGTAGTTCTTTTTTTTTTTTTTTTTTTTGAGACGGAGTCTTGCTCTGTCACCCAGGCTGGAGTGCGGTGGCACAATCTCGGCTCACTGAAAGCTCCACCTCCTGGGTTCAAGCAATTCTCCTGCCTCGGCCTCTCGAGTAGCTGGGATTACAGGCACCTGCCACCATGACTGGCTAATTTTTGTATTTTTAGTAGAGACGGGGTTTCACCATGTTGGCCAGGCTAGTCTTGAACTCCTGACCTCAGATGATCCACCCGCCTCAGCCTCCCAAAGTGCTGGGATTACAGGCGTGAGCCACCACGCCTGACCCCTTATTTTTATCTTCTAACACTTCAACTGAATTTTTAATTTCTGCATTTATATTTTTAATTTCCAAGAGCTCTTTTCTGTTTTCTAAATGTTCGTTCTCTTTACAAGTTTTCCTCTGTTCTCTGTGTTGTCTCTGAGCTCTGTTTTGGGAGCCCCCAGATAAACTGGGGTTCCAGTGTGTGAGAGCTGGCAGTCTTGCCCTAATGGGAAATGAATGGGGCTAGACCTGGTGCCTTTCATGGAATCCTTCTTTCACCTGGTGGACGGCTTGAACGCTAGTTACCCGACCCATGGCCGGGGCCCCTCACACACGACACTTGTTCATACTGGCAGATGCCCGGTGGTTTGTGTCTGCTCCATGTACAGGCTCTGCCTGCCTGGCCATCACTCTGGCACAGGGACTCCAACCTTGTGTTCCTCCCGGACTCCTGGGGAAAACCTGGCCTGGGGTAGCCCCTGGTTCTTCAGATTTAAGGCACAGATTTAATCCACCACTGCAATAGGAAACAAGTTCGAAGATTTTTGCTACAGATCCTGGCAGAGAGGATGCTGTGAGTCGCGGGGGCCATCCTCCATCTCCGGGTCGCATGAGGCAGGAATGAAGAGTCAGGGAGAGGGCCGGGCGTGGTGGCTCATGCCTGAAATCCCAACACTGTGGGAGGCCAAGGCAGGTGAATCACCTGAGGTCAGGAGTTCAAGATCAGCCTGGCCAACATGGTGAAACCCGGTCTCCACTAAAAATACAAAAATTAGCTGGGCGTGGTGGCAGGCACCTGTAGTCCAAGCTGCTCAGGAGGGTGAGGCAGGAGAATCACTTGAACCCAGGAGGCAGAGGTTGCAGTGAGCTGAGATTGCGCTACTGCACTCCAGCCTGGCAACAGAGCGAGACTCCGTCTTAAAAAAAAAAAATCAGGCAGAGTGGGGACAGCTAGCATGATTATAAGAGGAAGTGGAGTGTGGGTCCCTTGTATTTGCAGGCAGATACCTGTATGGTCCTTTCAGAGCAAGTGGTGGGAAAAGCAGGGGTTCCACCTGCTGGACGGGAGAGAGGCCTCTGAGTTCACATGTCTGGCCGCCGGCTTGGGTCGCCCAGGTGTGGCTCTGCCTCCGATGCCCAGGCAGTGGTCTTTGCTGTGTCATTTTGTTACAAGCTCCTTTTCCGTCCATTTAGCTTGCAGCTTTCTTTGTGTCAGAGACTTTCCCTGGATGCACATTTATGTTTCAGCGAGTCAGGAAAAGCTGTTGGAAGTCTTCTGTGTGTGTGTGGGAATTCTGGGCTTACCTGTAGGGCAAACGTGGCGAGCTGGCTTTTATGCTTGGGAATCCGCACAGGTCAGGCCCTTTAGGTCTTTTGGGGAGTGTGGCTCCATCTCCCCAGAAATGGATTCTGTGTGGCTGGATGGTGGATCTATGAGCAGGGCAGTGGACTGGGCTTGAGTGAGGGCTCTGTAGGGTGCAGATATTCCATGAACTCTCTGTTTTCAAGGAATCACTTCTGCCCTTTAGGATTGGTGCCTGAGGATTGGTCTGAGTCTGGGGGTCTCTGGTTCAGTTTCTCCAAGGAAATGATTTCTTGATATCTCATTGCCACGTGGGTGGTGGGCCCAGTGCCCTTTATACAGACCTTTCACCATCCCTCATGTCTGCCCCACTCGCCTGACAGCAGGGCCTCCAGTCCCAGAGTCTTCCTGGGGTTCTGCCCGGCTGGTCAGCTTCTCAGCAGCATCTCCCTCTGCAGAGCCCATCCGTGCACCTGCTTTCCATCGTCCCCAATCTGATACCGATTTACCTGGCCTCTCCTCTCTTGTTGTGTTATTCTTGTGAAATTATACTATTCACTTTCTCTTTTTTTTTTTTTTTTTTTGAGACAGAGTCTAGCTCAGCCACCCAGGCAGGAGTGCAGTGGTACAATCTTGGCTCACTGCAACCTCCGGCTCCCAGGTTCAAGCAATTCTCCTGCCTCACCCTCCCAAGTAGCTGGGACTACAGGCATCTGCCACCACACCCAGCTAATTTTTGCATTTTTAGTAGAGACGGGGTTTCACCATGTTGGCCAGGCTGGTCTTGATCTCTTAACCTCATGATCTGCCTGCCTCGGCCTCCCAAAGTCCTGGGATTACAGGTGTGAGCCACCGCTCCCAGCCTGTTCAGTTTCTTTACTCCCATCTTAGTGGGGTTGTGGAAAGGCACGTCAATAAGCATATATGTTCAATCCATCATGTTTAAACAAAACTCAGTACACTATCATTTGTAAGGGTGCCTGGCATTAGGACGGCCAGCGTTAGGACATTAGGATAGCCAGCATTAGAGCAGGCAGCGTTAGGACACCGGGCGTTAGCATTAGGATGCTCAGTGTTAGGACACCCAGCGTTAGGACACGCAGCGTTAGGATGCCCAGCATTAGGAACGTGCTGGGATTACAGGCGTGAGCCACCGTGCCTGGCCCCTAAGTATATTCTTGAGTTTTGCTCTTGATATGGTCAAGTCACTTAGAAAGAGTTTGGTCCTTTCCTCTCTTATTTTGGAACTTTGCTAGGTGGGATTCGAGCGGTATTCTGTCTGAAGATAATTTCCCCACACTCAAGCCCATACCCTTTTTATTACTCTGATGGACGCCCTTTGATTTATGACTTTTTCTTCTCTGTCTGTTGGGAACACTCTCATTAAAAAGCAGAATTGTCAGATTGGATAAAAAATCAAGATCCAGTTCTGTGCTACATACAAGAAACCCACTTTAAATATAAAAAGACTCTGCTGGGTGCGGTGGCTCCTGCCTGTAATCCCAGCACTTTGGGAGGCTGAGGCAACTGAATCACCTGAGGTGAGGAGATCAAGACCATCCTGGACAACATGGTGATACCCCTGTCTCTACTAAAAATACAAAAATTTAGCGGGGCGTGGTGGCGGGCGCCTGTAGTCCCAGCTACTCGGGAGGCTGAGGCAGGAGAATCATGTGAACCCAGGAGGCAGAGGTTGCAGTGAGCTGAGATCGCACCACTGCACTCCAACCTGGGTGACAGAGCAAGACTCTGTCTCAAATAAATAAATAAATATATAAAGACTCTAGTCAGGTAAAAGTGAAAAGATAGGGAAAAAATAAGAAGAAAACTTGAGTGGCTATATTAATATAAGACCAAGGAGATTTCAGTGCAAGAAATATTGCCAGGGATGAAGGAAGTCATTTCCTGGTGATTAAGAGGTCAGCTAATCAAGAGGACATCATGGTCTCAACTGCTTCTACACCCGACAGCTGAGTTCCAACATACGTCAGCAAAGACAGAAGGAGGTCACAGGAGAAACATACAAACCCACTGTTTGAGCTGGAGATACTCAACTCAAAGGACAGAGAAGCAGGAAGGACAGACAGGACTTGAGCAGCACAGCCAGCCAGGCTGACCTGCTTGATGTTCACAGACGCTCTGAGCAGCAACAGCAGAGTAGTCCTTCTTCTTTTCAGGCACACATGGAGCATTTGCCAAGACACACCATATTCGAGGCCCTGAAACAAGTCTCAGTGCACGTGAAAGGGTTCAAGTCATGCAAATATATTCTCCAACTACAATGAAATGCAATGAGAAATAAAGACAGAAAGGTATCTAGAAAATCTCCCAAATAGTTGGAAACTAAACAACACACTTCTAAATAGCCCACGAGCCAAGGAAGAAATCAAAGTGGAAATTAGAGGCTGGGTGCAGTGGCTCATGTCTGTAATCCCAACACTTTGCGAGGCTAAGGAGGAAGGATTGCCTGAGGCCAGGAGTTCCAGGCCAGCTTGGGCAACAGAGCAAGATCCCATCTCTATGAAAAATAAAAAAAAAATTGGCTGGGCACAGTGGTATGCACCTGTAGCACTAGCTGATTGGAGGCCAAGGTGGGAAGATCACTTGAGCTCAGCAGTTTGAGGCCAGCCTGGACAACCTGGGCAATGTAGGGAGATCCCATCTCTATAAAAAATTTAAAAATTAGCTGGGCATGGCAGTGTGCCCTTGTTGTCTGAACTACTTGGGAGGCAGAGGTGGGAGGATCACTTAAGCCCAAGAGTTCAAGGCTGCAGTGAGCCATGATCTCACCACTGCATTCCAGCCTGGGTGACAGAGCAAGGTCCCACCTCTTATAAAAAAGGGAAATTAGAGGCTGGGCGTGGTGGCTTACACCTGTAATCCCAGCACTTTGGGAGGCTGAGGCGGGCGGATCACCTGAGCTCAGGAGTTCGAGACCATCCTGGCCAACATGGTGAAAACCTGCCTCTACTAAGAATACAAAAATTAGCCAGGTGTGGTGGCGGGCACCTGTAATCCCAGCTACTCGGGAGGCTGGGGCAGAAGAATCACTTGAACCCAGGAGGTGGAGGTTGCAGTGAGCCAAGACCACGCCATTGCACTCCAGCCTGGGCAACAAGAGTGAAATTCCATCTCGAAAAAAAAAAAAGAAAAAGAAAAAAGAAAATGTGCAAAAGATTTGAATAGATATTCCCCCAAAGAAGATACGGGAATTAAAGGAATGATTATTAAGGATATATGAAGATGTTCGGCAGTGCTGGTCACGGGGACACACCACAGCGAGATGCTGCCACACCCACTAGGGTGACCAGAGTCAACAGAGCCACTCACGCATGTGGAGAAACCCACGCCCTCATGCTCTCCAGTGGGAGCTTAAAATGGCACAACCGCACTGGAAAACAGCTTGGCTGTTTCTTAAAAAGCAAAATAGAAATTTAATACACAGCTGAGCAATTCTGCTCCTAGACGTTGACCCAAGAGAAATGAAAGCGCAGACCCAAGGCCGGGCGTGGTGGCTCACGCCTGTAATCCCAGCACTTTGGGAGGCCGAGGCGGGTGGATCACGAGGTCAGGAGATCGAGACCATCCTGGCTAACATGGTGAAACCCCGTCTCTACTAAAAATACAAAAAATTAGCCGGGCGTGGTTGCAGGCGCCTGTAATCCCAGCTACTTGGGAGGCTGAGGCAGGAGAATGGTGTGAGCCCAGGAGGCGGAGCTTGCAGTGAGCTGAGATCATGCCACTGCACTCCAGCCTGGGCAACGAAGCGAGACTCCATCTCAAAAAAAAAAAAAAAAAAAAGAAAGTGCAGATCCACACAGACGTGTGCAGGAACAACCCACGGTTCACACACAGGTGGGCGGGTGAAGGAGCCGTGTGCATCCACACCGTGGGGTCCTGCTCAGCATGGAGAGGGGTGAGCTGCTGGTGTGATGGGGTGTCCCAGAAAGCAGCGAACTCAGTAACCGGGCCAGTCCCCCCGCCTGCTGCAGATACCACGTATTGTGTGTGCCCCTTTATATAAAGTTCTAGAGAAAGCCCATAATCCATAGTGACAGGAAGTAGGTCAGTGGCTGGAGTGGTGGGTGGGAGGGGCCACACAGGCCACCATGAAACCCGAGGGCTGGACGTGTCCACTGTCTTGATTGTGGTGATGGCTTCATACACATATACATGCGTCAAAACAGACTTAGGGTATGTCAGTTACCTCCATAAAGCTGTTTAAAAGTTGGGTTCTGAGAGTTACGGAGGACGCCTACCTTTGTGATGGTCATGAAGTGGTCACACATGTGGCCCCCACGGCCTGAGGTCCCCCCCACCCCCTCAGGCCATGTGTCCGTGTTCAAGGCTGAGTGAGGGCAGCAGGCAGGGCAGAGGCTCAGCAGCCACAGGGCCCGTTTCCTTGAGGGCACGAGGCAGGGCAGAGGCTCAGCAGCCACAGGGCCCGTTTCAGTAAGGGCGTGAGACAGGGCAGAGGCTTGGCAGCCATAGGGCCCCTTTCTGGGGGAGAATGAGAAGCTTTGGCCGGGCCCCACCCCGTGCACTCCTGCCCTACCCAAGGCTGAAGGGGCCTTGGGGAGTCATCACCGTTCCACTGTCTATAGGCGAGGACGTGGGGTGGCGAGAGCCACCCGCCAGCCCTGAGAATAGCAACCGCAAGATACGGTTCACAGCGTGAGGAGCATAATCGTGTTTGAATATTGAACCATCCTCACTTTGCTAAAATGAGCCCCACTGAGTACTCACTGTGTTTCCCATGGAACGCCAGACTCTCCTCCCGCTCTGGCCCAGCGTTCAGCACTGACATTCTCGCTGGAGCCCGGCCTGCCGCCCGCGCACTCGCGCGCTCTCTATCTCTATCGCTATCTCTCCACCAATTTTTGGCATTGCTCTTATGTTAATTTCACAAAAATAACCCAGAGGATTTCCTTCTTTTTCTCCGTTCCAAGAACATTCTAAATATCATTGGAATTATCTGTTTCTTGAATGTTTGAAAGAATCCATCTGTGAATTCTTAGACATCGTTCTCAGATTTTTTACAACGGGTTTTAAAGACAATCCATTTCATTCAAGTTTTTAAGTGTATTAGGAAAGTGTGTGTAAAATATTATTTGACCATCTTATTTCCTGTCTGGGTGTGGCTAGTTCTCAATCGTTTCCCCTCGTTTTGTGTGTCCCAGGCTTCTTTCTGTCTTCTCACTCTGAGCAGCTGCCTGATGCCTGTTTTATGGGAGGTTCAAGACCCACCTCCTGAACCGCTGACTCTTTTGACATTTGTCTTTCTGGACGGATTCGTTTTGCCGTTAGCTTTGCAAACTCCTTTCCTCTGCCTGCCTTGGTTTGTTTGGTTGCTTTTTCTGTGGCAATTGGAGTGAGGTGTTTTTTGCTGTGTATGCCTGGGCTTGCCGGGAGCGTGAGCGTTTCAGGGAATGAACAGCATGGGCCACCCCTGACATGCCGCTGGATTGAGGCCTCGATACATCCAGTTCCTGGAGATGTGGTAACCGTGGTTTTAATATTTTCCAACTCGTTTGTTGTTAGAGAGATGTTACATTTACAAGGGCCCAGGAGGAGGATTTTTATTTATTTTTATTTATTTATTTATTTATGTATTTATTGAGCCAGGGTCTCAGCTCACTGCAACCTCCACCTCCCAGACTCAAGAAATTCTCTCGCCTCAGCCTCCCAGGTAGCTGAGACAACAGGTGTGTGCCACTATGCCTGGCGAATTTTTCATAATTTTTTTGTGGAGACAGGGTTTTGCCATGTTACCCAGACTGATCTTGAGCTCCTGGGCTCAAGCGATCCAGCCACCTCACCCTCCCAAGTGCTGGGATGACAGGTGTGACCGCCGCACCCAGCCAAGGATTTTTTATTCCTGGTTGTGCTGCACCTGTGCCATGACTCTGAGCCAAAGCATGCAGCCTTATTTCTGCTCTGGAAAACATATTGAGATTAATATATCAAGAAAGACAAATGTCAACAGAGGTGGCCTAACATTTTTTTGACAGGTGAGATTATAAATCATTTAAAATTTATGCTTCTCTGTTTTAAAAAAAATTTAAGGCCAGGCAAGGTGGCTCACGCCTGTAATTTCAGTACTTTGGGAGGCCGAGGACGGCGGATCACCTGAGGTCAGGAGTTTGAGACCAGCCTGACCAACATGGTGAAAACCCCATCTCTACTAAAAATAATAATAAAAAAAAATTGGCCGGGCATGGTGGCACCTGCCCGTAATCTCAGCTACTTGGGAGGCTGAGGCAGGAGAATCTCTTGAACCCAGGAGGCAGAGGTTGCAGTGAGCCGAGATTGTGCCACTGCACTCCAGCCAGGGCAACAAAGAATGAAACTCCATCTCAAAAAAAAAAAAAATTAAGTTCCGGGATACATGTGCAGGATGTGTAGGTTTGTTACATAGGTAGTAAACGTGTACCATGATGGTTTGCTGCACCTGCCAGCCTATCACCTAGGTATTAAGCCCAGCATGCATTAGCTATTTTTCTTGATGCTCTCTCTTCCCCTGCTCCATAGGCCCCAGTGTGTGTTTTTCCCCTCCCTGTGTCCATGTGTTCTCAATGTTCAACTCCCACTTACGAGTGAGAACATGCGGTGTTTGGTTTTCTGTTCCTGTGTTAGTTTGCTGAAGATAATGGCTTCCAGCCCCATTCCTATCCCTGCAAAGGACATGATCTCATTCTTTTTTATGGCTGTGTAGTATTCCATGTTGTATATGTACCACATTTTCTTTATCCAGTCTATCATCGATGGGCATTTGGGTTGATTCCCTATCTTTGCTATTGTGAATAATGCTGCAATGAACATACACGTACATATATCTTAAAATAGAATGATTTATATTCCTTTGGGTATATACCCAGTAATGGGATTGCTGAGTCAAATGGTATTTCTGGTTCTAGGTCTCTGAGGAATCGCCACAGTCTTCCACGGTGGTTGAACTAATTTACACTCCCATCAACAGTATAAAAGTGTTCCTATTTCTCTGCAACCTTCCCAGCATCTGTTGTTTCTTGACTTTTTAATCTTAATCACCATACTGACTGGTATGAGATGGTATCTCATTGTAGTTTTGATTTGCATTTCTCTAGTGATCAGTGATGTTGAGCTTTTTTTCACAGGTTTGTTGGCTGCATAAATGTCTTTCGTTTGGGTTCCTTGTAGATTCTGGACATTAGACCTTTGTCAGATGGATAGATTGAGAAATGTTTCTCCAATTCTGTAGGTTGTCTGCTCACTCTGATGATAGTTTCTTTTGCTATGCAGAAGCTCTTTAATTAGCTCCCACTTGTCAATTTTTGCTTTATTACAATTGCTTTTGATGTTTTCATCATGAAATTCTCAACCTTGCCTATGTCCTGAATGGTATTGCCTAGATTTTCTTCTAGGGTTTTTATACTTTTGGGTTTTACATTTAAATCTTTAATTCACCTTGAGTTAATTTTTATATAAGGTGTAAGGAAGGGGTCCAGTTTCCATTTTCTTCAGATGGCTAGCCAGTTCTCCCAGCACCATTTATTAAATAGGGAATCCTTTCCTCATTGTTTTTGTCAGGTTTGTTGAAAATCAGATGATTGTAGGTGTGCAGGCTTATTTCTGAGTTCTCTATTCTGTTCCATTGGTCTACGTGTCTGTTTTTGTACCTGTACCATGCTGTTTTGGTTACTGTAGTCTTGTAGTATAGTTTGAAGTCAGGTATATGCTTCTCTTTTTTGTGGTAAAATATATAGCATAAAATTTACCATTTAAATTATGTTAAGTGCACAATTCAGTGGCATTAAGTACATCACAATGTTGTGCAACTAACACCTCTATTTCCAGAACTTTTCATCATTTCCAACTGAAACTCTGTCTACACTAAACACTCACTCCCCACTCTCCTTCCCCCAGCCCCTCGCACCCACCACTTTACTTCCTGTCTCAATGAATTTGGCTACTCTAGGGACCTCATCTAAGTGGAATCTTACAGTATTTGTCTTTTTGTGTCTGGCTTATTTCATTTAGCATAGTGTCCTCAAGGTTCATCCATGTTGCAGTTTGTGTTGGAACTTAATTCCTTTTTAAGGCTGCATAATATTCCATTCTGTCTACACCACATTGTGCTTGTCCATTCATCTGCTGATGGACACCCTGGGTTGTTTCTCCCTCTTGGTTATTGTGGTTAATGCTGCTATGAACAGGGGTATGGAGGTATCTGTGAGAGACTCTGCTTTCAGTTCTTGTGGGTCTATACCCAGAAATGGAATCGCTAGATCATATGGCAATTCTATGTTTAATTTTTTGAGGAACAGCCAGACTGTTTCCACAGCAGCTGTGCTGTTTCTCATTCCCAACAACAAGGCACAGGGTTCCAGTTTCTTCACATTGTTGCCAACACTTGTGATTTCCTGGTTTTTGATAACAGCCGTCTGAGTGGGTGTGAGCCGGTATCTCATTGTGGTGCAGACTGACACCTGGCCCTTGTAAGCATTCCATGAGAGCTTCAAAGGAACACCTGTTAGGTTTTTCAGGGTTTGGGTTCGGTGTGAACCTCGTGTGTAACCCTCCGATCCTCCTTCTATCTTTAGATAATCCTAACAACAGGGGTATATTCATACATGATTGTTTTTCCTTTTTGCCTTCCAAACATGGGCTCTGCGGCGCGTTTGTCTGCCTGTGGCTCTCCGGCTGCAGCGCCCACAGCAGCCCCTCCCTCCCGCTCCAGGCCCCGGGCTTCCCTGTGTGGATGTGCGATGGGCGTATGGCCACACGCCCAAGATATCACCTTGTCTCCAGCCACACGCCAGGGCCGCTGCCGAGACAGACGGTGCGCGAGCGTGCGTGGGCACGTTTCTCCACAGAGGAGCACCCGCCCTAGCCGGCCGCCGCGCAGGAGTGGGACGCCGGGTGAACTCCGCACGTGCTCGCGGCGACGCACTGCGTTCCAAAATGGCTGCCGCCTGCGTTCCAAAATGGCTGCCGCCGCCCACCTTTCCCGTGGAGGCTGAGCACGTCGCTCCCCACGCTTGCCGGCCTCCAGGCTGACGACCGCCAGAGCCGTCTCTGGGACTCTGCAGGCACTTCCCGAGCCCCCGCAAGGTGCGTTTTCACTTCTTTGTGACACTTGGGTTGAGTCTCCTCTGACATCAATTCTGCCATATGAACCTTAATTTTATCCAAAGCCCCAAAAAGAACAAAAGCGTTGGAGTTTAAGCTGAAGGTGCGATCCGGATTACATACAATTGCACATTATTGTTGATGCGGCTGACGTCATTATGATATTAAGCCTGCCCACCAAGAATCTGGCATGTCTTTCCAAAACCGTACGATTTAAATCCATGATTTTTTTCTGATATAGGTTCTATAGACTTCCCTTTTATTTCTAAGTAGGTTATATTTTCGTACTTATTGTGTGTTTTCCTCATTATTGTAAGTGGAACGTCATTCCTGTTCCTGTTTCTAGCTTGTTCTTGACAGTGTGGGGGAAAACTATTAATTCGGAAGTATGGATATTGTATTTAGCCATGCTGCCACATCCCATGATGTGTTCTGGTAGGTTTTTACTGCACTGTCTTGAGTTTCTCAGAGATAGGATCGTGTCATCAGGAAGAGAGGTGGGAGAGACGGAGAAAGAGATAATTGGCTGTCTTCTTTTATAACTCTTATTACCATCCTGTGTTGACGGGAATACGTTCGTGGCTGTGGGACTGTCATGGAATCTCCCTTCACAAGCCTAGATGATGCAGCCTCCTGCACGCCCAGGCCGTGTGGTGCAACCATTGTTCCCCGGCTGCAAACCTGCACAACACACATCTCACTGAACACCGCAGTAGCGGCAGCACCAGGGTGAGGCTGTGCACCTAAGCATAGAAAAGGCACCGTGAGGCCAGGCGTGGTGGCTCACGCCTGTAATCTCAGCACTTTGGGATGCCAAGGTGGGTGGATCATTTGAGGTCAGGAGTTTGAGAACAGCTTGGCCAAACATGGTGAAACCCCATCTCTGCTAAAAATGCAAAAATTAGCCAGGCGTGGTGGCACACGCCTGTAATCCCAGCTACTTGAGAGGCTGAGGCACAAGAATGGCTTGAACCCAGGAGTGGAGGTTGCAGCGAGCCAAGATCACGCCATTGCACTCCAGTCTGGACAACAGGTCTCAAGAGAAAGAAAGAAGGCCGGGCGCGGTGGCTCACGCCTGTAATCCCAGCGCTTTGAGAGGCCGAGGCGGGCAGATCACGAGGTCAGGAGATCGAGACCACGGTGAAACCCCGTCTCTACTAAAAAAAAAAAATACAAAAAATTAGCCGGGCGCGGTGGCGGACGCCTGCAGTCCCAGCTACTCCAGAGGCTGAGGCGGGAGAATGGCGTGAACCTGGGAGGCGGAGCTTGCAGTGACCCGAGATGGCGCCACTGTACACCAGCCTGGGCGACAGAGCGAGATTCCGTCTCAAAAAAAAAAGGAAAGAAAAGGCACCGTGAGAATTCGGTGCTGTCGCCTTCCAGGGCACTGTCGTACATGCGGCCTGCTGTTGACTGAAACGGCCTTATGTGGCACATGACTGTGTCTTATCTTTTCATGCGCTTCACTGGACCCTTCGAAACAGCGCAGAATCGCAGCGGCAGCTGTGTGTCATGCCCTCGGTCTTACTGCAGGCAGATTTACTGTTTACCATTGTCCATTTTCTGCTTTTCTCTTCATTAATTATCTCTTCCTGTCTTATTTGGGATTATTTTGTTTTGTTTCTTTTAAATTTCTTAAGATGGCAATGAAGTTCCTATACTTTCTGCTCTTCCTTAAAATGAAGGACTATGAATTTCCTCCCAAAAAAAGTTTTAGCCCTGGACCCTAAGTTCAGACGCCTAGTGTTTATCTTTCATGCTTTCTGGAATTTTTTTTTTTTTTTTTTGAGACAGAGTCTCACTCTAATGCTCAGGCTGGAGTACAGTGGCGCAGTCTCGGCTCACCGCAACATCTGCCTCCCGAGTTCAAGCAATTCTCCTGCCTCAGCCTCCTGAGTAGCTGGAATTACAGACATGTGCCATCAAGCCCAGCTAATTTTTGTATCTTTTTTAGTAGAGATGGGGTTTCACGATGTTGGCCAGGCTGGTCTCAAACTCCTGACCTTTTGATCCTCCCACCTTGGCCTCCCAAAGTGCTGGGATTACAGGTGTGAGCCACCACGCCCAGCTGCTTTCTGGAATTTTTACACTTTCAGTTTTTATTTCCTCTTCAGTTGAAGGGTTACTTACGTCCTTGTTTCTAATATTTGGGCTTCCATACTTAGTGATTTGGTCATGTTTTTAGTATTTGTAACTTGATTAGATTATGATCAGGGAAAATGGCCTGTAATATCTCTAGCTTTTAATTTGTTAGGGCTTCTGATCAATTTGATAGTGGTGCAATTTATTTTCAATAACCATTGCCCTCTTAAGGGTACACTCCAATGAGTTTCACCATCACCGTGGTTAAGTCTGCCTGGCCCCAGGCAATCTACATTTTCTTTCTGTCACTGTAGATTAGTTTGCACCCAAATGTACATACATGAAATTAAATAATTTGTATCTGGCCTTTTACACTCAGCATAAAGACTTTGAGATTCTCCCGTGTTGTTTGGTGTATCAGCAATTCATCTGTCTCTGTTGCTAAGTGATGCTACCTGTGTGGACATACCACAGTTTGTCTATTCACCTGTTGATGGACATTTGAGTTGCTTTCTGGTTTTGGCTGTTACAAATGAAACTACCATGAACATTCCTGTTCCTGCCATTGTGTGAACTTAAGTGTTTGTTTCTCTTGGGTAAACACCTAGGAGTGGAATTTCTGGGTCATTTGGTGGCATGTTCAGTTGTACAGGAAAATGCTCAACTGTTGGCAAAGTGGTTGTAGCATTTACCTTCCCACAAGTATGCATGAGTGTTCCAGTTCCTCCACCAGTGTTCCTTGCCAACACTTAGCACAGTCAGTCTTTTTAATTTCAGACATTTGAGTAGGAATGTGGTGGTATCTCTGTGTGATTTAAGTTTGAATTCCCTTATGACTGACACGTCGATCAACTTTATTTGTAACAGCCACGTGTGTCTTTTCGTGCAGTCATGCATCATGTAACGAAAGGGACAAGTTCTGAGGACTGTGTCATTAGGTGACTTTGTTGCTGTGCGAACATCAAAGAGTGCACTGTTGCACACCCAGATGGAGCAACCCTGCACGCCCAGGCTGTTGGGGGTAGCCTGGTGCTCCCGGGCACAACCCTGCACAGCACGTGACTGCCTGAATGGCACGGAAGTTGTAACACAGTGGTGAGTATTTGCGTACCTAAGCACATCTAAACATAGAAAAGGTACCACGTGGTACACCTTACAATGGCTGCGACATCATGTTGCTTTACATGGTCCATGACTATACTTAGTTGCCATCTGTTTCTCTTCTTTGGTGAAATGTCTTTTGTCCACTTTAAAAATCAGGTTGTTTGTGTTCCTGTTATTGAGTTGTAAGAGTTTTTTGTGTATTCTGAATATAAGACTTTTTTTTTTCTTTTGAGACAGAGTCTCGCTCTGTCACCCAGACTGGAGTGCAGTGGCCCGATCTCGGCTCACTGCAACCTCCACCTCCCAGGTTCAAGCAATTCTCCTGCCTCAGCCTCCCTAGTAGCTGGGACTGCAGGCACGTGCCACCACGCCTGCCTAATTTTTGCATTTTTTTTTTTTTTAGTAGAGATGGGGTTTCACCATGTTAGCCAGGCTATTCTCAATCTCCTGACCTCGTGATCTGCCCGCCTCGACTTCCCAAAGTGCTGGGATTACAGGTGTGAGCCACTGCGTCCGGCCAACCTTTTGTTTTTTTGAGACAGAGTCTTGCCTTGTCGCCCAGGCTAGAGTGCAGTGGCACGATCTTGGCTCACTGCAACCTCCACCTCCAGGGTTCAAATAATTCTCCTGCCTCAGCCTCTCAAGTAGCTGGGATTACGGGTGCCCGTCACCATGTCTGGCTAATATATATATATATATATACATATATATACACACACACACACATATATTTATATATACATACGTGTGTGTATGTATATACACATATATGTGTCTGTGTGTGTATATGTGTGTGTATATATATATATATATATATTTTTTTTTTTAGTAGAGACGGGGTTTCCCCATTTTGCCCAGGCTGGTCTCGAACTCCTGACCTCAAGTCATCTGCCCGCCTTGGCCTCCCAAAGTGCTGGGATTACGGTTGCCCGTCACCATGTCTGGCTAATATATATATATATACATATATATACACACACACACACATATATTTATATATACATACATGTGTGTGTATGTATATACACATATATGTGTCTGTGTGTGTATATGTGTGTGTATATATATATATATTTTTTAGTAGAGATGGGATTTCCCCATTTTGCCCAGGCTGGTCTCGAACTCCTGACCTCAATTCATCTGCCCGCCTTGGCCTCCCAAAGTGCTGGGATTACAGGCGTGAGCCACTGCGCCCGGCCTAAGATCTTTATCAGATGTGTGGTTTGCAAATATATTCTCTCAGCCTGTGGTGTACCTTTTCATTTTTTAAGACAGTGTCTTTTGAAGATGTTAAGAAAAACTCAAACTGTTTTTCCCTTTGCCCTCACTCCACAAGGATAATCAACACAGAAGATGTCTGTGACCAAATGTATGAAGGTTTTCCCCACCCACCAAGCAAGCAGTCAGTCCGGCAGTGGACAACAGCAGGGTGTTCTCCAATTCAATTCCATTCTGATGCTGTCTACCTGGAGACAGCCTCAGAAACCCCACGTTGAGGGCTCAGTCCCACAAGGCTGCCCCCTCCATCCCACCAGTCGCAAGTCCAGGACCCTAGAATGTCTGAACGACCGGCTTCGAGTTGGGGTTCATGCGACCCCTCTTGGGTTTAATTCCTAGAGCAACTCACAGAATTCAGGGAAACATATGCCTATGGTTTATTACAGAGGATCTTTTTATTTTTTATTTTTTGAGACGGAGCCTGCCTCTGTCGCTCAGGCTAAAGTACAATGGTGCAATCTCGGCTCACTGCAACCTCTGCCTCCTGGGTTCAAGCAATTCTTGTGCCTCAGCCTACTGAGTAGCTGGGATTACAGGCACATGCCACCATGCCTGGATAATTTTTGTATTTTTAGTAGAGACGGGGTTTCACCATGTTGACTGGGCTGGTCTCGAACTCCAGACCTCAGGTGATCCGCCCATCTCGGCCTCCCAAAGTGCTGGGATTACAGGTGTGAGCCACCATGCCCAGCCTACAGAGGATATTTTCAAGGATACACATAGCCAGATGAAGAGACACATGGCCAGGCCTGAAGGGTCCCAAGGATAGGAGCTTCCACCCTGTGGAGTTGGGGTGCCACCCTTCTGAGGAGCTTCCACCCCGTGGAGCTGGGGTGCTACCCTCCTGGCACGTGGATGAGTTCTTCGCCTTCCTTCCAGCCTCCATGTGCCCAGCTCTCTGGAAGCTCCTGAACCCCGCCTCTTGAGGAGACTCCATCGGATAGGCATGGTGGAAGAAGCATGGACGTCCCCGTAGAAATGCGACCGATGAAAAGGGTGTGATCTAAACCCAGCAAGGCCTGTCCAGATTCCTCTTGGCCTCTCTCTGTAGCGTTCCTTCCTCCAGGGCACGGGGCAGGGCCCCTTCTGAAATGAGGGCTTATGACTCACCAACAGGAAGTCAGGGGAAGATTTGAGTCCTGCCCTGCACAGGTGAAAAGAGGGCAGAAGGTCAGAGAGAGGGGTTCTGTTTCCTGATTCTAAAGGGCCCCAACATTATAACAAGGGCCATGGGAGTGAGAGGCAGGAGCCATAGATGAAAACATATATATATATCTCATAATATCGCAGAAGAGCAAAAATGTTTAATGTTGATGAAATTCAGTTTATCAATTTTTCTTTTTAAGATTTATGCTTTTGTCACTTATATAAGAAATCTTTGCTTAAGCCAAAGTCCCAGAAATTTTCTCTTCTGTTTTCTTCTAGAAGTTGTATAATTTCAGCTTTGACATTTAGATCTATGATTGATTGTGAGTTCATTTTTATATAAAGTGTCAGGTAAAGGAAAACATTTACATATGTGTTTATTTTGCACATGGATATTGAATTGAGCCAGTGCGCTTCTGAAAGCACTATCTGGCCGGGCACAGTGGCTCACGCCTGCAATCCCAGCACTTCGGGAGGCTGAGGCAGGCAAATCACTTGAGCCCAGGAGTTCGAGACCAACCTGGGCAACATAGTGAGACCTTGTCTCTACAAAAAATGTTTTTAAAAAATTAGCTGGGCATGGTGGCACATGGGAGGCTGAGGTGGGAGGATCAGTTGAGCCCAGGAAGTTGAGACTGCAGTGAGCTATGATTGAGCCTCTGCATTGCAGCCTGGGCAACGGAGCAAGACCCTGTCTAAGAAAAGAAAACAGAAGTAAGGACTATCCTCACCCTCATTGAATTCCCTCTGCAGCTCTGTCAAAAATCGATTGACAATATATGTATGGGTCTATTTCTGGACTTTCTATACTTTCCATTGATCTAGATGTCTGTTCTTTTTTTTTTTTTTTTTTTTGAGACGGAGTCTCACTGTCACCCAGGCTGGAGTTCAGTGGTGCCATCTCGGCTCACTGCAACCTCCACCTCTTGGGTTCAAGTGATTCTCCTGACTCAGCCTCTCAAGTAGCTGGGATTACAGGCACACGCCACCACACCCAGCTAATTTTTGCATTTTTAGTAGAAACGGGGTTTCACCATGTCCATCAGGCTTGTCTTGAACTCCTGAGCTCAGGTGATCCACCCACCTCGGCCTCCCAAAGTACTGGAATTACAGGCGTGAGCCACTGTGCCTGGCCTATATGTCTGTTCTTTTGTTTATACCATAGTGCCTTGATTATAGTAAGTCTTTTTGTTTTTTTGAGACGGAGTCTCGCTCTGTTGCCCAGGCTGGAGTCCAGTGGCGCGATCTTGGCTCACTGCAAGCTCCGCCTCCCGGGTTCACACCATTCTGCCTCAGCCTCCCGAGTAGCTGGGACTACAGGCGCCCGCCACCATGCCCGGCTACTTTTTTGTATTTTTAGTAGAGACGGGGTCTCATTGTGTTAGCCAGGATGGTCTCGATCTCCTGACCTCGTGATCCGCCGGTCTTGGCCTCCCAAAGTGCTGGGATTACAGGCGTGAGCCACCGCGCCCGGCCTACAGTAAGTCTTAAAGTCAGGTTGTGGCCAGGCTCAGTGGCTCACGCTTGTAATCCCAGCACTTTGGGAGGCCGAGGCGGGTGGATCAGGAGGTCAAGAGTTCGAGAACAGCCTGACCAACACGGTGAAACCCCGTCTCTATTAAAAATACAAATATTAGTTAGGCATGGTGGCAGACGCCTGTAATCCTGGCTACTTGGGAGGCTGAGGCAGGAGAATAACTTGAACCCGTGAGGTGGAGGTTGCAGTGAGCTGAGATCCTGCCACTGCACTCTAGCTTGGGCGACAGAGCTAGACTATTTGCTGAGCACCTGCTGTGTGGCAGGCTCTGCTCTAGGTGCCAGGGCTGCAGCTCCGAGCTGACTGCCTGCTCCCATGGGGCTTTCTGTTAGCAGACTGGCAATCAGAAGCAAACAAACAACAGATGGCACCATTTCAGGTAATGGACAACTACAAAGGGAAATACAGCTGGTGACGGGCCAGAGAGTGGCAAGGACTGTGTTTTTCTTTGCCTACATTTATTTGGGATTCATGTTTAGTTCTACAATCAATAAGAATGTGTCTGTGTGTTGTGCAGGGGTCCAGTTTTATTCTTTCCCATTAAGTATCCTGTCCCATCTGGGGATACTGCATTCTTTCTCCAGGGTCCTGAGCCTCCACCTCTGTCTCTGGTCCCACGTGGGGGTCCTGTGTCTGTGGGGGTCTGGGGATGGGCTCCCCACTCTGGGCCCGTTGTCTGTCTTCCTCCCACTGCACCATCATCATTCTGTCTTGGTATCTGGTGGACCTCACTCTCCTCTTTTTCCTTCAGGTGTCTGTCCTGGCAAATGGGCCTTTTGCAGGTCTGTATGCAACACTCAGCTTGTCAGATTTCACAGAATTTTCTTCTTAATTCTTCGGAGTTTGGGGAGGATGGACGTCTTTACGTGTGGAGTTACCCTGGCCAGAAAAATAACAAGTGTCTTTCTTTATTTAGATATTGTTTAATTTTTCATTCAATTCTATAATTTTCCCCGTAGTTTTATTTCAAGTTAAAAAGCATTTTTCCATTCTTAAAAATTAACATTGGGCTGGGTGCAGTGGCTCATGCCTGTAATCCCAGCACTTTAGGAGGCCGAGGCAGGCGGATCAGGCAGTCAGGAGTTCGAGACCACCCTGGCCAATACGGTGAAACCCGTCTCTACTGAAAATACAAAAATTAGCCAGGCGTGGTGGCGCGTGCCTGTAGTCCCAGGTACTCAGGAGGCGGAGGCAAGGGAATTGCGTGAACCCGGGAGGCGGATCTGGAAAAGTGGTGAGGCCCACATGAAGTCTTCAGTGGGGTGGTCGCTGGTACCATGTCCAGGTCTCAGCTTTGACGAACACTCGGTGGCTGCAATGTCAGCGTCTAGGGAGCCCTCTTATACAATCTTTGTGACTCTTCCGTAAATCTACAATTATTTCAAAATGAAGCTTTAAAAATCAACTTTAATGGATGTAGTATTTACATATACATTATGTATAACGTATACTAAATTGAATGCAGCCATTGTCATTGTACTTACCGTGTAAGGGAACCCTGGGCAGGGTTTTGACCTCAGGGGCGGCTGCTCTGTATAAGCAGATCCCCCCAGAAACTGCCTGGGCGTCTCGGGAGCGTGGGTGCCACTCCAGCAAAGGTCTGGGAGGTGGGTTCCCGGGAAGAGCCTCAGGGCTGGAAACGCGCGGCCCTGACCCCACCCTCCCCGATGTCTGCAGAGGAAACGTCTCTGCTTCTGCCCCTTCTGCTACCGGGAGGTGGGGTGGGCGGTGGAGTCTCAGCAGGGCCAGAGGGCAGGGAGGCGCCGCGATCTGCACCCCCCCCCCACCCCCTCTCCACCCGGTTTGGGGCGAGCTCCCGGGTGGGAAGGGCCCCTCCCGCTGGGACTGAACTCCCTCCCCAGAGGGTTTATCCGCCTGTGCCGCTGTGGGGGGCGTTGCCAGCCCCGTCATTGCCGCGGGGTCGTGCCCGGTGCGCCCCCCCACCGCCTCCACCTCTCACGGGGGGAAGCTGAGGCTCAGAGAACGAGGTAGGGGTGGGGTCGGCCCCTGTACGTCGAGGCCAGTAGCGGACCCCAGCCAGACTGCGGGACCCCCAGCCTCGGATCCGACCCCCCTGCAATCAGAGTCGGGGTGTCCCAGCCTCAGGCACCACGTGGGACCGCCCCGCGCCGCAGCGGCCTCCTCTGGAAACGGGGGCGGGGGTGGGTCGCAGCGCCGCCCTCCTGCGGATGCGGGATGCAGCTCATGCTTCCAGGGTCCGGCGGGGTCGCGGGGTGTCGAGGTCGAGGCCGGCGGGGTCGCAGCAGTGCTCGGGGCCGCCCGTTCTGCGCCGGTCTCGCCGCTCCGGCGTCTGTGCCGGGAGAGCAAATGGCACTTTGGGTTTCTGTGCCAGGAACAAGCTTCCCGCAGTTTCTGTTGCGCTCCTGGCTGCGCCCAATTCCCAGCTTTTGGAAGTGGTTCTGGAGGCGCCTCCCTGCAGTACCCGGGCCGAAAAGCGGGGGGGCGTGGGCGGCATCTGTGACGCTCCCCAGGTTCGCGGCGGGTCCCTCTGAGCCTAGTGGCTTTGCAGCCTGCGGGGAGCACGAATCCTCGGCTCCTTAGAGGTGGGCCTTCCAGAAGCCTTTGGCGCCTGGACCAGCCCAGGGCTCAAGTGGGGCCTCCACACTCTCAGAGCGGGAGGGCCCCCCACAGGCACCCCTGGAGCAGAGCGCAGCACACCTGGTGCTCTATAAATGCCGGCTCCCGCGACCAGACCCAGAGCCTATGGGATCAGCTGGAGGGGAGGGAAGGGGCAGCCCACTGAGCTGCAGAAGCCCTGCAGCTCCCCACCCCTGCCAGGAACCCCTTCCATCAGGAGAGCAATGTGGGGAGAGACCAGGCTCACCCACCTCCTTATAGACGCCAGTCCTTTCCAGGAGGGAGAAAGAGCCACGGGTCACTCACTTTAGGGTGAATTAGCTTTTCTCATGGGGGTTAAGATTTGCACAAAGGCAGTCAGGACTGTGGGGGCTGTCCTTGCCTCCCCCACACACCTGCTAGAGACAGCCCGCTGGAGGCAGAGAGATTTTGGTCCAATGACTGGGGACTGTTAGAAGAATCCAGGAGCAACTCTACTGTGACCCAGTTTCCCTTGAGTCATGGGCCTAAAATCTGCTTTGCAAAACATGGCAGATGCGGCTGAAAACTGACCACAAGCCTCTTAGCTTTCTGTTGAGGAGTCCAGATCTGTGCTATCAGCCAAGTGCCTAGCATAGGCTGCCTGCCTGTCCCCAGCAGCGACGAGGGCAGCAAGAGGGGCTCGTTCTCCCCACACCCCACTGCCTGTGATAGCTTCAGACAGCCAGGATATGGGGGGCAGGGAAACAGGTGCAGTCGGCGGCGCCTGCAGGATGCAGGCATGGCCCTGTCTGAGTGACACCTTCAGCCCAGAGCACTCAACCAAAAAGCTATTCTCCTCCCACCAACAGCTCGGGCCTTCCAAATGACAGCTCCTGCCCACCCTCGACAGGGAGCTCACTCCTGAGTGACTGGCAGAGGCAGCACTGGCACAGATAGCTACAGGCGAGGGCGTCGCCCCAGGCTCCGTATAGCACGGAGCTTCCCGGTATCAGCATAGTAATGGCGAGGGGGAACCCAGAGCGCCAGGGACATGGAGCTGCTGAATCCACAGAAACGAGGTGGGGGGCACACCTGGACCCAGGTGGAAAGTGGCTGGGTGGTGTTAGTCTAACCCACAATTTCACCTGACATCTCTACCCGAGGCATGGGCTCAGCTGGTCGGGGGCAGTCCTTAGGAGGTCTGGCATCCAGGGGGCAGAGCCCAGAGGCAAGACCTTCAAGGAGGGGGCAGAGCCAGTGCCTCACCACTGAGGAGCACCTCGAGAGGGGGCCGGGTGGCCGCGGGGGGAGAGCGGCATTTGCAGGGGCAACGTGTGGCCAGAGTCCCCTCACACACACGAGGCTGGTCCAGGAGCACCCCTGCAACGCTGAGGGCTATAAGTGGCCATGGAGGAGCCTGGCCGCTCTGCCAAGTCACCTCCCTCAGTGACACCTGTGTGCTGGGTCCAGCCAGCTTGCTCTGCTCTCTGGAGCTGCCGAGGGCCAGGGCTCCCCGCAGTGCCTGCTGTATTCAGAGCCCGTAATTATGCATATCTGTCCTGTGGGCTGAGTTGCAGAGCTGTTTAGGGAGGTGTTTGTGGGGCCTGTGAATCAGCAGCTCATGAGAAAAGTAGTGACTAGCACCGCAGAGCAATTAGGGCCTGGGTGCCAGTAACAAGCGGTCCCCTGCAGCCCCAGCAGGGCCCCTGCCAACCCCCATGCCAGCTCCTGCCCCAGCAGGGCCCCTGCCAGCCCCCATGCCAGCTTCTGCCCCAGGGGTCAGACTTGGTGACCTTGCCTCTGACAGCCAGCCCTGCCCCTCAACCCACTGCCTGCATAGATGGCTGAACCGCACCACCTCCAGGAGGCCAGGCCTCTGCTGGACACATGACCAGAGAAGACGCTTCAACCCCTGGAAGCTCACACACAACTGCACGCGCAACCACAAGACGACAAGCCTGATCACACAACCGCATGCAGTCAACCACACACACATGCACAACCACACAGCCAGGCATGCATATGACACAAACACAGAACCACATACAGATGTACGACCACGTGGTGCACACACAAACACAACCACAACAGCCACACGTACGCATAAGCACGCAGTCACACACAGGTGCATACAGACGCGCAACCACAGCGCCACTCTCCCTCCCCCCACGGAGTTGCCTGTGTCTCTTGAGGAACAGAAAGCAAAGCAGGAGACCCCAGCACACTGGATGGAGGGTCCCGGGCAGGAGGGTCAGGGCCAGATGGAGGTGGGAGGAGCGGCTGGAGGGTGGTGGGGGCAGCCAGAGGGTCGAGTGGATGGAGGGTTTGGGGGGTCGGCCAGAAGGTGGGGGAGTGTGGCTGAGACACTAGCCCGGCCCTGGACATCTGAATGGGGCGGTCTGAATCACCAACTTCTGTACCAGGGGCCACCAAGGACATGGGGAAGATGCTGGGGGGTGACGAGGAGAAGGACCCAGACGCCGCCAAGAAGGAGGAGGAGCGGCAGGAGGCGCTGCGCCAGGCGGAGGAGGAGCGCAAGGCCAAGTACGCCAAGATGGAGGCGGAGCGCGAGGCCGTGCGCCAGGGCATCCGAGACAAGGTGCGCGCCGGGCCGGCCCCGCCTGCGGGAAGGCGGCCCTGAGTCCAGCGGGGACCCAGATCCCGCCTGGGTGGAAGGGGCTGCCCGGAAGAGGGGCGGGCGTCCCCCTGGGCCTCCTACCCTTTGGGGGCTTCAGAGTGGCGGAGGGGTGAGGGGTGGGGGCTCCGGGTTGGGCTCCCTCTGTGGGGCCCAGCCCCTCCTGCTCCTGACCACAGCGCCAGCCCTGGCGGGCTTCCTAGGCCCGCATTCCGATGCGCAGCCCTGCGTGGAGCCTGGCTGGCTGCCTGGGGCCCTGGGCCGAGGGGTCGTGGGGCGGCCACCTGGCATGGGGGGTGCGCTCTCAGGTGAGCCCGGCCTGGAGTGAGGACTCAGGGAGGGGGGCACCCACTGGGATTCACGAGGCGGCCCAGAGTGGCTGCCAGCACCAGGACAGCCACGCAAGGTCACTCCCACTCAGCCCGGTCCCCTCAGCGGCCAGGTCCGAGGGGCACGAGGCACAGGGAGCAGCCTGGGTCCCGACAGCCGCTCCGGCTTCCTCGGTGGCTCCAGCACGGCCCTGGCTGGAAGCCGGGTGGGCACAGACATCAGCCTGGAGGAGTCTCCAGCCAGGGGTGAGCGGGCATGGTGGGAGATGTTCACATCCCACGTAGAAGGGGCCTGGGGTGCTGCCTGGGGCGCAGTGCTCACCCCGTGCCCTGGCCCCGAGGGTAGGGGCCGCAGCAGGCCCAGCAGGCCGGAAGCTGTGTTTCCCAGAAGGTGGCCTCAGTCCCCTGCCCTGGATGGGCCAAGATGGCCTGGCTTCGGGGTGGGAAGGTTCAGACTCCCGGGACCCCTCCCTGCTGCCGGCGGCACCTGGAGCAGGTGGAGAAGCCGTTTCCTGGCCTTGTGTCAGCCGCACCCAGGGAAGGGTGGGCTTCACGGGGTGTTGTGGGGAAGCTGGAGCTCCTGAAGTGGACAGAGGTGGAGCTGGGAGGGCAGGGGCGGGGCAGGTGCGGCACATGCAGCCGCTGTACCCAAAAGGCCAGCTCCTCCCCACCCACGGATTCTCCCCACACCCTCCGGTCCCTCGCAGCCCCCCGCCCACCGCCATGCACCCTGGAGGGTGCAGAGAAGCCGCTGATGGGGAGTGGGGGCCGGGCGCCCTGGCATCCCACCCAGGGTCACTGGACGTTTCCAGGGATCTCCTGTTGATCGACTTTGCTGTGCTGGCTCAAGCCTCCAGCCCACCCCTCCGCCCCCCGCTCCCCGCCCCCCGCCCCGCAGCTGACCCAGGGCTTCAGGAGGAAGTCAGGAGAAAATGCACCATCTCAGCCAGGCAGCCACAGTCCACTGGGATGTGCTCGGGAGACTGTGGGTATCAGGAGCGGGAGACGGGGACAGGAGGAGAAGGAAGGGGGAGTCAGAGAACAGAGAGGAACAGAGACACAGAGATAAAGAGACAGAGAGAAGACAGAGGGAGAGACAGAGACACAGAGAGGGAGAGACAGAGAAAAAGACAAAAAGAGGGAAAGAGAGAGGGGAGAGAGACAAAGAGAGGAGAGACAGGCACAGAGAGAGGGAGAGACAGCAATCAAGGCCGAGACACAGGGAACAGAGAGGAGAGAGCCCCAGGCAGAGCTAGAGAGAGCTGACGCTGGGTAGAAGTGGAGGTGGCAGTGGGTAGCAGCTGAGGGAAGGACACAAAGCGATGGTGGGCTGGGGTCTGGGAGGGCTATGTGTGGGTCCGTGTATCCAGGGAGGTGTCTCTGGAGTGGGTCTGGTCCCCTGGGCTCCGGCCTCTGCTGGCATGATCCTAGAGGGACGCTGGCTGTTCCAGGCCATGTCATTCCTCAGGGTCCCCAGAGGCAGGATAGGGCAGGCTGAGGGGACCCCAAGGAGGTGGGGACAGGGCCAGCAGCGTCAGGGACCGAGTGGCCCGGGCAGGATGCAGCAGCTGCACCCTCCAGAGACTGGGAGATGCCAGGGAGAGTGAGGCCCAGGAGAGGGGGAAGCGTAAGCACCTCCTCAGCTTCCATGTGGGGCCCAGAGCTGGCAGCTGGGGTGCAGGGCTCGCCGGTCAGGCCTATGGGGAGCTGGCCGGACCTTGCTGCCAGGCACCAACCTGCGATCCTGCCTTGGTCTAAGCCCCTCAGAGAACAGCAGGTGGCAGGGATTGAGGCCACACACTTGCCCACAAGAACAGCCCCCTCCGCAGCCCACTGGCCCCTCAGGCCTTGGAAGCACCAGCCTCTCTGCTCTGGAGGCCCTGCCAAAGTGGATCCCCCCGGACCCCACGTCCACACCTTCCCCACAGAGTCCTCCTCCACAGAGCCTTTGGGGTGGGGGAACCCCGCCCTCAGGCGTGGCCACCTGTTGGGGTGGGGGAACGCTGCCCTCAGGCGTGGCCTTTGGGGGGTGGGGGAACCCCGCCCTCAGGCGTGGCCACCTGTTGGGGTGGGGGAACCCTGCCTTCAGGCGTGGCCACCTGTTGGGGTAGGGGAACCCTGCCTTCAGGCGTGGCCACCTGTTGGGGTGGGGGAACCCTGCCCTCAGGCGTGGCCACCTGATCAGAACACCTGCTGCCTCCAGCCTCCTCTGGGCCGTGGCACCCCCCGGCATCTTGGGGGTTGGTTAGAGAAGAGACGCTGAGCTGCCCTGTCCAAGGCCTCTGTGCAGATGGGGACTGGGTCCTTTTGGAGTGTCCAGCCCCCTAGGCAGTTCCCAGAGGAGCAGCGCGCCTGCACCTCCTGTCAGGCAGCCATCTGGACAGGCCCGGGCCCAGGGAGCAGGAGGGAGACTGCCCCGCTGTGCTCCGCGCACTGACCCGCCCTTGTCCTGCATAAGCTTCCAGCCACCCATGTTGGGCAGCCCACACCTGGGCCTTCCTGCACGGGCCTTCTGAGGGCCCACTAGGCTCCCTCAATACATTGCATCCCCCTACCCCCCGCAGCTCCCACAGCGGCTAGGAGGTGTCCACCTGGTTGCTGAATGCTGGCTGTTTGGTCCTATCATTCCTATTGTTGGTTCTCAGCATTGATTAGCACCCACTGCCCTTTTTTCTCACGAATACCGTGTTTTCAGGGTTCAGGGTCTCACCTCAGACGTGTCAGGGCCTCCTGGGCGCCCCCAGCAGCCACTCCCATCCTCAGGTGTTACTTCCTGGAGAGCTGCTGCCCAGCATCACGGTGGGCCTGGGGCTGGGTGTGCCTGGGCGTTTGTCTCTGGAGCAGACGCCTCAGAACTGGGTCTCAGCCAGACCACGTGGAAGCCAGGCTCTGGTGTGCAGCCCAGCCCCGGAGCCTGTTTTCCCGGCAGAGTGACCCTGGCCCTCAGGCCAAGTCCGGCGTGACCTCAGCCTCAGAATGACCTGGAGCCTCACTGCAGCAACTGGCACTTCAGGCCAAGCTCCGAGTGTCCCACAACCTGGTGGCAGGGCCTGGGGTCTCCTTCCTGGGCCCAGAAGGAAGGATCCCACACCGTTTGCAGACAGGGTCCCACAAGCCCCAAGGGTCACTCCCCTGACCTGGGAGGTTCCTTTGCTCACACAACTCATGTTCCGCCGTTACAGGCATGCTCCTCTGAGCACACACATGTTCCTGAGTGCTTTTGCTGTGGGCAGCACAGCCTCCTGGGCTGGATACACATGTTGCCGCCACATGCACAGACCCCCACACCCCTGGCTGGAGGGAGGCTCTCTGGCCGGACCTAGCTTCCAGTGGCATCGCTCTCCCCAGCACACCCCTGGCCCCACAGGACGAAGAGCACATGCTCCCTCCACTTCCGTGCCTGGAGCTGCTGCCCTTCCCGCTGTGGATGGCTAGGACGAGAACCAATCTGCTCTTGCTGCCCCACAGGGTCAGGGCTTTGTTCTGGGCCTGCAGGGCCCTCTGGGTGTCGCCCCTGTTGTGCGGAGAACGTTCCTACCCTGTGCTCTTCGTTTCACTGAGGAGACCCCTGGAGTCCCGGCTCTGTCAAGAGTGCGCAGGGGCTGCTGAGGACTAGGGCGAGCCCACGGCCCCTCTCTCCTCAGTGGCCAGGTGGTGGTCTGGCCACAGGCGGCTGGGAACGTGGCGCCCTCCTTTCCATCTCACTGAAGGTGGCCCTGGCCCCCCACACCCAGAGCCACCTGCAGCCCTAGGGGAGGGGAGAGGTGCCGAGACTGCCCTCGGTGGGGTTGGGGAGCACACAGGCAGCCCCCCCTCCATTTGGGAGGAAGGAGGGGCCTCCTTGGAGATCCAGGGGGTGCCCAGCACCAGGAGCAGAACCAACTGCTTCTATGGGGAGGGGCTGCTGAGACAGGAGCAGGAGATGGCAGGGGAGGGGCTCCTCCTGGGCAGAAAGGCCCCTCCCTGTGGCTGGTGATCCCGCGGTGTGCTCCTCCGTCCTGTAGAGTGCTGGTGCCCACTCCCCTCCTAAGTTTTCTCCTGGACGCAGCTGCTGACGCCTTCACTACTCCAGAGCACCTGTAATCTCAGATCCAGGACCTTGGACCTGGCCCGGGGGTCCTGTTCAGGGGATGGAAGTCCAGCTCCGTACAACACCAGGCCCCCAATCCTTCCAGGCCAGCCCAACCCCACTGGTTCCCACCTTCCTGGGCAGCAGGAGGCTGTTCCGTAGTTCCGTGGCCTGACCATGACCACAGGCTTCCTGGGCTGGTGGCTCACGGGAGGGCTGGAGGAGTGTGGCGTGGGGAGGCGTATTGATCTAGAAACCAAAACCCCGGGGCCTGACAAAAACTTAGAGGCCTGGAGGGCAGAAGAACAAAATCCCACACTCCCTCTGGAGGCTCTGGGGGAGGGCCCTTCCCTGCCCCTTCCTGCGTCTGGCGGCCCCGAATCCCTGGTGTTTCTTGACCACTCGCGACCTCCTCCGCTTTCGTATGCCCGCCCCCATCCGGGTGTCTGTCCTTTCTGTCTCTTACAAGGACACTCTCACTGGACTTGAGGCCCCTCAAATCCAGGATGGCCTCGTCCCCATCCTTACCATTATGAGATCAACAAAGACCTGTTTCCGAATGAGATCACCTTTGAAGCTCCAGGCAATATGAATTTGAGGGGGACAATATTCAGCTACTACGGAGGGCAGACGCACTCACGGGAGATGAGAAACGCGGGTGGGCAGGGGGTCGGTGAGGCCCAGGCATACTGGCTGAGGGCACGACTAGGCGGGATTCCAGGACACCCAGTGCCTGGAAGTGACCGCAGCCCAGGACCCTCTGCCGGCTGCCCACGGAGCTGCAGCGGCCTGCCAGGGAGTGGCCCTGCTGGGGCCGCGGCCGCATCCAGGCAGCCTTGGCCAGGCCCGGGAGTGTGAATGCAGGTCGTGGACCAGGCACTGGGCAGGAGGGTCAGCTGCGGGTTGACTGTTTCTCCCCACCTCTGCCACGCAGCATCCTGCCCACCCCTCCCTGCCCCGGGCCGGAGGCTTCCTGGAAGGCAGGATGCCAGGGGCTGGGCTGGGTTTGGAGCCAGAGGTGGGGCCACAGCCCTCTCTCCTCTCAAGGAAGATGGGAGCCTCCCCCTCCCTGCTCCCCCCCATGTCAGCTCCTGGCCCCCATTCTCCGTGGGGGCTTCCCATTCCTCCAGGGACCCCCCGGGGTGGGGTCTCTTCTCCTTCTGGGGTCCTTGTGTGCCTGGTGGGGTAGGGGGCCGCACCCACGCCTTCGGGGGTTCCTGGGCCAGTCCCTGGCGCAGGGAGGCTGCGGCCCGCCCGGGAGCCGCCGGGACCCCCGCCCTGACCCCCGCCTCCCCCGCAGTACGGCATCAAGAAGAAGGAGGAGCGCGAGGCCGAGGCCCAGGCCGCCATGGAGGCCAACTCCGAGGGGAGCTTGACGCGGCCCAAGAAGGCCATCCCGCCGGGCTGCGGGGACGAGGTGGAGGAGGAGGACGAGAGCATCCTGGACACCGTCATCAAGTACCTGCCCGGGCCGCTGCAGGACATGCTCAAGAAGTAGCCGCGCGCGGGACAGCGGCCCCGCGGAGCCCCCGCCCCTCCCCCTACAGATCCTCCGCGGAGGCCCCTGAGGGACGAGCAGAGCGCAGCCCCCACGCCGATATAAGCCATAGCCCCAGGCCCGCCCTGCCCGCGCCCGCCGCCTCCCTCACCCGGCAAGGGGCGCGCGCCCCCAGGACCCCCCCAGTCCGCCCCGTGCTCCTCTGCCCGCGGGTGGCTGGAGCCCCATCGCCTGGGACGCCCCTTTCTCTTGCTGTTTACCGCCCACCCAGCAGCGCCCGAGGCCAGGGCCGCCGAAGGGCAGCCCCGCGACCACCCCTGTGCGCGCGTTCGCGGCGGTGGGCGCCTGTCGGGCCCGCACTCAGGAGCACAGCCATAGCAGACGGGGGGCTGCGGGCGGGGCGAGGGCGGCGGGGCCTGGGTCCCCCTCCTGCACGCGGACTCCGGGGTTCGGATCGCTCCGCCGTGAGTATTTGCGTCCGCACGCGGCCGCTCTCCGCCCCCCGGCCTGGCCCCCTCGCGCCCCTGTCCATCCGTCTCTGTCCGCGTCCTTTCCTCTCCTCTCTGGAAGGTTTTGCTTCTTACGAACGCCACGGCCGTGTTCACTTCTAAACTAAAGGAAACAAAGCAATAGGTTTGGGGGACGCCCAGCCCCCACCCCCGTCACCCCGCTCTTCCCAAGTCCTCGCCCCCCGCCCGGCCTCCTAGCCTCTCCGCCCACGCGGCTGCTGCTTCTCCCTGGGGAGGACCCCTGCCCTCGGCCATTGAACACTGCACCCTCCACAGGAGCCGCAGAGGCCCGAGGCACCGGACGCTGGAGACCCTGCGCCCCTGCCCAGCACCTCCTCCGTGGGCAGCTCCTCGGGTGGGGCCTGCGGGGTTCCCTGCGCGCAGCTGGCGCGTGTGTGGCCTAATCCACCTGGTGGCCCTGCGGGGCGGCATCCGAGCCCCTGTTTCTCCTCCATTCATGTTTAATTTGCATCACAATTTGTTGAATCTCAGGTAAATGAGGTCTTTGCATTTAATGAGTTTTATCTTGACAGGCGCCGCCTCGCCCCCGGGCCCTTTCGTCCACATCAAAAATGCATCAAGTCTCCACGTGTTTCGGGCCAGGGCGTGGCTTGGCATTGACCTTCATGACCTTACATAGCTTTAGAGAAGCCATAACGTTAGACTGCAATACTAACGACCGACGCCCCTCCGGGCAGAGACCACCGCGCCCCTCTGCGCCCCAGCGACGCGGCCCGCGGGGACGTCGCTGTCCGTCCTGCTCGCCCTGTGCCCTCTCACTGACTTCTCCCGGGTCGTGTCTTTTAAAAACTCCTGTTTTCACACCTTACAAAGCCAGCTCTGAGCAGACAGGGCGTCCTCTCGTAGAACCTGCGCACCCCGTTCCCAGCGCATGGCGCCCCGGGCCGCGAGCTTAGCTTAGACCGTGGTGTCCTCTGTCCGTCTGTCCTGCGCCTGCGCCTCCTCCTGCATGTCGGGGCCCCTGCGTGTGTTCTCTCCGGATGGAATCACAGCCAATAAACACCAGTGATTTCACACCGTGTGGCCATTCCTTCCAGAGGTCCATTTCGCCAGCCGGAGGACCGGGGCTTTCCCCCGCGCATGTTCTCTCCACGGCGGCTGCAGGGCCTCCCACCATTCTCACTCAGCTCCATCCAGTCAGACCCATTTTCCCTAGGCCGTCCAGCCAGCGCAACCTCCATCTAAACACAAACCTGCGCCTTCAGGGTCTCCCGCCCCCCAGGGTGGTTCTTCCACCCGCAAAGCATCTGCCCTCTGCTCTCCCTCCCACCTAGGACCCCCGACCACAGGCCTGTCCCTCTCCTCAGCTCCACCGGGCCCAGGGCCCCAGGTCACCCTGTGCTGCCCTTACCTCGGCCCACCCAGGAATTCCTGCCCCCCAGCACCCCCGTGGGACTGTCCCTCCTCCTGAGTCCTGGACCCGGATCCCTGCAGGGAAATGTCTGCCAACCTGGGCTGAGGCCAGAAGAGGTTCCTGACCCCAACCCAGAGAACAGCCCCTCTGCCTGGTTGCTGGCGGTCCCGCCCACACTCAATCCGCTGGATGCGCAGCCCACGCCTAGCTGCTGCCTGCCACTTGCTTCCCCAGAAAGTCCTTGTTTGACCTCCAAGTTTGGAAGCTGTTAAAAGATGATTCTGGCCAGGTGCGGTGGTTCAGGCCAGGTGCGGTGGTTCAGGCCGGGCGCGGTGGCTCACGCCTGTCATCCCAGCACTTTGGGAGGACGAGGTGAGCGGATCACGAGGTCAGGAGATGGAGACTATTCTGGCTAACAAGGTGAAACCCCATTAATACTAAAACTACAAAAAAAAAAAAAAAAAAGCTGGGTGAGGTGGCAAGCAACTGTAGTCCTAGCTACTCGGGAGGCTGAGGCAGGAGAATCGCCTTGAACCTGGGAGTCAGAGGTTGCAGTGAGCCGAGATGACACCACTGCACTCCAGCCTGGGCGACAGAGCGAGACTCCCTCTCAAAAAAAAAAAAAGAAAAAAGAAAAGAAAAGATGGTCCCGTGACACTTGTTACAGCTGAGTGAGGAAGGCTTTATTCAGGACCAGCACTACAGGTACAGGGACCATGCAACAGGGCTTGCCATGGGTGCCAAGGAGCAGGGTGGGCTCAGTGGATGGAAAATGACTGAGGAACATCAGGGGTTGGGGGATTCTGATGAAACCCATCTAACTGGATTCTAGCTGGAGACAGGCAGGGCAATCAGACAGACCCATAGGGTGGTGAAGCATGAGGACCCCAATCAGATCTCCAGGATGAAGGTTTGTTGCTAAACTGACTTAGCCAGATTCTTTGCTAAAACTGCATTTTACAAGGAAGTGGGCCAATGGGCCTACCAGAAGATTCAGGAAGTTAACTAAAGTTTGACCACACAAAAAATCTTTGTCAGGAGCCCTCTCTAGGGAGCAGCATGTCTGGGTCTCCTGTAACCTTCCTGATGCTGCTGGCTGGGAATGCCCCAGGGAGCTGCCCAGTCCCAGGGCAGGAGGGCCCCATGTGCCCTGACCCCAGGCCGGGCCCTCCTGGATGCCAGGTGGGAGCTGGGAGGGAACGTGCTCTCCTCCAAGCCCAGGGAAGGGTGTATCCAGCTCCTCCTCCTGCTGCCTCTGGGGAAGTGTGCACCCCAGGCACCACCAAATTGCCCAGGGTGATCTCTCCTCTGCCAGCTGGCCCCCCTTCCTCCTGGAACAGAAACTCAGTGTCTTTGCACCCACCCCTGTGTCCGTGGCTGCTGCCAGCTGCCCCTCAACAGGGCACCCCAACATCCAGCCACTGCTCAGCCTCCATCCTCCCCCAGCCTCCCATTTCCCATCCACAGCCTGGTCTGGACCCCCTTGCAAGCCTAAGCAGCGACTTGGACGTGCCAGGTCACGACCCAGGCAGCTTTCCCTTGGAGTCTTTTTTTTTTGAGACAGAGTCTCTCTCTGTCCCCCAGGATGGAGTGCAGTGGTGCGATCTCGGCTCACTGCAAGCTCCGCTCCCAAGTTCACACCATTCTCCTGCCTCAGCCTCCCGAGTAGCTGGGACTACAGGCACCCGCCACCACGCCCGGCTAATTTTTTGTATTTTTAGTAGAGACGGGGTTTCACCGTGTTAGCCAGGATGGTCTGGATCTCCTGACCTGGTGATCCGCCCGCCTCGGCCTTCCGAAGTGCTGGGATTTCAGGCGTGAGCCACCGCACCCGGCTCCCTTGGAGTCTAGACGAGCCCTTCCTACAGCAATGAATGCTGGGTCAGACCTGAGCTTCTCCGGGATCCAGCTCTCATCTCAGGTGACGGGGTCTGAGGCCTCCTGGGAATGGCACTCCTCCCCAGATGTTTACTGAGCCCCTGTGATATGCGCTGCTCTGTTCTAGGGGCTGGGAATACTAGTCCCTCCCTCCTGGAACTGGTTTTCCTAGTGATGGAGGACAGATGATAAACATGGAAGTGGCGGTGTTTGCCCTGGAGGAAAATCAAGCAGGACAGGGAGCAGAGAGCAATGGTTAGGGTTACTATTTCATGAGTGGTCAGGGGGCCTCTCTGTCAGAGTGACGTGCACAGACCCGGAGGGAGGCGCGTGTCCCGTGGGAGAGCATTCTGGGCAGAGAACAGCCATTCGAGAGCCAGGAGGCAGCGCTGCCTGGGTGCCACCAGCGTGGCCCTGGCCCCATGCACTGGCTGGGCACCACCCTGCCCCCGGAGTCTCCTCCTTCTGAACGTTTGACTGTATCTTGAACACAGCGGGGCCGGCTTTCAAGCTCCAGACACGGCCTCCTCCCCAGGCCAGGAAGCCCTGTCAGGCAGCAGATCCGGCCCCCTCAGCAGATCGGCCCCTCCAGAAGACCCGCCCCTCACAGCAGATCCGGCCTTCCCAGCAGACCCGCCCCCCGAGTAGATCCGCCCCTCCAGGATATCCATCTCCCCAGCAGATCCGTCCTCTCCAGCAGAACCGCCCCCAGCGGAGCCGCTCGGGCGGGGCCTCCGGGCCTGGGGAAGGGAGCGGGGACCGGGCCGTGGAAGGACCGCGCCCGCCCCTGGCCAGCCTGAGCCAATCAGCGCATGCTAGGTGGGCCGACATGATTGGCTCCTAGAGGCTCACGTGTGGAGGCCTGACCAATCAGAGCCCGAGAGACGCCATTGCAAGCCTCTGCAGAGGCGCTGGAGCTGGGTCAGTCCGCCGCTCACCCCGCGGCCGCACCTTCCCGCCTTCTCAGGTAACTAAGTGCGGGTCTCGGGCCTGGCAGAAGCTTCTTCGGCCCCGTGCCCTCGCCTGGCCCCGCCCCGTCGGTTGTGTGCTTGTCTCGTCCTGCCCCCAGGCCCTGCCGGTCCCCACCGTTAGGCCGGCGTCCCTGCCCGGCCCCGCTGCGGGCTGGCGCCAGCTCAGGAGGACGCCCCGAAGCCGAGGCCTCGGAAGCAGGTTTTTCCCAGACCTTCTCCTGTCCCGCGTTCCCCCTAGGCCGGCCGTAGGGACCAGACCCCACCCTAAGCCCATAGCCGGCCTTCGCGCTCCGGGTGACCCTGGCTGGCCCTGTTTGTCTGTGGGTCCTGGGATGCGCCACTCCCGGCAGGAAGGGGCGCCGCCGAGGCCCGGTCTCAGCCTGGAACCCCGCTCCTGCCGTCGGGGCGCTTTCTGCGGCTGCCCACACACGACCCCAGGCAAGGGGTGGGGGCGCGGGACCCTCCATGACATGGCGGCGGGGCGCTCTCACTTCTTTGAAACCAGCGTAAACTGGACCCGCCCCACCTCCCATACCTTGGGGGAGCCCCGGGAAAGGCTGTGGCCTGGGGGTCTGCAGGGCGTTGGCAGTGGAGGTGGGGAGAGACCCCAGCCCTTTCCTGTCCCCCCCACCAGCCTTGCCTTCCTCGCCGTGAGCCGGGGACAGTGGAGGGGAGTCAGGGAGGGCCCACCAGATGGACTTTCTTGTGACTCATCCTATAAAGCCCCTCGGGCTTAGCCACCCTCCCCAGGACCCGTGTGGTCTCCCGGACTGTGCTGGAAGCTTAGAGCCAGAATGACTTTTCCACCCTCGGGCTGGCTGGCTCAGTGGGCAGCAGGGACAGGGGGCTGTGAAGAGAAAACTCACTCGCCAGGGTCAGGGGCCGCTTGCTCACTGAGGAAAGCAGAGGGGTTCCTGCCGCTTGCCTCAGGAACAAAGCTAGTTGGTGAGGCACTGCCTTGCAGTTGTAGGAGAGGAATAATGGCCCCCGTGGGTGCTTGGTTGGAACGATTAAAGGAGAATAACAGTTTAGCACGATTATTTCACACAGTTGTTCAAAGAGATGGCTTTGAATTCCAGCTTACATGGCGTCTTCAACAAAAAGTAATTGTTTAGAGAAGTGACAAGATGAAGGAGGACTCTGAGTCCTAGTCTCCCTCCTCGAGTCCCTGTGTGAGCAGAGGTAAACAATGAAAACTCACCAACCAGGAGAAATTCACCTAGGACTGGCGCAGAAGGTATACACCATGAGCCTGGAAATGATTTAAAAAACAACACAGGCTGGGCGCGGTGGCTCACACCTATAATCCCAGCACTTTGGGAGGCAGAGGCGGGCGGATCACTTGAGGTTTGCGAGTTGGAAACCAGTCTGACCAACGTGGAGAAACCCCGTCTTTACTAAAAATACAAAATTAGCCAGGTGTGGTGGCGCATGTCTGTAATCCCAGCTACTGGGGAAGCTGAGGCAGGAGAATCCCTTGAACCTGAGAGATGGAGGTTGATGTGAGCTGAGATCACACAATTGCAGTCCAGCCTGGGCAGCAAGAGTGAAACTCCATCTCAAAAAAACAAAAAAAACAACCCACAACTGTGGGCCAAAGGGACACAGCGACAAGGGGTCCCAATGGGCGAGGCTGGAATAACTTGAATAGCAGAATAAAGTAGCATTGGATTATAATGCACAGGGCTGAAGAAATATCGATGAGTCTTTGCTGATGTAATAAGTGACTGAATGAGCTGGGCAGAGTGGGACCTGTAGTTCAGCTACTCAGAGGCTGAGGTGGGAGCATCAGTTGAGCCCAGGAGTCAAGGCCTAGTAATATCCCATTTCCAAAATAAAAGACTGAATTAATAAATAGATGGGAGAGAGGAGACAATTGACCATGCAGGAGGAGTCCAAATATTTGTTCTTTGAGGCAGGATCTTCCTCTGTCATTCAGAAGGCTGGAGTGCAATGGTGCGCTGTTGCCTTGCTGCAGCCTGGACCTCCTGGGCTCAGGCAGTTGTCCCACCTCAGCCTCCCAAGTAGCTGGGACCAGAGGCATGCACATCCAGCCGAGTCCAAATAGTGTATGCAGATATGCCCTCACAGAGGTGACCTGAACTTTCTGAGTTGTGAGTGAGCTTCACCTGGGGACCTCCTTTTAGGTAGCAGGGAAAAAGAGGAGGGTGAGCCACACCCAGGCACCTCCTTCCAGAGAGCATGTGCCTCAGCCTCCAGAGTAGCTGGGATTGCAGACATGTGCCACCAGCCCGACTAATTTTTGTATTTTTAGTCGATACGGGGGGGTCTCACTATGTTGCCCAGGCTGGTCTTGAACTCCTGGGTTCAGGTGATCTTCCCACTTCAGCCTCCCAAAGTGCTGGGATTACAGGTGAGATAAAACTTCCTTATTCACAGACTACATGATTGTCTATATAGAGAACACTCATCTAAAGCAACAGCAATGATTGCCACAAAGACCCTCGTAGAGCCAGTAAGTGAGTTTGGAATGTTCACCAGTAACACATACAAATTAATCTTAGGGCTGCGTGCAGTGGCTCATGCCTGTAATCCCAGCACTTTGGGAGGCTGAGGCCGAGGCTGGTGGATGGCCTAAGGTCAGGAGTTTGAGACCAGCTGACCAACATGGTGAAACCCTGTGTCTACTAAAAATAGGAAAACTATCCAGGCATGGTGGCGGGCACTGTAATCCCAGCTACTCAGGAGGCTGAGGCAGGAGAATCGCTTGAATCCGGGAAGCAGAGGCTGCAGTGAGCCGAGATCGCACCATTGCACTCCAGCCTGAGCAACAAGAGTGGAACTCTGTCTCAAAAAAAATAAAAGACCCGGTGTGGTGGCTCATGCCTGTAATCCCAACGCTCTTTGGGAGGCTGAGGCAGGCGTATCACCAGGTCAGGAGTTGGAGATCAGCCTGACCAACATGGTGAAACCCTGTCTCTACTAAAAATACAAAAATTAGCCGGGTGTGGTGGCACACACCTGTAATCGCAGCTACTCAGGAGGCTGAGACAGGAGAATTGCTTGAACCTGGGAGGCAGAGGTTGCAGTGAGCTGAGATCATGCCACATTTGAACCCGTGAGGCAGACGTTGCAGTGAGCCGAGATCATGTCACTGCACTCCAGCCTGGGCAACAGAGCCAGACTGTCTCAAAAAAAAAAAAAAAATCTTACTTCTATAGACAATAAAACATTGGAAACTGAAGTTAAAAACACAGTAGCTCCTGAGAGAGAGAGAGAGGTATAAATCTAACAAGACAAAACAGGATCTGTATGCTAAAAAGACTATGTATGTGGAGAGACGGCACACAGCACGCTCATAGACTGGAAGACTGAACATAAGATGCCAGTCTCAGAAGGATCTGTGAAATTAACAAAATTCCAAAACATTGCAGTAGGACTCTTTTTAGATTTAGAAAAGATGATTTTAAAATGTATACAGAATGGTGAAGGAGCTAGCTAAAACAGTAAAAAGGATAGATAAAACAATGTTTTAAAAAGAACAAAAAAGTTAGATGAATCACATTACACAGTTTTAACAGACTTTAAAGCCACAAAAATCAAGACTGTCGTATTGGCAAAGAACAGACAGATGGGTCAGTGATCAGAGAGTCTAGAAACAGACCCACATAAATAGGGCCATTTGATCTTTGACAGCAGTGCAAACAAAAGCAACCCTGTGGAGAAAGGATTGTCCATTCAACAGAGCAGTGGGGCAGTTGGTCATCCATATGGTAGAAATGGAACCTTGGCCTAAACCTCACATTGTACACAATTAACTCCAATCATATGTAAACGTAAAACAAAACTATAAAATGTTTGGAAGAAAACAGAAAAATACCTTTGTACCTGATGACATTTGGTAGAGTTCTTAGACATGATCCCAAAGGCATAATCCACAGAAGAATCCATAAAAGAAAAATTTGTAAATTGGACTTTATCAAAATTAAAAACTTACTTTTTTGAGATAGGGTCATGCTGTGTTGTCCAGGCTGGAGTGTGGTGGTAAGTCATAGTTCACTGCAGCCTCGACCTCCCGGGCTCAAGCCATCTTCCTTCCTCAGCCTCCTGAGTAGCTGGGACTAGAGGTGCAAGCCACTATTCCTGGTTTTAAAAATTTTTTCCAGAGTCTGAGTCTTGCTGTATTGCCCAGGCTGGTCTCAAATTCCTAGCCTTAAGTGATCCTTCCACCTTCGGCCCCAAAGTAGTTGAGATTACAGGCATGAGCCACCGTGCCTGACCTAAAAACGTTTGAACTACCAAAGACAGTGTGAAAAGAATGAAAAGATGAGGAGAAAATATTCACAAATCACCTGTCAACTAAGGACCTGTATTTGGAATACACAGAGAACTCTTAAAACTCAACAGTAAGAAAACAGTCCAACTAAAAAGTGGAAAAGACCTGATCAGACATGCACCAGCAATGACACAGCATTGACTGTTGGGCACAGGAGAAGAGGCTTGACACCACCAGCCACCAGGAAATGCAGATTCAGCCACCACGCAGGACACGAGGCACCTGCACCACAGCCGCAGTGCAAGAGAATGCTGGTGGTGCCCCAAGCTGCCAGGGTGTGGACCTGCTGGAAATGGAAGACGGCATGGTGGTTTCCTATAAAGTTCAATGTACACAGCCACATGACCCAGCAATCCCACTGTTGGGTATTTAGAGAATGAAAAACTTAAGTCCACATAAAAACTGTACGTAAATGTTTACTGATGCCTTATTCATAATCATCAAAAGCTGAAATTCAAATGCCTTTCATTGGGTGAACTGGTAAACTGTGGTATATCTATGCAGTGAAATACTCCTCTGCAGTGACAATGGGGAGAGACTGACACATTGGGCACCATGGGGGTGGGAAGAGGTGAAGGAAGGTTGGGGGAAGGCGCCGTGGTCAGGTGTGGCACTAAGGAGATTTGGGGGTGGAGCCATTCTGTGTGTGGACTGTGGTGGTGGTCGCGTGACTGTACATGTGTTAAAGCTTCAAACAAAAAAGTTAAAAATTTTAGTTTAAAATATTAAAACATTTTTAAAAATGGACACGTATTCCTGAATTTTTTTTTTTTTGAGATGGAGTTTTGCTCTTCTTGTCCAGGCTAGAGTGCAGTGGCGCCATCTCGGCTCACCACAACCTCTGCCTCCCGGGTTCAAGCAATTCTCCTGCCTCCTGAGTAGCTGGGATTACAGGCATGTGCCACCATGCCTGGCTAATTTTCTATTTTTTTTAATAGAGACGGGGTTTCTCCATGTTGGTCAAGCTGGTCTCGAACTCCTGACCTCAGGTAATCCACCTGCCTCAGCCTCCCAAAGTGTTGGGATTACAGGTGTGAGCCACTGCCCCCGGCATTCCTGATTTTTAATAAGCTGTAACAGAAGATAATTTCTCTATTTGGTAAATGGTATTTGTCAAAACCCTGCAGCAATCATGCTTAAGTCAAGATATTTAAAGTATTCCCATTAAAGTCAGACAAGCACAGTTCTCCTTGCTATCACTGTGAGTGTTTTCCAGACATCCCAGCAGGGTGAGAGAACTGAAAAAGAGGGAAGGAGATGAATATTGGAGACAGGGTTTAGTAGTTTGTTGATGATACAATCATCTGCATGTAAATCCAAGAAAATCCCCTGAGGAACCCTGAGGACCAGCCGAGGAGTTCAGTCCGTGCCAGATCCAGTGGGTTTCTCTACTCCACAATAACCCATCGGAGCATGAGCCACAACCCTCCACCTCCATATGAAAGAATCACAAAAGCTGGAAGAGAAGTGTGTAAGGACCGCCTGAGGAAGATGCTAAAAGAGGGTGAGTTGGCAGACATGCCACATCGTGGGTGAAGGATGTCAGCTGCCCCACAAAGTAAACTGTACATTCATTGCAATCCTAGTTAAATTCTGATGAGATTAAATGACACAGGATAAGCTGCTTCTGGAGCTGATCTAACAGAAGAAAAGCCAACATTAAAAAAAAGGCTGGGTGAGGTGGCTCACGCCTGTAATCCCAACACTTTGGGAGGCTGAAGCAGGCGGATCATTTGTGTTGAGGAATGTCATTTGTGGTCAGCCTGGCCAGCATGGTGAAACCCATCTCTACTAAAAATACAAAAATTAGGTGGGTGTGGTGGTGGGTGCCTGTAATCCCAGCTACTTGGGAAGCTGAGACAGGAGAATTGCTTAGGCCTGGGAGGTGGAGGTTGGTGGTGAGCTGAGATTGCTCCACTGCATTCCAGCCTGGGTGACAGAATGGTACTCTCTCTTTCACACACACACAGACACACACAAAATAAAGAAAAAGGGCTGGCGTGGAGGCTCCTGCCATAATCCCAGCACTTTGGGAAACCGAGGTGGGCAGATTGCTTGAGTTCAGTTCGAGACGAGCCTGGGCAACATGGCAAAACCCCATCTCTACAAAAATAAAAAATTAGCTGGGTGTGGTGGTGCCTGTAGTCCCAGCTACTCTGGAGGGTGAGGTGGGAGTATGGCTTGAGGCCAGGAGCCCGAGGTTACAGTGAGCCATGATTGCACCACTGCACTCTGGCCTGGGTGACAGAGTGAGGCCCTGTCTCCAAAAAAAGAAAAAAAACCCCACACCATAAAGGGGGTCCTACTGTGTCCGGAATTGGTGGGTTCTTGGTCTCACTGACTTCAAGAATGAAGCCGAGGGCCCTCGTAGTGAGTGTTACAGCTCTTAAAGGTGGCGTGTCTGGAGTTTGTTCCTTCTGATGTTCGGATGTGTTTGGAGTTTCTTCCTTCTGGTGGGTCTGTGGTCTCGCTGGCTCAGGAGTGAAGCTGCAGACCTTCGTGGTGAGTGTTACGGCTCTTAAGGTGGTGCGTCTGGAGTTGTTCATTCTTCCCACTGGGTTCGTGGTCTCGATGGCTCAGGAGTGAAGCTGTGGACTTTCGCGGTGAGTGTTACGGCTCTTAAGGTGCTGTGTCTGGAGTTGTTCATTCTTCCCACTGGGTTCATGGTCTCGATGGCTCAGGAGTGAAGCTGCAGACCTTCGTGGTGAGTGTTACGGCTCTTAAGGTGGCGCGTCTGGAGTTGTTCATTCTTCCCACTGGGTCCGTGGTCTCGATGGCTCAGGAGTGAAGCTGCAGACCTTCGTGGTGAGTCTTAACAGCTCTTAAGGTTTCGCGTCTGGAGTTATTCATTCTTCCCACTGCGTCTGTGGTCTCGATGGCTCAGGAGTGAAGCTGCAGACCTTCACGATGAGTGTTACAGCTTTTAAGGCGGCGCGTCTGGAGTTGTTCATTCTTCCCACTGGGTTCGTGGTCTCGATGGCTTCAGGAGTGAAGCTGCAGACCTTTGCGGTGTTACAGCTCATAAAGGCAGTGTGGACCCAAAGAGTGAGCAGCAGCAAGATTTATTGCAAAGAGCAAAAGAACAAAGCTTCCACAGTGTGGAAGGGGACAGGACCAGGTTGCCACTGCTGGCTCGGGCAGCCTGCTTTTATTCTCTTATCTGGCCCCACCCACATCCTGCTGATTGGTCCATTTTACAGAGAGCTGATTGGTCCATTTTACAGAGAGCTGATTGGTCCGTTTTTGACAGGGTGCTGATTGGTGCTTTTACAATTCCTGAGCTAGACACAAAAGATCTCTACGTCCCCACCAGGGTAGCTAGATACAGAGTGTCGATTGGTGCATTCACAAACCCTGAGCTAGACACAGCGTGCTGATTGGTGTGTTTACAAACCTTGAGCTAGATACAGAGTGCCGATTGGTGTATTTACAATCCCTTAGCTAGACATAAAGCTTCTCCCAAGTCCCCACCAGACTCAGGAGCCCAGCTGGCTTCACCCAGTGGATCCTGCGCTGGGGCTGCAGGTGGAGCTGCCTGCCAGTCTTGTGCTGTGCGCCTGCACTCCTCAGCCCTTGGGTGGTCGATGGGACTGGGTGCCGTGGAGCACGGGGCAGTGCTCGTCGGGGAGGCTGGGGCCACATAGGAGCCCATGGAAGGGGTGGGAGGCTCAGGCGTGGTGGGCTGCAGGTCCCGAGCCCTGCCCTGCCCTGCAGGGAGGCAGCTAAGGCCCAGCGAGAAATTGAGCACAGCAGCTGCTGGCCCAGGTGCTAAGCCCCTCACTGCCCGGGGCCAGCAGAGCCGGTCGGCTGGCCGCTCTGAGTGCAGGGCCTGCCGAGCCCACGCCCACCCGGAACTCTTGCTGGCCTGCAAGCCTGCCCACATCCCTGGTTCCCACCCGCGTCTGTCTCTCCATCCACACCTCCCTGCAAGCTGAGGGAGCCGGCTCTGGCCTTGGCCAGCCCAGAAAGGGGCTCCCACAGTGCAGCGGCGGGCTGAAGGGCTCCTCAAGGGCAGCCAGAGTGGGTGCCAAGGCCAAGGAGGTGCCGAGAGCAAGCGAGGGCTGAGAGGGCTGCCAGCACACTGTCACCTCTCACTACCAGACCCGAGCAGAGCTGTGGACAACACAGTATGGGAATTAAGCAGGTGAGATGACCAGAGTCCTCACTGGCACTAGAAGATGGCAGCCCAGGAGAAAGCTACCAGCCAGAGCGAGGCCTGCCAGAGATAGCCACATCTCCTCTCAGAGAATGGGGGTGATGAGGCCCTGCAGGCCAATCTGCCCTGTGCTGTGGGGCAGAGGAAGCTGTGGGACTGGACAACTCCAACATTCACAGTTGTGGCACCAGCTGCAGGTGAGAAATGTGAGGAGGGACCCTGCCCCCTCAACCTCTGAGGGGCCCTGGCAGACTGGGGGCTGTCGCCACCTGAGGGTTCCCAGCCTTCCTACAAGGCAGTGTGCATGGTGATGACTGAAGTCTCGGGGTAATCTCCCAGCAAGAGGTCAGGTCCTGGTTGTGCGTCCCAGGGTGTCAGTGAAATTGGCTGCTCCCCTGACCCAGGGCACCTTCATGCGTCTTCACAGCAGGACTACTGTGACCAAGGCCAGACCTTTCATCTTTCAAAAGACTTTGACTAAAAATGCTTTAAAAAAGCAACCTTCGGCTGGACGCGCTGGCTCACGCCTGTAATCCCAGCACTTTGGGAGGCCGAGGCGGGCGGATCACCAGAGGTTGGGAGTTAGAAACCAGCCCAGCCAACGTGGTGAAACCCCGTCTCTACTAAAAACAAAAATTAGCCTGGCGTGGTGGCAGGTGCCTGTAATCCAGTTACTTGGGAGGCTGAGGCAGGAGAATCGCTTGAACCCAGGAGGCAGAGGTTGCAGTGAGCCGAGATCACACCACTGCCCTCCAGTCTGGGTGACACAGTGAGACTCTGTCTACACACACACACACACACACACACACACACACAAAGAAAAAACATAGGAATAAATGTAGTGGTCAAATGGTTGTTTGTCCAACGTCGACAGGAGTCTTATCCCTTGAGCAGGCCACACCTTCCCCAGGAATTGGCGTGGGCAGACACTCTGGGGTGGGCGGGGTGGGCCCAGGGGAGCATCTCCTTCCTCACAATTGGAGCATAAGCCACCAAAAAAAATGAAACAAATGTGCTTTGTGTACTTTCCTTGACTGAGGAGTAATGTGGGTAAGAGAAAGGACTCTTTGCTTATTTATGGATTTAGGACTCTGTGCTGATTTATGTAAGCACAGTTGCATTTCTGTGTAAGCGGAAGACAGATAATTCTTTCTATTAAAGGGGACGTTCAGTGTAGCTACTGCAGAGCACCGTCAGGACACAGGCCTCCCAACCAATGCAGGCTCAGCCCTCCACAGCCCCTCAGGAGGGACTCAGTGCATCTCAAGGGAGTTTTATCCTTAAAAACTAGAAGCCATATGGACATCTACTTTGGGAGGATTTGGTGGGCCTCAGGGGCCTCTAGCAGCAGAAGGCCCTGGCTTCCTGAACGCAGACGGTGCGGGTCTCATCACAGCAAACCCCCTTGTTTTTCTGTTCCTCTGCTGCCTTTCAGGGGACACTGTTTGGCTTTCACCCGGTCACAGGTGTACTAACACACATGACTAACACAGGATTTTTGTCTTATGCACACAGAACTGCATGGGAGAAACAAAACCACCAGCGAGCAGAGAGGCCGAGGCTTGGCTCTGCTGTGAGAGCGTCAAGGTCCCTGCAGCCCTGAGCTGCTGCAGAACCCACAGGAACCAACTTCCAGAGCTTGTTTCTGGGGTCCTGGTGCAGGGACCCCACCCACTGTGCTCAGATGGAGCTTGAAGCTCTCAGACCTCAGGCTCCCGTGGCTGCTATCACCAGGCTTCATGGCCCAGTCCCCAAAGTGGGTGGACCCAATTTTGAGGACTTGTGTTTCCCCTACTCCCTGCAGTTGACGCTGACATCAGTGTCTGCTTGTGGTTTCAGCCAGTATCTTGACATTTCTAAGATGGACAGATGGACTGGCCGAAAATAAGTAAAATACACTTTGAGTCAGTGAAGTCTTTTTTTTTTTTTTTTTTTTTTTTTGAGATGGAGTCTCGCTCTGTCGCCCAGGCTGGAGTGCAGTGGTGCGATCTCGGCTCACTGCAACCTCTGCCTCCCGGGTTCAAGTGATTCTCCTGCCTCAGTCTCCTGAGTAGCTGGGACTACAGGTGCGTGCCATCAGGCCTGGCTAATTTTCGTATTTTTAGTAGACATGGGGTTTCACCATGCTGGCCAGGATGGTCTCGATCTCTTGACCTTGTGATCCACCCGCCTCAGCTTCCAAAGTGCTGGGATTACAGGCATGAACCACTGCACCCCGCCAAGTCCTTTTTTTTTTTTTTTTTTTTTTTTTTTTAAATTGAGATGGAGTCTTGCTCTGTAGCACAGGCTGGAGTACAGTGGCGTGATCTCGGCTCACTGCAACCTCTGCCTCTTGTGTTCCAGCGATTCGCCTGCTTCAGCCTCCTGAGTAGCTGGGACTACAGGCCCCTGCCACCACACCCGGCTAATTTTTATATTTTTTAGTAGAGACGGGATTTCACCATGTTAGCCAGGCTGGTCTCGAACTCCCGACTTCAGATGATCAGCCTGCCTTGGCCTCCTACGGTGCTGGAATTACAGGTGTGAGCCACTATGCCCAGCCTAAGTCAATTAAGTCAAGTCTAAGACTGAACCTATTTTTAAAGTTTACTGCTTTAGGTTGTGAGAATATAATTTTGGCCATTCTCCTTTCCTTCCAATTCTGGTTCTCTTAAGAGTTTCAGAATTGTTGTATTTTACTTAACCTTTAAAAACTGAAATTTTGGCCATAGTGCTTTTTTTGGGGAGGGGCAGCAAATTGTCGTAGGGAGATGGAACATTCATTTGTCAGTTGACACACCTATGGGAATCAGTAAGTTCTTTTTTAGCCGTATTTTCCTTGGCATAACCAGCTCCAAACTGCAGCAACCTCTTTCTGCAAGGAGACAAACTGAGCTTTACAAAGTTTGTGGCCTAAACTCTGGTAGCAAATGCTGGACCAATTTAAATGAGGGTTTGCAAGCAGGGTGACAGTTTACAAATGCCGCCTGAAGCAAATCGAGACATTGGTTAACCTGGGAGTGGGGAGGGCTGGGGTGAGGAAGGGAGCCGTGGGCTGGTGTGTGGACATATGTGCAGGCATGTGGTCTGAGCGTACACATATGTAGCATGCATGTGTGTGTGTGCGGCCAGGCTGCCTGAGTGGTCCATCCAATACCCACAGCATTGCTCATCCCATGAGCAAGTCATCTCTCATGCTCATACAAATGATTTATGTAATACATTTCCAGCCAGAAACACTTTCACTTAAGCTTTTCTTTTGCTTTTATTACAAGCATATAATATTAATTGGCAAAACACTGAATACAAGCTTCACTATCATAAAATCAAAACATTTAAGCAATATTCCAAAAAAGATTTGACAAAAACTAGCCACCAAGAGTACAAAAATTACACACCAACACAAAGCATAAAAAATGTAAACTTTCAAATTAAACAGTCAAACACATGTATCTTCGTGATCACCTCCACACCTCGACTGCCTTCGTCTGCCGTACGCTGCTGGTAAAGGCTGGGTGGCTGCACTGTCTTCCCCAACCCAACATTGCTTTCGTCTGGGAAAATGCGTCTGATAGGCAATTAAGCCATGGGAGTGGACATTTACACGGAGGCTACGCACATCTCAGGGGAACGCTCAAACTGCAGCTCGTTCCTCAGACGCACTGTTGGGTGCGAAGGACACCTGGAGGGTGAGGGAGACCTCGGCGCGTTCCTGCAGGGCCTTGGCCACGTGGCCATTGCCCGCACCCTGTCCCGTACAAATTATGGTATCATTTGAATGATTTTCTAATCTACTTATCTCAATTTATGTATTTAAATGTCAAGGCAGAGAAATACATTGATCATGTTAAGGTCATGTGATGTGGTGGCGCAGTAATGACTTCCTGAGGAAACAGAGAAATTGGATGTTTTGTGATTTAGCTATGTGCACTAAACTTATTTTCCATGTTTTGAGAGCACATTAAACATTCACGTACAACGTGGGACTAGGTTGGCTTGTACCCAGAACGTCCAACCCAATGCCACCCTTTGAATCGCTGTGAACACTGTTCTGTTGCTGTTCAGAGAAAACAAGCAAGGCTGCGAAGCCCGGGGGTGCAGGCAGCTGCAGTGCTTGGGCCAGGGCAGCTCCGCTCTTGTGGTCTGAGGCCACATGGCCCTGCCCAGGGGCAGCCTGGCCACAAGCACGTGGGGTCCAAGGCACCAGGACCCAGGCAGGACTGAGGTGGCCCCACAGCGTGGCCCGAGGCATCACTGGCTGACGGGCACTCACACACAACCCCAATAACAGCATTCTCACAATAATAACAATGAAAAACGAAAAACCAAACAGCTGAATGTACATATTTTGGAATTCCATCTATGTTCCCTTTCAATTTAGCAAAATAAATGCTACATTACCATTTAAACAGATGTCTAATAAATGCATATTGGAACCTATTGCACAAAAGCATAAAAAATGCTCTTCATCCACATAAAAACATACAAATTAAAAGCTACTCAAAGTAAAAAGAAGCTTGCAAAACATCTCACAATTTCATTTTATATGCCTGTAAATAAAGCTGGACCACTGAAACCAAACAATTGGATGGGAAAATATGATAGAAGGCTTAAAATAGAATAAATAATTTTATAAAGTTAAGTTTTCTTTTTTAACCCCCCAAATCTTAAATTCAATATTATATATTCTATTTGAATTTTCTATGTCCATGAAAACTGCATCGGTGAGACCGTATTCCGGGTAATTAGCCCCACTGCTGTTGAAAACGACGCATAAGGTGATTTAACAGCATTTGTTTTACCAGCATAAATAGTTGTGAAAACTTCTTCACAGTAACTCCATCTGTTTAAAAAAAAAAAACCAATAGAATCCAACCACTAACCGATCCTGGCTTTCATGCTGGAAAAAATGAAATTCAGCCTTTTTCTGTGAAATGAGAGGTTGACAGAAAGGAAAGAAGGCCGCCCAGAGGCTCCACAGACGGCAGGGCCATTGCGCTCCAGCCTCCAACGACTAAGGCTGCAAGGTCAGACGAGAGGCAGAGGCCCCAGGGCCGAGTCCTGTAGTGAAGACTGTCTGCACGATGAACTCCTAGAAAAATAGGGACTTCTGCTGCTGAGGTTTTGTCAGGTTAACGCGGTTACAAAAGCAGGGTCACCACTGGCTGAAGACATCGACACGGGCGCCACTCGCCCGTCTGTGTATTTAAATCTATCAGCTTAGCACCATTGCAAAGTCAAGTGATTTCAAAGATAGCTACAAAGTTACAAATATATATTATGAGATTATTACAATGATATTCAGTTTCATCTGAACTGTGATTTAATTTTATTTGAATTTGGAGGCTTGTAACTGTTTAATCCTTTCTTATTCCGCCACACAGGAAAATGCCTAAGTTCTAACGTTACACTTAAAACTGCACTGTGATAACACACGGTTGTACAGAATGCTTCAGCAGTATGTGTATTTTGAGGTAGACAGGTAATATTTATTCATACACAGCTACTCATAGACCCTTATACAGTGACTCTAGAAAATGATTTGGATGAATAGCAAGCTTAGGTAACTGAGTAACTCAAACCGTCCTGGGAGTTGATGGGCTTAAAGAAAGAGATGAATTTTGACCAATTCCTAACAAAGAACTTGCTTTTGTTTTAAAAGGCCTTACACTGACAATCACTCAGATGGAATTAATATGCATGTTTTTCTCATCCCTAAGATAAGGTCTCTTGAGCTGCTTTTTATCTAAAGGAAGCAGAAGAAAACAGCGAAATTCAAGAAAAAAAATCTCCAAGGTGGTTGGCTTCTTGGAAAGCCTGAATGGTGGCCAAGGACCACCTGGGCTCCCAAGGAGTGGAGGGAGGAGGGATTCAGTTCCACAGGAAATAAATGGGAACAGCCCGGTGGAGAAGACAATGACAACTGCAGGACAACACCTCAACCACTCCAGAAAACAGCCCTTGCTCCTCCTTCTGGCCTTTTCATATTTCCAAGTTACTGTTTTAAAGGAAAAAAAAAAATGTGTGTGTGGCTGTTTATTCTCTAATGTGACAAAAACATGACCATCCGGGAGGAGAGGGGCTAACGGTGCAACCAACTGAGGCTGAAACACAGATTCAGCTGAAATGCAGCTTCTGCAGAGCGGGGGCCGGCTTCCCTCCTAGCCCTTCAGCTGCTCACCCTGTCCCTGCAGCTCTGAAAAACGCCCTTCCAGTAAGCGGCCAAGGAGCACACGAGCTCCTCCCACCAGCAAAGGGGAAGGGGAGGCCTTGGACAGACGGGGCAGTGAGTGTGTCTGGGCATGAGCCCGAAGCCACCACCAGCAAATCCTCCCCACGGATGCCAGGAGAGCTCTGATCCTAACCACCACCACCTCTCCCTTCAGCAAAATCAAAACAGGGAAAGAAAACATAGGAAACCAAACGGCGGCACTCAACAATTTGGGGGAACAAGTAATTTTTAAAAGTAAGAGTTGTTCCGTAAACCAGCACTGAGCTGGTCACACGGCCTCTGGTCTACCTGCTGAGCATGTCAGAAATCCCGACGTGGCGTCTGGGGCCCCGTTTCCAGGGCTGGGTGTGTCAGCCACAGGTGAGCGACAGTTCTGAGTGAGTCCAAGTGCCGACCTCACACAATGAAAGGCGAACCAGTCAGGGAGCTGCTGTTGTGTTTCATAAGGTGGGAAATTAAATACAATGGTTAAATCATAATGTTAATGGAAACCTCTTTTGGTTTGCTTTTAAATTAATTTTTTATATAACTTCTAAATCTTCAAGAAGCTAAAGGCAACATAAATATTGTCATTCACCATGAAAAGACATTTTTTCAATAACTTAGGAAGGATTCAATAAAAGTCCAACTACACTTGAGGCTTATCATGAAACCTAAAATTCATAAACTAAACTGAAGTGAATTCAGATTTTCAAGACCTGGAAAGCAAGCAGAGGGAGCTCGTGTCAGAAGGTGACTCAGAACCGTGTTGCCTGGAGCATCACTCTCCCTGCAAGGCTGAAGCACGGGGTGGGGCGGGGGAGAGGACGATCGGCTCTGGGAGACTGTGAAGTGTTTTCATCCTCTGTAAACGTGGTGCTGGTAGTGTCTTGTTGAGTGTGAATTCTCTCTCATACAAAAGTTATAAATATTCTCTATTCAGAAGTCTGGTCCACATGACACCCAGAGGCAATGTTCTTAAGCGCGGCGGCCGGGAGCACCCAAGGGTGCGAGGGCCCAGTCTGTGGGCGCTGTGTGGCACCATTCACAGCAAGTCCATCTTGGGTCTGTAGTGCAGCAGGAGCGGCGCCTTCTGGAAGACACAAGAACGCACAGTGCCTGCTTAGCAGGGGTGGAGGCGAGAAGGACCTACTTCATCGGGAAGGGTGCTGAGGAATCACGTCCCGTGAGGCACAGTCCACATGCAGGGCTGCACAGAGACCCTTCTGTTCTGAGCAACAGAAGGGTCCCCCAGAAGTTGCTGGGGGAAGACGGGCTAGGAAGACATGTGCCCTCTCCCCTGGCCCCAGGTGACCCAGTGACCACTGTGCACACCGTGGTGGCCACCTGTACCTGATGTGGCCCTGGCTGCCACTCCCCTGCCCCCTTCTCCCTCAAACCCTCTGGCCCAGCCCCAGGCCAGCCTTGGCTCCTCCCCCTCTCCCCAGGCAGCAACACCAGCTGAGGTGGGAGAGTTCCACCATTGGTTTCCTGCTTCAGAGGGGCCCAAAGGCCCCAGGGGACCCTCTGCTCATGGCACTCATGGCCTCAGCACTTTCCCACCAGGGCCTGTGCCCTTCGCAGCTCAGCTGGCACCTTCCAAGCTGGCTCTGGGGTTGATGATTTCAGAAAGACCAGAACTGTGTTTCACAACAATTTCTGTAGCTGAGTCATCACTTTTTTTTTTTTTTTGAGACAGAGTCTCCCTCTGTCGCCTAGGTTGGAGTGCAGTGGCACGATCTTGGCTCACTGCAAGCTTCGTCTCCCGGGTTCACACCATTCTCCTGCCTCAGCCTCCTGAGTAGCTGAGACTACAGGTGCCCACCACTACGCCTGGCTAATTTTTTGTATTTTTAGTAGAGATTGGGTTTCACCATGTTAGCCAGGATTGTCTGGATCTCCTGACCTCGTGATCCGCCCGCCTCGTCCTCCCAAAGTGCTGGGATTACAGGCATGAGCCACTGCACCCAGCTGGAGTCATTTAACATTTTAGATAAGAGATGCACAGCAAAGTCACTGCCATTCAGAGCAGACTCTGAAAATCAAATCACGTGTCTCACCTTGAATCTCCACCTAGTGACAACCACGAACTTGAGTGTGTGGTCCTTGCCCAGGATCTCCTCGTTGCATAAAATGTCCAGCTGGGGGATAAGGAGGTTTGATTAGCAGCGGAGAGGTGCTCAACCCACACTGACATGGCCACCTTGATGCTGGTATGAAATCTGCAGCCCCTCCCCAATCATGCAAGAACGTGCCTAGAGATGGGGTGGGGGGGGCTGGTTCATGTATTCCTCCATCCCTACCTCACAGCCTAGAGATGGAGTGTGGTCCCTACCTCACAGCTGAACGGAAATCCAGTGCAACATATAAGATATTACAGGGCAGGCCCGTGCCAGTTAGGGGGATGACGTTTCTGCAGGGGGTGCAGGCGCAGGCACAAGCTCCTTGCAGTGGTGGGCTCCCATCCCGCCCCTATCTGGCCTGCAGCTGCCCTGAACCCTTTTTCTCTTGACAGGCCCCATCACACCCTGTCTACCACACCTGCCGTACTGAGCAACGGGAAGAGGTGGTTTGCAGCCCCATGAGCAGCCCTGACAGCTCCGGAATCGGGCACCCTGGTTCCCCAGGTGGCACAGGTGCCTGAGAGGCCCATAGGGCCGAAGTGTTTCCCTCCCCATCCCACCCAGGCCCAGTCCACACCAGCCCCCTCCCACGGCTGCAGCCTCCAGGGGCACCCTCTCCCCACAGGCCCTACCTCCGGTCCAGGCTGTCCCTCCCTCTCACCATAGTGCAAAAATGCACTAGGCTCCCCAGTCTTTTAAAAAAATTAGACTTTTTAAAGAACAATTTAAGGTTTACAGCAAAATTGAGAGGAAGGTACAGGGAGTTCCCGTCCCCCTTGGAACCCCCCTGCCACCAACACCCTGCATGGGGGCACATTAGTCACCACCCAGGAACCTGCACTGACATCACCTCCACCGAGTCCAGAGCGGATGTCAGGTCGCCCTGGTGGCACAGCCACAGGTGGACAAACAGCAGCATCGCCGCCCAGGAGCCCTGTGCCCGCCCACTCCTACTACCCTCCTCAAGCCCCTGCAGCCTCCGGATGGTTCTGCCTTTTCCAGTGCGCCATGCTGCAGAGCTGGAGTCGCACGGCCTACAGCCTTTTCAGAGGGGCTTCTCTACTTAGTAACAGGGACTTGATGTTTCTCCCATGTGCCTGCTCTTGGCCCGACTGCTCATTTCTTTTCAGTACTGGATAATAGTCCAGTATGGATGCACCACGGTTTATTTTTCCACTTATCTACTGAAGGGCATCTTGGTCGCTTCCAGGTTTTGGTAATTATGAAGAAAGATGCTATCAACATCCGGGTGCAGGTTTTTGTGTGGGCAGGAGATTTCCAGTGGGTAAATGACGAGGTGTGGCTGCTGGGTGGTTTGCCGAGAGTGTGTTTCGTGTTGTCAGCAGCTGCCAAGCTGTTCTCCACAGGGCCTGCGGGTTCCACTTCCCACAGGAATGAACCTGCGCTCCCGGCGTTTCCCGAATGTGTTGTCAGTGCTTGGGATTCTGGCCCTTCTATGGGGTACGCGTGGTGCCACGCAGTTTTCCTTGCGTTTCCCTGATCATGTAGACAGTTCTTCAGATTCCTCCCTGGGGAAGGCATGAATTGAAGCAGCCCCACCTGCCTGAGTGGCTGGGTTGGGGGCTCAGAGGCACGGTTAACGCAGCAGCAGCGCAAACCTCACACTCTTCCCTGGAGGAACCAGCCCTGCGCTGGGAAATGGCCAACCTCTTCCCCACCCCCTGCAGCCCCACTGTCCGGCAGCTTCCCGCTACACCTCCACATGAAAATCCAAGGACTTCCTCGGCCTGCTCTGTCCCCAGCTACCATCCATCTTTTCTGTTTCGCTACACAGAAAAGCAAACAAAACGATAGAAACTTAGCAAAAAGCGTTGCCCCATTTCCTTCTCTCCCTTCCCCCCGTGTCCTGACTTGGTTTCTCCATGATCTCCAGGCAGCCCGTGCTCAGTGAGTCTCCCCAACCCCGGTGTGCTGTCCGTATCCCCGGCCAACCTGTGGGACACTCAAGGCTGGCATTGGCCCCCCATGACCTGACAGCCTCTGCTCTGTGCCACCACAGCAGCTACGCCAGCCTGTCCCGAGACACCACCCCCCACCCCAAACCGAGCAGCCCCAGGCCTGCAGTCATTCCTGACCCCTTCCTTTTCTCTGCATCACCACCCAAATACATCAGCAACTTATTGTGGCTTTCTCTGAATTAGTCTCCTGCGGCTGCCGTGGAAATTATCACGAGGTGGTGTCTTCAAACAATAGAAATGTACTCAGTTCCAGAGTCCATAACAGCCACACTCCCTCTGCAGGCTCCAGGGGAGAAGCACAGTCCATTCCGTGCTGCTGCCACAGAACACCACACACTGGGTGATTTATGAAGAACAAATTGATTTCGGCACAGTTCTGGGAGCTGGGACATTCAAGGTCACCACGTTGCCACCTGTGAAGGCCTTCTGCTGCATCCTCATGTTGGGGAAGATCAGAAGTGAGAACACATGCTGGCCAGTCCTTTCACAGCAGCATCAATCCGTGCATGGGGCAGGGCCCTCGGCCTGAGCGCCTCCCCCAGGCCCTAACTCCCAGCACTGCCCTGCTGGGGATGGAATTTCCAACATGAATCTGGGGGATGCTTTCGGACCACAGCCGGGGAGCCTGCCCTGGCTTCCAGCTGCTGGTGGCCCAGGGGCTCCCTGGCTTGCCTCGAGGCTGCCTCCCTCCAGCCTCCAGTCCGTCCTCTGCTCTGTCCTCACCAGGGCCTCCTGTCTCGAGTCTTCCTCCGCCTCACTTGTGTCATGGGATTTAGGCTCCACCCAGATATTCCAGAATTATTTCATCCCAAAATCCTTTATTTAATTATATCTACAAAGATCCTTTTCCAAACAAGATCCCATTTGCAGGCTCTGGGGGTTAGGATGTGGCTTATCTTCTGGGGCCACCACTGAGTCCACTGCTGCTACAGACAGCATCTCAAGTCTGTCCACTTCTCCACCCTGACCGCCCCCACCACAGTCCGCCTCTCCTGCAACTCCTGGCGCTGGCCTCTCCTGCGTCCATTTCTGCACAGCCTGAGCGATTTTCAAAAACGACACCAGACCCATGCTCCTGCCCACAGCCGCCAGCGCCTTCTGTCTCCATGCAAAGCTGGACCCTGCTGGCGCCTGCATCCCCATGGTGTCACTGCCTTGGGGGCTCACAGGGACCCACACTGGCATGTTCATGGTGCGCCCGCTGCCAAGGCCGCCTCATGCCAGCACTCCTTCGTCTCCTTACACACCACAGCCTGGAAGGGTCCTCCCTCTCTGCATCCGCCCATGTCTCCCCTTGTGAAATTAAAGCACAGAATTTCTCGTTTTGAGGAAAACCTTTATCCTATTTTAAAACAGTCTCATCATCCCCGCCCTAGTTCTCTCTTCCACTCACAGTAGCATTCCACGTTCCCTGTCTCTGGGCATCCTACAACCCTTAGGGCTGTCTCCTATCCCGCTCCCCGGTGAAGCAGGCAAAACGGATTTTTTTCTGGTTAAAATCTCCAAAATTGTTAAAAACAAAACAAAACTAAGCAAAGAATCTTGGAGTTACCTTTAGAAATAAGAGAGGACTTGTTATGGTTTCTACTTAGGGATCAACTGTTACCTCGTTAAAGGATGAAAGGTTGAGTTTTTTGGCGATGAACTTCTTCAGATGCAAGACGGTCGCCTGGGCTGAGCAGCGGATCCACTTCCGCTTCAGCCCGCGCAGTTTGCTGCTGTTACACTCCAGGCAGATGCTCACCTGCGGGAAAGGACGCTGGTGAGAGCGCAGCAGGAGGGTTCCCCCGGACGGTTCTGGAGGCTTCCTTAGACATATTTCACTAATTCCTCAATCTAGGACTGCTGACCTTTTTGAGATCAGACATCTGCTTTGACTTCAACACTGCAGAAAAAGAATCTTACATACCTTATCTGAAAACCTGTTTATCGTCTGCTTGCCATTTTGTGAACTATAACCTCACCCTGTTAATTCTGTGTTATTAACATAATAGTTGAGAGTTAATCCCACAGTTACTTATCCATCGCAGGCACTGGGTTCTTGGTCTCCAGCTAAGCCTGTCCGGACAAACATGGCGCAAAGGGGAGTGGGCGGCCCCGTGTCTGCGAATGCACTCGGGGAGACAGCAGCGACTGCAGGAAGACAGTAGGGAGAAGCCTTGAGCAGGGCCACAGGCGGAAGGTCACAGCTGCCTTCCAGGTGACCAGCAGTTTGGCCGCAGGATAAAAAGTGACTGTTAAGGGGACTGTGGAGTCCCAGCAGCCACGGGCTCCCTGCCCGGTGCGAAAAGGAATCTGCCCAGGACGAGGCTTCACCCAAGGGCCCGGCCGGCTTGGCCCCCAAGATGTGCCTGACAAGGAAGGGCGACGCTCACGGCAAACGCTTCTACAGGTGGAGCCGCAACAAACGGCACAGTTAGGGCCTAAAAATGCAGTGGAAGAATGGACAGGGGGTTAACTGAAACATGTATGTCTAAAATTACAAAAGATACAAAAGGGAGGACACCAGGGGTACAGACGGGCAAGTATTGAAGGTAATCAGATACAATTTCTAAAAATAAAAACACTCACGGAAACTAACATCTCAGTGGATGGCTGAACCACAGATTCTTCTCAGCCGAGGACAGATTAATGTCCTAAAAAAAAATTCACTTGAGGAAGTTACCCATCAGGAGTAGAGATAAACACACCAATTCAAACAATAAAAGGAAGGCTAAGAGAAAGGGGAGAAGACGGGAGCCCCAAAGGGAAGAACAGAAAGGAAAGGAAGTGTTAAGAAACAGTGACTAAGGATCTCCCACAACAGTGAAGGGCAGTCCTCAGATTCAGGAAGCAAAAGAATCCAAAATACAAGAAATACCCACTCCGACACGGTGCAGTCACTGAGCACAGCCCATTAAAGGCCCCGCAAGAGCCACTGGGGAGATAAGTGGATTCTGTGCAAAAAGCAAGAGACATCCTTGCTCCGGGGTGGGATGGAGCGAGGCCGCCTGCAAGCATCACAGGAGAGGGACAATGTGAGCGGGAAGAAGATCCGGGAGTCTGGAGAGAGAACTCGGGAGAGAGGCCGTGGGGAGAAAGACCCGGAGTCCGGAAGGAGAAGAACTCGGGAGAGGGGCCGCGCGGGGAGAAAGACCCGGAGTCCGGAAGGAGAACAACTCGGGAGAGGGGCCGCGCGGGGAGAAAGACCCGGAGTCCGGAAGGAGAACAACTCGGGAGAGGGGCCGCGCGGGGAGAAAGACCCGGAGTCCGGAAGGAGAAGAACTCGGGAGAGGGGCCGCGCGGGGAGAAAGACCCAGAGTCCGGAAGGAGAAGAACTCGGGAGAGGGGCCGCGCGGGGAGAAAGACCCGGAGTCCGGAAGGAGAAGAACTCGGGAGAGGGGCCGCGCGGGGAGAAAGACCCGGAGTCCGGAAGGAGAAGAACTCGGGAGAGGGGCCGCGCGGGGAGAAAGACCCGGAGTCCGGAAGGAGAACAACTCGGGAGAGGGGCCGCGCGGGGAGAAAGACCCGGAGTCCGGAAGGAGAAGAACTCGGGAGAGGGGCCGCGCGGGGAGAAAGACCCGGAGTCCGGAAGGAGAAGAACTCGGGAGAGGGGCCGCGCGGGGAGAAAGACCCGGAGTCCGGAAGGAGAACAACTCGGGAGAGGGGCCGCGCGGGGAGAAAGACCCGGAGTCCGGAAGGAGAACAACTCGGGAGAGGGGCCGCGCGGGGAGAAAGACCCGGAGTCCGGAGCGAGAAGAGCTCGGGAGAGGGGCCGCGCGGGGAGAAAGACCCGGAGTCCGGAAGGAGAACAACTCGGGAGAGGGGCCGCGCGGGGAGAAAGACCCGGAGTCCGGAAGGAGAAGAACTCGGGAGAGGGGCCGCGCGGGGAGAAAGACCCGGAGTCCGGAAGGAGAAGAACTCGGGAGAGGGGCCGCGCGGGGAGAAAGACCCGGAGTCCGGAAGGAGAACAACTCGGGAGAGGGGCCGCGCGGGGAGAAAGACCCGGAGTCCGGAAGGAGAACAACTCGGGAGAGGGGCCGCGCGGGGAGAAAGACCCGGAGTCCGGAGCGAGAAGAGCTCGGGAGAGGGGCCGCGCGGGGAGAAAGACCCGGAGTCCGGAAGGAGAACAACTCGGGAGAGGGGCCGCGCGGGGAGAAAGACCCGGAGTCCGGAAGGAGAAGAACTCGGGAGAGGGGCCGCGCGGGGAGAAAGACCCGGAGTCCGGAGCAAGAAGAGCTCGGGAGAGGGGCCGCGCGGGGAGAAAGACCCGGAGTCCGGAGCAAGAAGAGCTCGGGAGAGGGGCCGCGAGGGGAGAAAGACCCGGAGTCCGGAAGGAGAAGAACTCGGGAGAGGGGCCGCGCGGGGAGAAAGACCTGGAGTCCGGAAGGAGAAGAACTCGGGAGAGGGGCCGCGCGGGGAGAAAGAACTGGAGTCGGGATGGAGAAGAACTCGGGGGAGGGGCCGTGCGGGGAAAGACCCGGAGTCTGGAGGGAGAACTCGGGAGAGGGGCCGCGTGGGGAGAAAGACCCAGAGTCCGGAGCGAGAAGAGCTCGGGAGAGGGGCCGCACGGGAAGAAAGACCCGGAGTCCGGAAGGAGAAGAACTCGGGAGAGGGGCCGCGCGGGGAGAAAGACCCGGAGTCCGGAAGGAGAAGAACTCCGGAGAGGGGCCTCGAGGGGAGAAAGACCTGGAGTCCGGAGCGAGAAGAACTCGGGAGAGGGGCCGCGCGGGGAGAAAGACCTGGAGTTTGGCGGAAGAAGTGAGAAGCAGGGAGAAAGGGGGTGCCCGGTGAGAGCCGCGGTGGGGGTGCTTGTGCAGGGAGGGGCACAGACTTACAGTGACTTTGGACTTTTTTTTTTTTTTTTTTTTTTTTTTTGAGACAGAGTCTCCCTCTGTAGCCAGGCTGGATGCCGTGGCACGATCTCGGCTCACTGCAACCTCCGCCTCCTGGGTTCAAGCGATTCCGCTGCCTCAGCCTCCCGAGTAGCTGGGACTACAGGCGCGCACCATCATGCCCGGCTAATTTTTTTGTATTTTAGTAGAGACGGGGTTTCACCAAGTTGGCCAGAATGGTCTTGATCTCCTGACCTCGTGATCTGCCCACCTCGGCTTCCCAAAGTGCTAGGATTACAGGCGTGAGCCACCGCGCCGGGCCAACTTTGGATTTCTAAAAATGTAAATAGTTTATACATTTTGTAACCACTAGTATAACAGAAGTAGAGCTTATACCTTGCAAACCAGAGGAAGAAAGAAAGAGATTAAAGAAAGTTACTAATTCACTAGACAACAGGGAGGAAGGAAGCATTAGGAAAAAACTGACGAAAAGAGCAAAATAAAAAAATAAAGCAGGAACCAACTCACATCCTCCATGGAAAATCGTGGAATGTGTAAGGTAACGTGCCAGCTAAAAAAGTTTGATTTTTTTAAAAAACCTAGCTCTACGTTGTAAACAGTGTCACATTTAAGACATTTTAAGAACAGAAATATCACACAAGTATTCACCAACAGAAAGCTGGCATAGCTAGATTAGTATGTCATGGGACTTTAAGAAATAGAGCTTAATGAGGAAGAAGCCCCCCAAAGACGAGAAACGTTTCTATACGGGAACACAGCTGGTGACAAACGCACGCCAACAGAATGGCCATGGTGGGCTTCACGTCTCTATAAGCAGCGGACGCACCCTGCCCTCAACAGGCAGCCGCCGTCTCCGACTCAGGGAACAGGTGTGCCAGCCACGCAGGCACAGGTCTGAGGCAGCGGGGTCTGCAGTGCATGGGGCCCGCAGGGCAGCAGGAAGGGCTGCACAGATGAACGCGGGCCTGCATGCACCTGCGGGAAAACGCAGACACACATGGGCGGGGGTGGGAGTGGGGGGGATTGTGGAAGGAAAACAAGAAGAAAATATGTTTACGTTTGCTCAGATTTGCATACATACAGGAGGTGATCACAGTGGTTCTCTATAGGTCACTACAGACAGCGGCAGAGATGAGAACAAAATTAAACCTTTTCAATAATACTAACCTCAGGACTGAACGAATTACCTATTTAAATACACTAAGTTACAAGCATGCTTCTAATTTTTAGGCTTTATTATGGCACAGTTTACACACACCTCTTTTATGTATATAATGCAATAATTTTCCGTAAATTCACAGACTTTCTCGATCATCGCCATGGCAGTCTCAGATGGTTTCCATCACCTCAGAGCCCCCGGCAGGCCCCTCTGCGATCTAACCCTGCTGGGGGAGCGGGGTGGGGAGTGAGTGTTTAATGGGGGCAGAGCTTCAGTTTGGGAAGATAAAAAGGCTCTGGAGATGATGGTGGTGGTGGTGGCTGTGTAACACTGGGTCTGTACCCAAGGCCACTGAACCACACACCTGAAAATGGTTAAAATGGCATATTTTATGTGCATGTAACACAATTTAGAAAGCTGGTTAAAAAAAACATGAAAATTCTAGAATTATTTTAATAAGAACCAAATTATGAAGCTGGAAACTAAAGGAATGTTCAACTCTAGAGTTTAGAAAAGAGCCGGGTGCAGTGGCTTACACCTGTAATCCCAGCACTTTGGGAGGCTGAGGCGGGTGGATCATTTGAGGTCAGGAGTTCGAGGCCAGACGGGCCAACATAGTGAAACCCCGTCTGTAATAAAAATACAAAAATTAGCTGGGCATGGTGGTGCGTGCCTGTAATCCCAGCTACTCAGGAGGCGGAGGTGGGAGACTCACTTCAACCAGGGAGGTAGAGGTTGCAGTGAGCCGAGATTGCACCCCCACACTCCAGCCTGGGCGACAGAGTATAAGACTACATCTCAAAAAAAAAAAAGCCAAGTGCGGCGGTGGCTCACGTCTGTAATCCCAGCATTTTGGGAGGCTGAGGCGGGTGAATCACCTGAGGTTAAGAGTTCAAGACCAGCCTGATCAACATGGAGAAACCCCGTCTCTACTAAAAATACAAAAAATTAGCTGGGTATGGTGGCATGTGCCTATAATCCCAGCTACTCTGTAAGGCTGAGACAGAAGAATCGCTTGAACCCGGGAGGTGGAGGTTGCGGTGAGCCAAGATCAGGCCTTGCACTCCAGCCTGGGCAAGAGGGAAACTCCATCTCCAAAAAAAAAAAAAAAAAAAAAAAAAAAAGGACAATTCTGAAGAAGAAAAATGAGGAGGGGTATGTACTCTCCCAGAAGACCACAACTTAATGGTAAAATAAATCATTGCAATTCAGTAAGTTCCTTGTTGTTTTGGCACAATGGGAGACAAGAGACCAGCGGAACAGAGCAGAGAGCCCAGGGGGACCTGAGAGTGTGGAAACTTGGCAAAGTTGAACTCCACCTTGTCCATTCTACACACAAGGTCAACTGCAGGGGCTTACAACCCAACTAAAAAGCAAACCTTTAAAATATTTTACAAGACAATGTAAGAGAATGTATTTATGACCTTAGAATGGGGAAACATTTTTAAGATTCAGAAGAAAATACCGATACATTTAATTATGTCAAATTTTAAAACTGTGGATGATGATAGGTCGAAGAAAGCCGACAGCCGCAGAAGGAAAGACGATCCCTGCAGTGAGCGTGGGGCGGCGAGGGAGGAGGTAGCCCTGCAGCTCACATAAGGAAAAGTCAGTCTTCCCAGGACAGAGATGGGCAAAGAACAAGTAAGCAACTCACACGCAGAGGAGCCCAGAGACGTGCGATGAGTCGCTGGACACCCCACACACAGGAGACTGGAATCAGAAATAACACAGATACCGTGGAACACACCTGCCCAGGGGGACAAGTGCAATGTCTTAGAAGAGTGATGGGCTGGTCACCACCTAAAAGTCTCCAGTATTAGATGGGAAATTAAGTGTAAAAAAGTCACAGCGTAACAACACGTGCCACGCACACAACGCCGTGTGCTCTGCGACACCACGCGGGCCTGTGTGCACACAGCAGTCACCATCAAGCGGGTACGTTACACACCTCGAAATGCAACTCTGATTGTAAAGAGGGCACTGCAGAAAGACCTGTCGCTGTCTATGGCTACACATCGGCCTGCCTGGGAACACTGAGCTCCTTGTCCACCTGGAAGTGAAAAAGAGCCCAAGATCTGCCATCTGCATCTGGATCACCAGCGAATCCTGCAGGCTCCCTCCCTTTTAAATATGCCCCAAACCCAGTGCTGCACCCGCACCGCCACCTGCCTGGGCCTCTGGCTCAGACGCCTGCCTGGTCTCCGCATGGCCACCCTGGCCGTGCAGGCAGCTCACTGCAGAGCAGCTGCGCTAAGTGGCAACCCTCTGGGGATAAAGCCACGCCAGGCTGCATCCCACAGCACACCCCGATCTCACATCCCAACTGCCTCATCTCCCTCCTCTGGGTGAACAGCAAGTTCTCGCCACAGGCCCCCAAGGTCCCCAACCTCACCTCCAGCCTTACCCGTTCACTCTGCCCCGGACTCACCACCCACGGCACGTGGGGCAGCCTGGCACCAGGTCCCAGCTCACTACCTCCTGCCTCACCTCTACAGTCCAGGAGAGGCTCTTTCTACCCTCCGCCCCTTCTACCTCCAGGGGCTCTGGCCTGGATGGGTGGGCTCTCCGCTCCCCACCAGCCAACCCTCACCACGCCGGCTGCGAGGCCCTTGCAGGCAGAGCCCACTTCCAGCAGGCGTGCAGCAGGAGCAGGTGACCGGCTCTCGGGTGTGAAGTCCCAAGAGCACAGCGCGTGCCCGAGGGTGCGGACAGGAGCCAGTGGGCCAGGGAGGCACAACTCGGAGGAGTGAAAACAAACCACATTTCCAGCTCCAGACACAAGAGCCATTGGAGCCTCTGGAGGGCGGCAGGGACCCCACACCAGAACCCCCAGCCTGCTCAGGGTATAGGAGCCATTTCCCCTGTTTCTGGTGCTGGGACATCACACCCACCAAGTCAACAGGCCCGGTAAGGGTTTCCTAACTCTGCACGAGCGAAGATGAGCAGAGACCACACCAGCCCTGCAGTCCCACTGGGTCTGTGGGTGCCAGGACCACCAAAGACGGAGGCGACTCCTGCCAGGACCCAGAACGCCCCTGAAGTCCACTGGGCAGCTGCTCGCTCCAAGGGAAGCTGAATGTAGGGTTCGTAGAAGGTCAGAGTCTCGCTCTTGTTACCCAGGCTGGAGTGCAGTGCCTCGATCTCAGCTCACTGCAAGTTCAAGCGATTCTCATGCCTCAGCCTCCGAGTAGCTGGGATTACAGGCACCCACCACCATGCCCGGCTAATTTTTTGTATTTTAGTAGAGACGGGGTTTCACCTTGTTGCCCAGGCTGGTCTCGCACTCCTGAGCTTAGGCAATCTGCCCGCCTCAGCCTCCCAAAGTACTGGGATTACAGGCGTGAGCCACCGTGCCTGGTCCAGTCTTCTTTTTTTTTTTTTTGAGACCGGACTCTCGCTCTGTCGCCCAGGCTGGAGTGCAGTGGCGTGATCTCGGCTCACTGCAAGCTCTGCCTCCCGGGTTTACGCCATTATCCTGCCTCAGCCTCCGAGTACAGGTGCCCACGACCACGCCCAGCTAATTTTTTGTATTTTTAGTAGAGATGGGGTTTCACTGTGCTAGCCAGGATGGTCTTGATCTCCTGACCTTGTGATCCGCCTGCCTCGGCCTCCCAATATGCTGGGATTACGGGCGTGAGCCACCGCACCCGGCCAAGAGTCTTCTTAAACATTAAGTTCTAGGCCAGGTACAGTGGCTCACACCTGTGGTCCCTACTCGGGAGGCTGAGTTGGGAGAAGCACTTGAGCCCAAGAGGTCGAGGCTGCAGGGAGCTGAGATTGCACCACTATACTCCAGCCTAGGCAAGAAAGTAAGATCCTGTCTCAGAAAAATAAAAAAGCTCTAAAGTTCTGTTCTAACTTCCTTGCCATTTGCTCCGGGGCTTGTCAGCTCTGGGAGAGAAGGTGCCCATGCCCTCTCCTGGGCCACCTGGCAGCTCAGGTGTGTGAGCCATCAGCACCCAGAGGGGCCTCCAGTGAGGGCCGGGATCTGTCTCCCACTATCCAGGTAATGGAGCTAATCTCAAACACAAACCTTTGTGGTTCGACAGAGGACAAAGCCTACTGAAGTGAGAGAAGAGTTTCATCAGGGACGTGTTCAGAAGAGCCCTGGACAGACGGGCACCAGGAGGGCACTGGCAATCCCGAGGCTCTGAAAACGAAGATGGGCGGAGGCCGAGTGTTTGGATCTGACAGGGGCCTGAAGGCGGCGGGAATCTCTGGGGTTGCCCTGGCGGGGTCACAGCCACGCGCAGGCCCCTCCCGTCTGCCCAGCCTCAGTCTGGTGGGAAGACCCCGGGGGCCTGGAACCGGAGGAGGCTGCACACACAGGGGTCGAAGTCCATGTAGAGCCCCTGTATCCCCAAGACTGCATGGCCCCCCACCCCCGAGTCCCAGCGGACACTCAGGACCCCAGCTCAGGGCAGCAGGCCCGTCCCCCACCTCACTCCTTATCCACAAACCCCACCCTTGCCCGCCCGGTCCCCGGAGGCCTCAGGATGCCCACGCAAAGCCAGGCTCTGGAAGCAGCAGCTGGGGGAAAAGAGCGGAACAGCTGTGGCCGTGCATCCATGAAACCCGCCGGCTGCTCCCAAAGAAGTCAGGCTCCAGAAAGGAGAGTTCTGGAATTAAACAGACCGATGGCTTATACTTAAAAAAAGATGAGAGCAAAAAACAGCTGTGAAGCAAATGAGTCACCTGAGGCTAACCAAGAGGCTTCTGGCTGTGAAAGGAATGGGGTCACACAGAGAAGGTGGCAGATGCAGGGACTGCGGGAGGCAGAACTGAGAGGAGAAAGAACGACCAGGGACCTCAGGAGGGAACAGCAAGGGCAGTGGAAGAGGCGGCTTCGCCAGTTTCCAAACTCCCAAGGTCAAGTGTGGGAAACGCCATTCACCTGTGCAGGGGGCACCATCTTCCAGGAGGATCCCCATCCCCTCCCTCGGAAAACAGAAAGAAAGGCCCCGTCAAGTATTTTTGGTTTAGAAGACATCGTTGTGAGTAAATAAACCCGACACGCTTTTGCGTTGCTCAGCGATGACTAAACTTGCCTCTCTCAGGAAGATTCAGAGGAGCCACCAGTCCCAGGAGGCCTGTGCCTTGAGGCTGAGTGCCCACCAGTGGGGGTGGCAGCGAGGGGGCCTGCGCCCGTCAGATGATGGAGAAGAGGTCGGCTGTGAAGCCAGCGCGGCCGGCTGATGCCACCCTGAGCCTCGGCTGCTCTGAGTTGGCTGCTGAACAAACCTAGAGCTGGAGCCCAGCCAGGGGTGGGAGGGCCAGAGCCTCCAGGCACAGGCACAGCATCCACAGCTTCATGCCCTTTGGAGGGGCCACCGGGGGAGGGCACAAGGCTGAGAGCAGAAACATGGGCCTGGGTGGCAGGTGCTTCCCTCATATGTTTTTTTTTTTTTAATGCTTAGTATTAAAAGCACAGAATTTAATCAGTTCATCCGAGTGACTGAGGAGGGCTTAAGAGTTAAGAGAAGAAACGACTGTCTCTGGTGTGAGGGGGACAACACACAGCCCGTGACCGGCAGGAGCTCAGGGGCCACCGCACTGGGCTCAGAAGTGACGTGCGGACGTGGCGAAGCACAAATCCAAACACACCAGGAAGACACCAGAAACGGCCACAAAACCCATGCAACCTCCCGTTAAGCCTAAATAACTATAACGTCGCATCAAAACTTCAGTAAGATGAAGAAGCGATTCCTAGAATAAAATTAGTGTGAAATAAAATTTTAAAATTACCCAAAACAATCTGGAACAAACCCTCGGATGACTTCCCAAGTTTTGGAAGACGGAGATCAGGAACTCATCACGAAGTTATAGACGCGGATAATCCCACAAACGGACACGGAATCCAAGTTTAAGGGCAGCCACAAGAAGAACAGAAAGAGAATGCAAAATTCCCAAACCATTAGAGCAGAGAAAGAAGACACCAAAACCGGATCCAAGCCCTCATGGAGAGGGGAAAAAATGTATTCTCACAACAAAGACAACGGGTTAAACTCTCCTATCAAAGAGAACCTGAGATGTGTGCAAAAAAGCAAAGCAAAGGCCTCCGTAACACAGCTGAAACAAATGACAGGGAGGGTGGAAGCAGAGACCAACAGCAACTGTAGCGATGTTAGTACAAGAGAATCGGGGGTTAGAGCGAAAACACACTGAACAGGAAAAAAGAAAAAAAAAGAATCCACACTGGCAAAAGGTGCAAGTCATCAAAACTACGTAAGAACCATCAGCCTGCATAGCCAGCAGCACGGCTCCTAAGCAACACCGCGAGGTTACAGAGACACGGAGAAAACAAGAATCCACAAGAAAAACGACCGGACTTGGATGTCGGAGTTCACAATCTCCCAGGCTGCCTGCTTGTTTCTCATTCATTCAACTTAACACCTCAAAGTGCCTCACAAATAGGAAATCATTTAATCTTCATAAAAACCTCGAGGCAATCTCACCACCACCTCACGCCACAGACAGAGAAACTGAGGCAGAGGTAGGTCACTTGTGAAGGGCCACACCCTGGCTAAAGGCAGAGCAGGACGTGGGCAACTGGCCCCCGGGGTCCGCTTGTTTACCCACCACACCAACCAGCAAACTCAGCCAAAGGAAAATCACCCCAGGACCCCTGGAAAATCTGCACCCAAGTGAACAAGCAAGAAGATCTCAATCCCCCAAGGCAGAGATCCGTGTAGACAACACTCCCTGACCGCCCGGGAAGGAGACTAGAAAGAGGAGTGGATGGAACCCAAAAAGGCCACGTTACTCAAATGTTTCAGAACAAACTTCTCGATTAAAAAGGAACTCTGATGAAATTACAGCTTCTTTAGAAATGAATGCCAGTGAAAATATTATTCATCAAAGTCCGCAGGGAGCAGCCAGGAGCACACAGGAAACACAGCCGGAAATGCGCTTACAAAGACTTGGCGGGCACGTGGGCTCACGCCTGGAATCCTGGCACTTTGGGAGACTGAGGCAGGTGGACTGCTTCAGCCCAGGAGTTCAGACCGGCCTAGGCAACACAGCAAGACTCCATCCATCTCTACAAAAAATTAAAAAAGTTAACTGGTGTGATCTGCCAACAGTGTCTGCTACTCTGGAGGCTTGGGCAGGAGCCCAGGAGGCAGAGGGTACAGGGAGCTGTGATTGCACCATTGCACTCCAGGTTGGGTGAGAGAGCCAGATCCCGTCTCAAAGAATAACAAAAGACTTTTAACTCAAGATGTCAGAAAAAAAAAAGTTTTAAGAAAATTCAGCAAGGCTGGGTGCAGTGACTCACACTTTGGGAAGCCGAGGCAGGTGGATCACGAGGTCAGGAGTTCAAGACCAGCCTGGCCAACATGGTGAAACCCCATTTCTACTAAAAATATAAAAATTAGCCGGGTGTGGTGGGGTGTGCCTGTAATCCCAGCTACTTAGGAGGCTGAAGCAGGAGAATCGCTTGAACCCAGGAGGCAGAGGTTGCAGTGAGCCAAGATTGTGCCACTGCACTCCACACTCCAGCCTGGCGACAAAGTGAGACTGTCTCAAAAAAAAAAAAAAAAAAAAAAAAGGAAAGAAAATTCAGCAGGGCATGGTGGCTCATGCCTGTAATTCTAGAACTTTGGGAGGCTGAGGTGGGTGGATCACCCGAGGTCAAGAGTTCAAGATCAGCCTGACCAACATGGAGAAACCCCATCTCTACTAAAAATTCAAAATTAGCCAGGCGTGGTGGCGCATGCCTGTAATCCCAGCTACTTGGGAGGCTGAGGCAGGATAATCGCTTGAACATGGGAGGCAGAGGTTGCAGTGAGCCGAGATCGTGCCATTGCACTCCAGCCTGGGCAACAAGAGCAAAACTTCATCTCAAAAAAGAAAAAAACAAAATTCAATATTTGATCAATTTAAAAAAATTGGCCCTTTTGAAAGCAACAAATAAATCTTTAGCACGTCAAGGATCAAAAGAAAAGGTAAATATTAGTAAAAGTAAACACTGATATAAATTTAAAACTGCAAAACAGAGATTAAACTGGAGGAGGACATCACACACAGCTTTACATCGATCCATGGAAAACCACACCAGAGTAAAGGGGAGCAGCAGCCTGCACCCCTCTGGAACACCAGCCCACCCAGCAGACCCCAAAACTGAATTTCCACGAGATCCCAGGGGGTTCCTCACCACTGGGGAACTGCTGTAAGGACAAGTACCTAACAAAGGCCAACCAGGAAAGACCCAGGGGCCTCCGCGCAGACGAGACCAACACCAGAGACAGAAAAACAGCGTGGTTCCAGGAGAGCCGCCAAGCCACCAACAGAGGAAGCACCAGGTACGTCAACATCGGAAACCAGGCATGGCAGTGAAACCGGGGTCATGAAAGAAGAAGGTGATTTCCTCGCTTCCTGCCCCTCCGGACCCCTTCTCTGAACTGGCCGCTCTTCTCTACTGACCCACAAGGCAACGCCATCACATCCCACGTTGGACACACGTGTCTATTTCTGTAATGCTCACTGAACGTTTTAAACAACGTGTAAATGTAAACTAAAAAATTAAGGTTCCGTTACTTGGCTGGGCGCGGTGGCTCATGCCTGTAACCCCAGCACTTTGGGAGGCTGAGGCGGGCCAGAAGTTCGAGACCAGCCTGGCCAACGTGGTGAAACCCTGTCACTACTAAAAATACAAAAGTTAACCAGACGGAGCGGCAGGTGCCTGTAGTCCCAGCTACTCGGGAGGCTGAGGCAGGAGAATCGCTTGAACCCAGGAGGCAGAGGCTGCAGTGAGCCGGGATGGTGCCACCGCATTCCAGCCTGGCAGACAAGAGCAAAACTCCATCTCAAAAAAAAAAAAAAGTTCTCTAGACGTGGGTATGGAATTTCATCAAATTCTTTTACTGCATCTCTGTGACCGTGTAGTTTTTCTGTCTTCATCTGGTAATACAGTAAATGACACACGAAGAGGCCCTCGACGTTCACTCTCACTTTCCTTTCAACACACTGCCAGGCTTTACTTTCTTTCACGTAACATTCACGGAGCACAGAGACGCGCCCGGAGGAAAAGGCACAAAACGTGGGCCATGGGGCTGAGGCCAGAGCCGGCCACTGACCTGCCATGTTTTATATCTGCCATGCTTTACCCTAAGCACGTGTTCCTCTGGTAATTAAAAAAAAAAAGAAAAAGGAAGAAGTCGGGAGGAAGAAAACAGCAGCCCTTGGGTGCTGGCTGTCACTGCTTCCCTTCATCCCCAGGGAAGGTTTCTGGTGTGAGCCCTCCCTCGGTGCTCCCAGGACTGCACTATTACAGGAGCACTAATACAGGAGTGTCCCGGAGGCCCGGGGCCCCGCCCACCTGCTCACGCCTCCACGGCGAGCACTAACACTGCAGCGACCCCGGGGCCCCGCCCACCTGCTCACGCCTCCACGGCGAGCACTAACACTGCAGCGACCCCCGGGCCCCGCCCACCTGCTCACGCCTCCACGGCGAACACTAACACTGCAGCGACCCCGGGCCCCGCCCACCTGCTCACGCCTCCACGGCGAGCACTAACACTGCAGCGACCCCCGGGCCCCGCCCACCTGCTCACGCCTCCACGGCGAACACTAACACTGCAGCGACCCCCGGGGCCCCGCCCACCTGCTCACGCCTCCACGGCGAGCACTAACACTGCAGCGACCCCCGGGCCCCGCCCACCTGCTCACGCCTCCACGGAGAGCACTAACACTGCAGCGACCCCCGGGCCCCGCCCACCTGCTCACGCCTCCACGGCGAGCACTAACACTGCAGCGACCCCGGGGCCCCGCCCACCTGCTCACGCCTCCACGGCGAGCACTAACACTGCAGCGACCCCCGGGCCCCGCCCACCTGCTCACGCCTCCACGGCGAGCACTAACACTGCAGCGACCCCGGGGCCCCGCCCACCTGCTCACGCCTCCACGGCGAGCACTAACACTGCAGCGACCCCGGGGCCCCGCCCACCTGCTCACGCCTCCACGGCGAGCACTAACACTGCAGCGACCCCCGGGCCCCGCCCACCTGCTCACGCCTCCACGGCGAACACTAACACTGCAGCGACCCCGGGCCCCGCCCACCTGCTCACGCCTCCACGGCGAGCACTAACACTGCAGCGACCCCCGGGCCCCGCCCACCTGCTCACGCCTCCACGGCGAACACTAACACTGCAGCGACCCCCGGGGCCCCGCCCACCTGCTCACGCCTCCACGGCGAGCACTAACACTGCAGCGACCCCCGGGCCCCGCCCACCTGCTCACGCCTCCACGGCGAGCACTAACACTGCAGCGACCCCCGGGCCCCGCCCACCTGCTCACGCCTCCACGGCGAGCACTAACACTGCAGCGACCCCCGGGCCCCGCCCACCTGCTCACGCCTCCACGGCGAGCACTAACACTGCAGCGACCCCCGGGCCCCGCCCACCTGCTCACGCCTCCACGGCGAGCACTAACACTGCAGCGACCCCCGGGCCCCGCCCACCTGCTCACGCCTCCACGGCGAGCACTAACACTGCAGCGACCCCGGGCCCCGCCCACCTGCTCACGCCTCCACGGCGAGCACTAACACTGCAGCGACCCCGGGCCCCGCCCACCTGCTCACGCCTCCACGGCGAGCACTAACACTGCAGCGACCCCGGGGCCCCGCCCACCTGCTCACGCCTCCACGGCGAGCACTAACACTGCAGCGACCCCCGGGGCCCCGCCCACCTGCTCACGCCTCCACGGAGAGCACTAACACTGCAGCGACCCCCGGGCCCCGCCCACCTGCTCACGCCTCCACGGAGAGCACTAACACTGCAGCGACCCCCGGGCCCCGCCCACCTGCTCACGCCTCCACGGAGAGCACTAACACTGCAGCGACCCCCGGGCCCCGCCCACCTGCTCACGCCTCCACGGGAGCACTAACACTGCAGCGACCCCCGGGCCCCGCCCACCTGCTCACGCCTCCACGGAGAGCACTAACACTGCAGCGACCCCGGGGCCCCGCCCACCTGCTCACGCCTCCACGGAGAGCACTAACACTGCAGCGACCCCCGGGCCCCGCCCACCTGCTCACGCCTCCACGGCGAGCACTAACACTGCAGCGACCCCGGGGCCCCGCCCACCTGCTCACGCCTCCACGGCGAGCACTAACACTGCAGCGACCCCCGGGCCCCGCCCACCTGCTCACGCCTCCACGGAGAGCACTAACACTGCAGCGACCCCCGGGCCCCGCCCACCTGCTCACGCCTCCACGGCGAACACTAACACTGCAGCGACCCCGGGGCCCCGCCCACCTGCTCACGCCTCCACGGCGAGCACTAACACTGCAGCGACCCCCGGGCCCCGCCCACCTGCTCACGCCTCCACGGAGAGCACTAACACTGCAGCGACCCCCGGGCCCCGCCCACCTGCTCACGCCTCCACGGAGAGCACTAACACTGCAGCGACCCCCGGGCCCCGCCCACCTGCTCACGCCTCCACGGAGAGCACTAACACTGCAGCGACCCCCGGGCCCCGCCCACCTGCTCACGCCTCCACGGCGAGCACTAACACTGCAGCGACCCCGGGGCCCCGCCCACCTGCTCACGCCTCCACGGAGAGCACTAACACTGCAGCGACCCCCGGGCCCCGCCCACCTGCTCACGCCTCCACGGAGAGCACTAACACTGCAGCGACCCCCGGGCCCCGCCCACCTGCTCACGCCTCCACGGCGAGCACTAACACTGCAGCGACCCCCGGGCCCCGCCCACCTGCTCACGCCTCCACGGCGAACACTAACACTGCAGCGACCCCCGGGCCCCGCCCACCTGCTCACGCCTCCACGGCGAGCACTAACACTGCAGCGACCCCGGGCCCCGCCCACCTGCTCACGCCTCCACGGCGAGCACTAACACTGCAGCGACCCCGGGCCCCGCCCACCTGCTCACGCCTCCACGGCGAGCACTAACACTGCAGCGACCCCGGGGCCCCGCCCACCTGCTCACGCCTCCACGGCGAGCACTAACACTGCAGCGACCCCCGGGGCCCCGCCCACCTGCTCACGCCTCCACGGAGAGCACTAACACTGCAGCGACCCCCGGGCCCCGCCCACCTGCTCACGCCTCCACGGAGAGCACTAACACTGCAGCGACCCCCGGGCCCCGCCCACCTGCTCACGCCTCCACGGCGAGCACTAACACTGCAGCGACCCCGGGGCCCCGCCCACCTGCTCACGCCTCCACGGCGAACACTAACACTGCAGCGACCCCCGGGCCCCGCCCACCTGCTCACGCCTCCACGGCGAACACTAACACTGCAGCGACCCCCGGGCCCCGCCCACCTGCTCACGCCTCCACGGCGAACACTAACACTGCAGCGACCCCCGGGCCCCGCCCACCTGCTCGTCGCTGCGGTGGTAGTCGTTGTCCTCCTCCGGCTTCTCCTCCGCGGCCTCTTTGTTTGAACTGTCGTCTGCTTTGGTTTCACCTTTTAGCACAAACAGAACATAGCGCACCATGAAATCCAAACTGTCAAGCCATTTAAAAAACTACACTGTACTCCAAATGCCGTCAAAAATTCACTCCATTAAGAGACTCTGGACCCCCGGAGCGGAGTAAGCGTCAAAGGAAAGCCGTCCGCAAAGTGTCTGCAGGGGTCTCCCCAGGATGCAGAACGGGCGTGTGGGCCTGTGGGGTGCAGGCGTGGGGAGCACAGGAGACAGAGACGGGGCAGCCGGAGCCGGCGTGGGACACAGACACGCTCCGCACTGGCCACATGGCCAGGCCCGCCCGGAGCTGCTCAGTGCTGACCACATCAGCCCCTCGATCTGAAAGCCTTCTCCTAAAAATCCACTGTTTCAACACCGCTTTTAAAATGAAAACTTCCCCTCAGGTAAAAGGGTTCTGACAGGACTGCTTGGTTCCCAGACTCGCTTCCTAACCACGCCTCATGGCTGTGCTTCCTGGGACCCGCAAAGCCGTGGGGGTGACAGAGCCAGGCCCCTCCCACCCTCCAACTGTCACAGACGCCCGGAGGAGCCTAAACATTTCCTAAGAGTTGGTGTGGTCCATTAGGAAAATAAAATGTCCTCAAGACATGAACGTTTGTTGTGATACCCTCAGATTTCAACATACCATTCCCTTTACACAGAAACCAAACCATTATTTTGCCATTTTACAGTAAAGCAAGCCAAGTGAAGTCTCAGGAAGTTCACCTTCCACTACTCTTTCCACAGGCCTTCTGAACCCTGACCTCTGCCCCCCAGACACTCTCGGGGGGCCCTCCTGCTCTCCCCTGCTGGCTTTTCCCCTCTGCCCACGTTCCCACTGGTACCAGGAGTGAGGAGGAACGCCTTGAACCCTAACCGCCCCACACCCTCAGGTTCCCCCACGTTCTCCCGTGAGTGCGTGTGGGAGGGGCCGGCAGACAGCGCCAGCTCTTTAAGAAAAGGCCTCATGCAGGGGATTCCCGGGGCTTCTGGATGGGCACGCAGGGCACTCACCATTCCGATGGGAATCTAAGTGCTGTTTTGCAGAGCAGGTCTCCCCCTTGATGTCTCCCGGCACCTCCATGCCCAATTTGTGATAGAACTCCCTCTGCTTTCTCATTTCCGCTGCGGAAAATCAACACACAGTCTTTCATCTCACAGGCAGTGGATTCTATTAAACTTCTGTTCATAAACATCACATAAAGAAAATTAGGGATTTGCATTATGAAGTTTGAAGGCTACTAATAAGAAAGCAGCAAATTAAGACTGAGATGTTTTGGGGGCTCAGCACAGCGGGAAGCGCACCCCCCGGGCACCCGCCCCACCAACCCACGTGGGACGTTGAGTCGCAGACCGGCTGCTCCAGGCCTAGGACAGGCACGGGGCCTGGGAAACCCAGGTGCGGGACTGTCATCCCCACCTCAGCCACTGCCTGTGAGTGTCCAATGGCGCAGAACCACCCGTCACCAGGGGTTGATAAACACTGTGGCCACAGCAGTGCCATGCCAGACATCATTGCTGACCTCACGGCTGAGCCAGTGGACTGCCTGGACACCCGCAGCTCAGAGATGAACCTGCCACTGGGTTCCCCCCACGCTCCTGCGCAGTGGCAGATCCTGCCGGCTCACAGGTACCCAAGGCCACCACTGAGGAACCCCAAGAGAGCCCTCGAGGGCCCGAGAGCCCCGGGGACCATGTGTCCCAGGCGCCTGAGTCCACAGCCTGCAGGGAGGGCTGCTCACAGCTATGAGCTCTGGCACCCCGTTGCCTGGCAGTGGGTTAAGAGCGCCCCCTGGTGTCTGTGGCCACAGCCACAGGCACAAATTCCAGGGAGGAGACTGCCCGGCGGCAGACGGGCCGCAGCATCCTCACCCACACCTGCCATTGGGTCACCTCTGGCCGGACCAGAGGAGGCCTGACCCTCCAGGGATGGCCAGCAAGAGCTGGCCAGAACCTCGCAGGTTCCAGGGAAAAGCAAACAGACTCTCGGCAAAGGCCCCCTAAGGGTGACCTTAGTTCACACCCAGGGGACACAGTGGACGACGTGGGTCACTGCTCGGGAACACACAGTAGGTAGCAAAGAAAGGTTAGAAAAAAGCTGCTCAAACCGCAACCCAGACATCACTCTGAAAAGTAACGTATGTGCTACGTGACCAAGGAATTCTTCACCAAACTTTTTATCCACGATTTCCTCCCTACATACCATGAGCTCGGCCAGGCCAGGGAAACGCTCTGGGCATACCCCAACCTACACAGCTGCCTCACAAACACCAACCGTGCAGGGACCAATGCCCGCGTGAGGCAACGAGCTTGGACAGAGAGGAGGATGCCCCGTGAGCCTGGGCAGAGAGAGGAGGGGACCCCGAGAGCCTGGGGAGAGAGGAGGGGACCCTGAGAGCCTGGGCAGAGAGAGGAGGGGACCCCGAGAGCCTGGGGAGAGAGAGAGGAGGGGACCCCGAGAGCCTGGGCAGAGAGAGGAGGGGACCCTGAGAGCCAAGGGGATAGGTGGGGCCGGCCGCAGGTGGATGGAGTGCTGGAGCCTCACAAGGGAAATGCTGAAAGATTAGCCTGGAGAATCTGAGAGCAGCTTGAAAGAAAATGTTTCCCTTAAATAATCACATCCCAGCAGCTGGAATGGAGGCCTGCAAGACAGGGGCTGACAGCAGGAGGCTGTTCCCATCAGTCTGCAGAAGAGCCGTGACGGGAACAACAGGCCACATAGGTCCGTGCAAAGGAGAGAGCCCCACGGACACAGTGGAAAGCAACTCAGCTTCAGACCCTGACCCTTGGCTCTAGTTCCCATTTCTTTAATTTTCACCTGTAAGAATAAAGAAGGATTAAAAATAGCAGCACTCAGTGTCAGGTGTATACAGGCACTGAAACATTTATTGGGGCCGGGCGCGGTGGCTCACACCTGTCATCCCAGCACTGTGGGAGGCTGAGGCGGGCGGATCATGAGGTCAGGAGTTCGAGACCAGCCTGGCCAACATGGTGAAACCCCCGTCTCTACTAAAAATACAAAAAATTAGCCAGGCATGGTGGCACCTGCCTGTAATCCCAGCTACTCAGGAGGCTGAGACAGGACAACTGTGTGAACCTGGGAGGCGGAGGTTGCAGTGAGCTGAGATCGTGCCACTGCACTCAGCCTGGGCAACAAGAGCAAAACTCCGTCTCAAAAATGATTGAATAAATAAATAAATAAGAGCTCACTGTCTCTGGACATTGCTCTTGAGCTGCGGCAGTCCAGCCTGATCTGAGGAGCTCACTGTTGGCATAACGCTAACGAATCAGCCAATTGGAAGCTTATTCTGACTACAGCCATATCTTCATTTTCACTTCTGAGAAGAAATTCTGCTGTGATGAGACATTCCATTTTAAATTTTCAGCATTTTGTAAACACTGCTTTCCTGTGAGTAGGGAATATTGCTGGTGTCTAAATACTGCTTTCCTGTGAGTGGGGATATTGCTGGTGTTGAGTCAGTGACTCCATCGTCGGCTGTTTGCTCTCAGCATAGCTACAGTATGACGGATGAGAAAGTCGGTGCTTTGCCATCAACAATGACAGTTCAACAACAAAATAATCCAGAGTTCACTGCGGCTTCGAAGTGCAGCCCTGAAAGTCCCCTTTTCTCCTTTCCTCGTTCTGACGTCGTCATGAAAACGTCCCAATGCAGTGACGATGAGTTCCAGCCACGGTGCAGAGGGCTGCCCAAAGCCACCGGCAGGCAGGCAGCACACTCCTGGCACACACTCAGCTGCACCACGGACGGGCTTACGGGTGAAGGCGACCACAGCTGAGCCAGTGGGGCTGGTTCCAACCAGGCTACGCACCATGAAATTTCAATTCTTAAATTATCACATCATAAAATACGCTGCTTTTGATTTTTTCCAACTATTTAAAAATGTAAAGAAACATTCTTAGCTCATGGGATCCTCCTGCCTCGGCCTCCCACAGTGCTAGGGTTACAGGCATGAGACACTGTGTCCGGCCCCCACGTTTCTAAAGCAAGAGGTGACAGGCATGTTCAGGATCCATGGAAAGAGGACTGGTGAGTGCGTGAGCCCCACAGCCCTCACCAGGAACGGACAGGAGCCTGGCACACCAAAGACCATGACACGCCCACCGAGTGAAAGAGCCCAGAGTGGGCTGAGACTGAGAATGGACACTTTGATAAATGTTTTAAACATGTTGCCTCTACGAAGACAGGTTTCTAAAATAATTTATAAAAACAAAAAGAAACAACAAACCACTAAAAACCTAACCCCACCTCTGATCTAGCAGGGAACTCTCTTCCAGCAAGCCCCCACCATGTGGGGGTGCGGGGACAGCGTTGAGGGCCTGCCCGGAGTCCAGGTGGGAGGGGCAGGACCGTGTTGGCGTCTCCTCCAAAACAGACACCTGGACCCTCAAGGGCTGACACCTCGCCTCACCACTGCATCCTCGCAGCTAACGCGCGTTTCAGGAAGAGGCCTCTGGTCGGAGAAATGAGGTTTGCAATTGTCTGCACCACAGATAAAACTAAACAAATTGCAAGTAGCCTCCATCAAGAAAATAGGTGCACTGCTAATAGTTTTAAAGTTAGAATCCTCCTGCTAAAGAGCCACAAATGACTGAAAGCTTGAGAAACAACAAGAAAAAGAATATTGACTCAACGGAAAATATGGTGGCCAGAGACAGGAGCTGGTCAGGGAGGCGGCTCGGGGCCACCGTGCCCTGGGGGTGTCAATCTGGAGCACTCCGGAACCTCTTGCCTCTCGACTTCTTCAACGTAGAGTGGAGTTGGCAGCGTCCACACCGGACAAGAGCGTGCTGAGGTGGACGAGAACATACAACCTGCTCCAGGCTGGACGCACACTCCAACTAACACGTGGAGACGAGCGATGGAACGGAGGTGGCATGCAGATCTCAGTGCCACCCGGCTCAGCACATGGACGACACCTGCCCTGATGGATGCCCAGAAGCGGGCTTCCCAAAAACACGGGTGGAACGCACCCAGGTCCACTGCCGCAGGACAACCCAGGACAATGGGAAGGCAGAGGCAGGAACCAGAAGGAGGCCCGTGAGTCAGTGGTATTCTCTGGATCCTGATTGGAATAAACAAAAACAGGCTGGGTGTGGGGGCTCACACCTGTAATCCCAGCACTTTGGGAGGCCAAGGCAGGAGGACTGCTTGAGCCCAGGAGTTCAAGACCAGCCTGGGCAACACAGCAAAACCCTATCCCTACAAAAAATTAGCCAGGATGGAGGTGCTTGCCTGTAGTTCCAGCTACCTGGCAGGCTGAGGTGGGAGAATCACTGGAGCCCGGGAGGTTGAGGCTACAGTGAGCTGTGATAGCACCACTGAACTCCAGCCTGGGCAGCAGAGACCAGGTCTCAAAATAAATAAAGAAATAAACAACAACCAAAAAGCACCGCATTTATGAGACAACTAGAAATGTCAGCACTGAGTGGCTATTTGGTATTAAGGAATCTCTACTATTTTCCTAAACATTATCAAGGTATTGTGGTTATGAGCTTTAAGAAGAACCCTTATCTTTTGGGGATACGTACTGCAGCCTTTACAGATCAAAGGCCACGGGGTGAGGCTGAGGGAGCAGCAGGTGCAGCAAGGACGGCCACGCCTAGAAACTGCTGGCGGGGGGTGGTGGTCACAAAACTCGAGGTTCCTGCCCCGATCCCGCCCACTGCTAAGCGTTTGAAACGCTCCAGTGCACACTTTATTTATTTATTTATTTTTTTGAGACGGAGTCTTGCTCTGTCGCCCAGCCTGGAGTGCAGTGGCGCGATCTCAGCTCACTGCAACCTCTGCCTCCCGGGTTCAAGCGATTCTCCTGCCTCAGCCTGCTGAGTAGCTGGGATTACAGGCACCTGACACCACGCCCGACTAATTTTTTTTTTTTTTTTGTATTTTTGGTAGAGACAGGGTTTCACTATGTTGGTCTGGCTGGTCTCAAACTCTTGACCTGATGATCCACCCGCCTCGGCCTCCCAAAGTGCTGGGATTACAGGCGTGAGCCACTGCACCCGGCCACAAACGTTTCTTAAAGTGTCAGCACTGGCGGGGGTCACAAAACTTGGGGTCCCGCCCCGATCCCGCCCACTGCTACGCGTCTGAAACACTCGGTGCAAACGTTTCTTAAGGTGTCAGCATTTAACTCGAATGTATCCTTTGCCTTTTCTCAGGACTAAAAAACTTTCAGATATTAAAAGACTAATTGTTTCTATCTACGTTTACTCAGGAAATCTAAATTCTTCCTGCATGAATGAACTCTGTGAGTAGGGAAGAAGCCTCTAACAGTATGATTCTCTGGGTCACGCATTAAAGGCGAGATACGGTTTCTACGGATCTGGCATATTCAGCTGTGTTTTGAATTCCAACCCTCTTCTGAGATACAGTGAGAACCAGCCCAAGTGAATTCTCAGCTTCTCTATCTGCCTTTGAAAGGTCTGATGAGCAGAATACCAGGACAGCCCACCTGGCGCTGACCTGGCCCCTCCTTGGCCTCCTTGCCGGTCGCCAGCGGAGGGCCACCACCGTGAGAGTGTCGGGAGCTGGGGAGCTTTCAGCTGAGCGATCCCCAAGCAACCGATTTCCACTTTCAGGGTATTTGTACTACTTGGTATTTCTTTTAATTCTAAATGAAATTTGACTTTATGGTGAAGTTTTTCTAGAAACACCAGCTACCCGCTATGCCAACGTGCTGCTCCTCTGTTGTGGGGAAGCTGGCGCTGTGGGATGAGGGGAGGCAGGCCTGGGACAGGAGGTGGGGCCCAGGAAGAAGGCAGGGTCCTGGGAGGGGCAGGAGCTGCGTTGAGCCCTGGGGGTCCCATGTGCTAAACATGCGATCCATACTTGCTGAATGAATACACATAAGGGGTAAAAAGATGTCTACGCATCTTAGACGAAAGAAGAGACCAGCCAAGGAGATGAAGTTGGGCTGAGAGCAGGGATGAGAAGACGGTGATTCGGCCAAAAGGAAAGGGGCCTCCCATCCGAGAACCAAACTTCCAGGAGAGCAGGGGCTGCAGAGGCCAGGCTGGGACCTCAGGGATCAGCAAGACAGTCAGACACTCACCTTCTTGGAGGCCTGGTACCAATTTGTAAACAATATCTTGCATGGTTCTGTCATGACTGGCAAAAGAACAGAAAGGTGGAGTTAGCTGGAAATGTTAATTCTATAATTCTTGTACACTTTCCATTTAACAATATCAAAGTTCAGAATCACCAGTCTGGAGCTTTGTTGGAATTTTACTTCTAGTTTACACATGAAAAAATGTGTCACCAAAAGCCATGTATGAGCTGAATTAACGCGTCATTTAACTTGGGCTCTGGCTGCTTCAAACATTTCAAATAATGACAGAGAAGGCTCTTCTGGGAACCCGTGCTTCTGTCTGCCGGACACCCCAGATTCCCCACGTCCCGTGCGCTCAGGGGACACCGTCCCTGCAGACACCCCAGGTTCCCCGCGTCCCGTGCGCTCAGGGGACACCGTCCCTGCAGACACCCCAGGTTCCCCGCGTCCCGTGCGCTCAGGGGACACCGTCCCTGCAGACACCCCAGGTTCCCCGCGTCCCGTGCGCTCAGGGGACACCGTCCCTGCAGACACCCCAGGTTCCCCGCGTCCCGTGCGCTCAGGGGACACCGTCCCTGCAGACACCCCAGGTTCCCCGCGTCCCGTGCGCTCAGGGGACACCGTCCCTGCAGACACCCCAGGTTCCCCGCGTCCCGTGCGCTCAGGGGACACCGCCCCTGCAGACACCCCAGGTTCCCCGCGACACTGTCCCTGCAGACACCCCAGGTTTCCCGCGTCCCGTGCGCTCAGGGGACACCGTCCCTGCGGACACCCCGGGTTCCCCGCGTCCCGTGCGCTCAGGGGACACCGTCCCTGCGGACACCCCGGGTTCCCTGCATCCTGTGCGCTCAGGAGACACCGTCCCTGTGGACACCACGGGTTCCCTGCATCCTGTGTGCTCAGGGGACACCGTCCCTGCGGACACCCCAGGTTCCCTGCATCCTGTGCGCTCAGGGGACACCGTCCCTGCGGACACCCCAGGTTCCCTGCATCCTATGCGCTCAGGGGACACCGTCCCTGCGGACACCCCGGGTTCCCTGCATCCTATGCGCTCAGGGGACACTGTCCCTGCCCCTCCCACCAAGTGCTTCCTGGGGTCTCCTGGTCTTTGTGGGATTTCCAATGAACAGAGGCTTTTCTAGAATGTTTCCAAATAATGTAAAGAAAAGTCTGTGAGGGCCGGGTGTGGTGGCTCACACCTGTAATCCTAGCATTTGGGGAGACTGAGGCGGGCAGATGACCTGAGATCAGGAGTTTGAAACCAGCCTGGCCAACATGGTGAAACCCTATCTCTACTAAAAATACAAAAATTAGCTGGGCGTGGTGACATGCGCCTGTAATTCCAGCTACTCGGGAGGCTGAGGCAGGAGAATCACTTGAACCCGGGAGGTGGAGGTTGCGGTGAGCTGAGATGGCGCCATTGCACTCCAGCCTGGCGACAGAGCAAGACTCCATCTCAAGAAAAATAAATAAAATTAAGAAAAATAATAATAATAAAAGGGAAAAACAAACACATCTGCCTTTCCTCCTTCAAAATGTGTCTTCAGAATTATCTCTACTACCCTCATGGTACGGGGAGCATTTCCCTTCCTTTGGAGCAACCCCCCAAATCTGAACGACCTCCCAAATCTGTGTGAGAACCACACGCTCCACCTGGCTGGCCCCTTGGCCTCCTGCTGACGTCCAGGCAAGAGTTGCCTTCTCCAGAAATGGTGGCTGGCCCAGGGGTGAGTCCAGGCTCGCTGTGACCCTGGGCAGAAGAGCACAGCGCAGGGAGAAAGACCTTGGCCATGTGTCAGGGGCAGCAGGGCCAGGGCCCCAGGACCATCTGCTCCATGGCAGAAAGGTGAAAGGGGTATCCAAGGGCCGGCTCACATCAAATTTAACTTCAGCAAATTCTGCGTAAAACTCATGAGATTCAACTTGGTCTTGAGGGCTCTCCAACAATTTAACTTGACTAAGTATTTTTTCTTTCTCTTTGAGACAGAGTCTCGCTCTGTCGCCAGGCTGGAGTGCAACGGCGCAATCTCCGCTTACTGCAACCTCGGCCTCCTGGGTTCAAGTGATTCTCCTGCCTCAGCCTCCTGAGTAGATGGGATTATAGGCATGCACCACCATACCCAGCTAATTTTGTACTTTTAGTAGAGATGGGGTTTCTCCACGTTGGTCAGGCTGGTCTCAAACTCCTGACCTCAGGTGATCTGCCTGTGTCGGCCTCCCAAAGTGCTGGGATTATAGGCATGAGCCCCTGCGCCCGGCCTACCTAAGTATTGATGGAAATGTATGTGCAGGCACAGCCTGGGCAGGCCTGGCAGGATGGCCTGGTGAGCGCTGGACCCAGGTTCTTCGTGTGCAGCTCCTGGGGTGCCCTTGGTCAGGAGAGGCTGCTGCCAAGGCAGGATGGGAGTACAGCGCTAATGGCCTGGGAAGGCCCACACACAGAGACGCCCAGGGGCACTCACCCCACGTACTGTGGCCTGGGAAGGCCCACACTCACCCGATGTACTGCAGGGGGTGGCTCTGGTGGATCACAATCCTGCAGGTGGGGCAGGTGTTGTTCTCCTCCAGGTACTTCACCAGGCAGCTCCTGCAGACTGTCATCAAAGCACAGGTGTGTTAGGAGAGCGTCTAGAGCCAGGGCGCCCACCCCATCGGCGTGCTCCACTGAACACGGGCGTCTCTGAGCTCGTTTCTGTGCAGATGCTCACTGCTGTCCTCCTTGTGGCTCTCAGCTTCTGAAAGGAAACATCTTGCCGTTCTGGTCTCAGGAGCAATGAGAAGGTTTTAATTGCCCCGTCAATGGGCTTCCTCAAAGAGGCAGGGTTAGGAATTAAGTGGGAAAAAAACTTAGAATGGGGAGATGATGCTCAAAGGTGACAGAGCTGTGGGTCATCAGAACATGGGCTAAAACAGATAATTTTACAATACTTTGTCCTAAAAGATGACAGTATCTTCTACGTACAACTAGATAAAATCAAATGAAAATAACCTAACATAAAATATGCTAACCAATATCTAAAAATACGATTAACGTTAAAGTCAAAATTCTATCAAATTGGCAAATATTTTATTTCCTAAAGTGAGAAATACACAAGCATCACTTGTATTATAAGCGTACACTTCATTTTAAAGATCCTGTTTAAACAAAATGCTCCCCAGCCATCAAGAGACGCACACAGCGGTCGTCCACACCAGCAGGGCCGCCAGCCATGGGGCCTCAGGTTAGCATAAGAGCCGAGCCTCAGCCTGATGGATGGCACCTGCCCGTCAGCGGTAGCCACACTTAGAAAAACACTCAGGTCCAGCCCCAGGTGTGAGTCCTCTAACACCAAAGCACAGACTCATCAGGTGTGAGGACGCACATCAGGTGTGAAGAACACACTGGAAGGTTCCCCTTTGAAGGATCTAAGGAACTCCTCTGGAGATTTGGAAACTGCCAGCAGTGAGCACTGTCACAGCGGCTACTGGCCTTGCTGCTCCGTGGGAGGAATGTGGGGTCTCTCCTGTGTTTCGCTCTCCTAAGCGAGGCCTCATCTGCTCTGACACCACCCACAGGACCTTTAGCGTGAAATGACTTTTCTGACTTATCTTCAAGATCGTCTCTGCCCCTGGTCCTGGTTCCTGCTTTTGTCGGGCTTGAGCTAAAAGCGTGTGGTAACACAAAAGCCAAGGTTCTGAAGAGCACAGAGCTGGGAAGGGCGCGCCCTCCCTGGGTGGCGCGGGCAGGGCACGTACAGGTGTGCAGACACTCGGTCACCGTGGTGGCGTCGATGAGGTACCCGCTGCACAGGCGGCAGGTGATGTGGGCGTTGATGTCCCACAGCTTGATCTTCCTGGTCAACATCTTTGGCTTCTACAAGAGAAAACGCGATTAATTAACACCTGAAACTCTTCCATGCCTTTCATCCTTGGCTGAGCTCTGACAGCCGCCCCCAGGGAGGACAGTGCAGGCCCTGAGGCCTGGGTGGCAGGAGCCTCTTGGGCTCACGGGGTCCCAGGCTCCCATGTGCAGGGCACGGTCAGCAATCCAGTGTCTGCGTGCACTGGGACAAGCCCACCTTTTCAAAAGCCCCCGGCTCCCCCGCACTGGCTTCTCTCTGTGCCCAACACCCCCTCCTCTCCTCCTGCAGTGAGGACTGAGGAGGGTCCATAAAGCTGCAGAGAGGCAGGATCCCCGAGCTGTCTGTCTTCTGTGAAAGCGGAAGGAGCAGGAGGAGCCCGCGAAGGCAGAGCTGCCGGGTGGGATGAGGATGGGCAGGCTCTGGGCACCTGGACCCTCTGCGGCTCACAGCGCGACCCTTGGGCCCAGTTTAGAGTCTGGGCTGTATGCTCACACCCCTTCCTCCCCATTCACTTGTGGGGCCGGCGCGGCTTCCACGGTGTCTCCTGAGGCTGTGTCTCCCAGAGCCTGAGGCAGCACGGGGCAGGGGCGGAGGCAGCACGGGGCAGGGGCGGAGGCAGCACGCGGCAGGGGCCCCACCCTACCCTCACAGGGTGGGCACAATGCCAGGCCACAGTGGCTGGCAGAGGCCCTGCCTTGACAGCTGCCGCAGCCGCTCTGCTCGCCCACCAGACCTGCGCCTTCGGGGAGGTGACCCCCGATGTCACCGCACGACGGCAGGCAGAGCCTGGTGATTTGCTTCTGTGCTTGAGGCAAGAGAGCAGGGCCGCTCCGCGTGCGGAGGCTGGTGGGGACTCAGGGTGGCCAGGTGCACCCCACTACTGGGACTTCGCTCCCCACACCTTTCACCAGGGGAGCAGCAGGCACGAGTTTCCCTCAGTGGGGACGGAAAGCCGCGACCCAAACTGCTGCATGCGTGACACCACTTCCGTCATCACCGCCACCAAGAGGCCCAGCCTGGAGCTCTCTGCTGAGCCCCACATCGCCTGCTGCAGGCGCGGGCCTGGGCGTCCAGCTGCAGTCCCACGAAGCAGCTGAGAGCTGGGCTCATCCAGGGGCCACATGTTTGTGGGTGAGGCCTGTCCCCGACCACTCTGCCACCACCTTTACGCTTGCGGTCCTCACCTGGTCACAGAGACTTCCAAAGTCAAATCCTCCCCTTCTCCTCCTCCCTGCGGGGCTGTGAGGTTCGGGAGACCTGATGCATACTGAGGACACGGGAGCCTGCCCAGGAAGGGAGAGGGAGGGGAAGGAGAAGGGAGGGGAGGGGAAGGGAAGGGAGGGGAGGAGGGAAGGGGAGGGGAGGGTAGGGAGGGAAGGGAGGTGAGGGGGAGCCCCACCCCGCGCCCTGACGACCACGCCCACTCGGGAGGGGAGGGGGAGCCCCACCCTACGCCCCTAAGGACCACGCCCACCCACGAGGGGAGGGGAGCCCCGCCTTACCAACCTGAGGACCACGCCCACTCACGAGGGGAGGGGAGCCCCGCCCTACGCCCCTGAGGACCACGCCCACCCACGAGGGGAGGGGAGCCCCGCCCTACGCCCCTGAGGACCACGCCCACCCACGAGGGGAGGAGAGCCCCGCCCTACGCCCCTGAGGACCACGCCCACCCACGAGGGGAGGGGAGCCCCGCCCTACGCCCCTGAGGACCACGCCCACCCACGAGGGGAGGGGGAGCCCCGCCCTACGCCCCTGAGGACCACGCCCACCCACGAGGGGAGGGGGAGCCCCGCCCTACGCCCCTGAGGACCACGCCCACCCACGAGGGGAGGGGAGCCCCGCCCTACGCCCCTGAGGACCACGCCCACCCACGAGGGGAGGGGAGCCCCGCCCTACGCCCCTGAGGACCACGCCCACCCACGAGGGGAGGGGAGCCCCGCCCTACGCCCCTGAGGACCACGCCCACCCACGAGGGGAGGGGGAGCCCCGCCCTACGCCCCTGAGGACCACGCCCACCCACGAGGGGCGGGGGAGCCCCGCCCTACGCCCCTGAGGACCACGCCCACCCACGAGGGGAGGGGAGCCCCGCCCTATGCCCGAGGACCACGCCCACCCACGACGGGAGGGGGAGCCCCGCCCTACACCCCTGAGGGCCACGCCCACCCACGAGGGGACAGAGCACCCGGGAGGGGAGAGATAGCCCTGCCCTGCGCCCCTGAGGACCTCCCTGCAGGATGCTAGCCGACCGCCTCACAACTCACTGGGCTGAGGCCCCAGGCTCGGCCCCCAAGCAGCACTGCTCCTCAGCGACACGCCGGGAACCCAAGTGAACCAGTGACGGAAGGAGACCAGCCCTCTGCACCCCGCACTGCCATCGAGGCCTGGGACCCCCACAGCTGGCTGGACCTTGGACTCTCACAGGAGGGGCCAGGAAAACTCGGCAGTGAACCGTGAACACTGCATCGTGTCCTGACCAGCTGGCTCCTAATGATCGCCGGCCCTCGCCACAACCAGCAACAGGGCAGGGCAAGGAGTCAGCAGGACCCCCGGGGTCGGGGGGCGTGGGCCTCACCTCCGCTAGACGTCCGCGTGTCCGTCCCTCTGCCGGGGCATGGAGGCTTCAGGCCAGCACTCCCACGCGACGCTGCCTCCTGGCTCCGCACGCGGACTCGCTTCTGCACCCTCCTTCCGGCCCTGGCTCTTTTTCCATTTTCTAGCACAGAAACGGCACCTGTTAGTTCACTTCGCGTCATGGATGTGTGACTGCCACAACTCCGCCATTCCTACTGGAACTTGCAACCAAGCCCTACCGAGCAAAGGGCGGAATGGGGTCAATCAGAAGTACTGACCGGGAGAAAAGCTAAGGACCCACGCATGGCTCCAGCCTGTCCTCAGAGCCTGCGTTTCAGAGGCACTGCAAGGAACGCCGACCACATGCACAAAGCGTGGTCCCGGCGGAGTCCGGCAGTTCACAGGTGCGGAAAGAAGAGGGCAGTCGGCCTACGCGCACTTACCTGAGCACGACGCCTGGGGTCCCTGCTACATTGTGACGCCTGCGGAGAAAAAGCACAACAGGGTTACCCGTGGGCCGGAGGCGGACGACCCCCACCCCACCCGCGGTGCCAAGCCTGGCTCGGTTACACTGCTCTGTTCCTTGCTTAAAATAACCAAAAGTTCTTCACAGGGACCGTGAAGAACAGGCTCTACCCGGGAGACACGGGCTGGTCTCGGTGCCTGTCGGGCGTCTCTGAGCCCAGGCCCAAGGCATCGGAGACAGCAGGAGTGGGCACGTGGCCCACGGGGGTGGGGGGGCAGCTGGGGGCCCCATCATGCTGTTTTGGGCCCAAGAAGGCAGGATGTGAGTCTGTGGAGCCCCCCAGAGGAGGGGTGAATTTCAGGGGTGATCTGGGCAAATGCAAGACCTCAGAGGCAAGGCAGTGACGGCTGGCTCCACGACGCAGCCAAGAGATGCCCGCAATTCTGCTGCTGTGCACAGGGCACCATGTTCTCTCCCAGTCACAGACCTGCCTGCGCCTACCAGACGTGCACCAAGGGCCCCGGCGTGGGCACTGAGCCTGGTGTTGGGCTCAGTGGGGATGAGGACAGGGAGGGCACCTGGGGCCTCAGACAGGGAGGGAGGGGCAGGGGAGGGACACAGTCCCCACCCGGGACCAGGGGACCACGTAGGGACCCTGCGTCTGGGATGGGGCATCAGGGTGGCTGCCATGCTGGGAGTGCTTCCCCGGGAACCTCGGTGGCCTCCCACACGTTCCTGTGTGAGTTGGGGAAACAGGTGGCTGGAGTCAGACTGGGGAAAGTGGGGGCCTGGGATGACGTACAGTGTCTGTGGCTTAGTGACAGAGATTAAATACTTTCATGCTCTTCATTTTCTACCCCGTTTGTATCATTTCTACTCTTCCGGTTTCCCATAACTGCACTTTTTATTAACTAATCTTTGAAGCTCAGTTAACTTTTACATAAAAAGGGAGGAAGAAGGGAAAGAGTAGAGTTAGTCTTCCCAGGCAAATATAAGGGGAGATCAGCAGGCATGTCTGAGGCACTTGAGTTAGGGAGAAGAGAAACAAGATGAAGAGAATGAAGCCAGGCTCAAAGCCAGGCTTCCGGAATATTCTGCAACACTGGGGGCTTCCACATCTCCACTACCCAACAGCACAGCTGCTGACCACACATGGCGTGGAGCACCTGAACTGTGGCTTGTGGGACTGAAGGATCTCATTATAATTATTATTATTTCTTTTTTTTTTTTTGAGACAGGATCTTGCTCTGCCACCCAGGCTGCAGTGCAGTGGCACGATCTTGGCTCACTACAGCCTTGACCTCCTGGGCTTGAGCAATCCTCCCACTTCAGCCTCCTGAGTAGCTTGGATTACAAGCATGCACCACCACACCTGGCTAATTTTTGTATTTTTAGTAGAGACAGGGTCTCAGTCTGTTATCCAGGCTGGCCGTGAACTACTGGGGTCAAGTGATCCTCCCGCCTCAGCCTCCCAAAGTGCTGAGATTACAGGTGTGAGCCACCGTGCCCAGCCCAGTTTTTTTTTTTTTTTTTTTTTTTTTTTTTTGAGATGGAGTCTCGCTCTGTCACCCAGGCCGGAGTGCAGTGGTGCAATCTCGGCTCACTGTAACCTCCACTTTCCAGATTCAAGCAATTCTTGTGCCTCAGCCTCACGAGTAGCTGGGATTATAGACGTCCGCCACCACGCCCAGTTAACTTTTATATTTTTAGTAGAGATGGGGTTTCACCATGTTGCCCAGGCTGGTCTCGAACTCCTGGCCTCCAGTGATTCACCCACCTCGGCCTCCCAGAGTGCTGGGAATACAGGCGTGAGCCACCACACCCGGCCAACCGAACGAATTTTTAATTGTATTTAATTTTAGTTAAACTGTGGCCAGTGGCTCCTGTGTTGGCTGGTACAGCTGGCGGCTCCTGACAGGAGTTCTCAGACTTCAGTGAAAACACAGACACAGACCTTGGAGCCAGCATTCTAATGAAGGAAGACAGACAATAACTAACAAACAGGTCAATTATTTACTATGTTAGAAGGTGACACACAGCCATCCCTTGGTATCCGTGGGGGACTAGTTCCAGGACGCCGCTGATACCAAAATCCACAGGTGCTCAAGTCCCGGACATGAAGTGGTGTCGAGTCTGCACAGAAGCTATGCACGCTGCCCCCCAACGCGCTCTACGCCATCCCCAGATTACTTACGACACTTAACACGCTGTGCACGCCACCCCCCACGCACTCTACGCCATCCCCAGATTACTTACGACACTTAACACGCTGTGCACGCCACCCCCCACGCACTCTACGCCATCCCCAGATTACTTACGACACTTAACATGCTGTAAACACTATGTCAATGGTTGTTCTACTGTATTTTTAAGATGTGCATTATTGTTATTGTTGTACTGTTATTTGTTATTGTTTTGGTTCCCAAACATTTTCAATCTGTGTTGACTGGACCCATGGATTCGGGGGAGCTGGCCGTGCACTATTAAACCGGGTGCACCTAAAGCAGGTGACGTCCGAGCACGGACAAGATATGATGAACTTGACCCTAATAAAATGGAAAGTTTACGTGAAACTGCTAAGTTCCTAGAACAGTAATTCACCAGCATTGAGACTAGCAGAGAAAACCCAGGAAGTTCCAGAACCTACAGGGAGCCAGGTCAATGGTCAGAAAGTCCCTTCCAAGACAGCATCAGGCCCCGGAGGGATGCAGGTGGTTTCACCAGACGCTCAGGGCACAAATAATTCAGTCTCATACTCTTCTCAGAGAACTAAAAGGAGCCTTTTTCCAACTCACACTATGAGCCTGACAAAACCAGGCACTGACCATGGCAGACGGAAAGAACTCAACGTTAACCTCACCAGGAAACACAGAGGTGAAAATCCAAAGAAAACGGTTAGTCATCCTTTTTAAGCAATATACAAAAAGATAATCATTCTTGACAAACTCAGAGTCCTAGAAAACAACGTGGGCTTAATGCCTATGGGAAAAAGATACAATTTATGACAAAAGATACAAGGAGAAAAATCACATGATCTTCCCAGCAGGTGCATAAAAATCATTTGACAAAATAATTGTCCATTCATGATTTAAAAAAAACAAAACTCAGCCAAGCATAGTGGCTCATGCTTGTAATCCCAGCACTTTGAGAGGCCGAGGCTGGCAGATCATGAGGTCAGGAGATGGAGACCATCCTGGCTAACATGGTGAAGCTCTGTCTCTACTAAAAATACAAAAAATTAGCCAGGTGTAATGGCAGGTGCCTGTACTCCCAGCTGTTCGAGAGGCTGAGGCAGGAGAATCGCCTGAACCCGGGAGGCGGAGGTTGCAGTGAGCCGAGATCGCGCCTTGCACTCCAGCCTGGGGAATAAGACTGAAACTCCATCTCAAAAAAAAAAAAAAAAAAAAAAAAAGACGCTCGCTAACACACACATCCTCTCAAAGTCTTATACAACAATGTTCAAAGCAGCCCTTTTCCTAACAGCCCCAAACTGGAAACAACCACCTAGTTAGTCCATCAGAAGGCGGATGATAAACACAGCGTAACCCCTCCCCACGCAGATGCGGCTCGGCAGTGAGAGTGAGCAACGCAGGTGCCCACGATCCCACAGGGGAGAGGGGCAGACGCAGGAGCGCACACACGTTCCCACACGCCACTCAATTCCAGAACAACGGCAAGTCTGGTGGGAGGACACAGGCACACACAGTCCAGGCAAGGCAGGGACTGGCCACAGAGGGACCTGAGGGAGGCCTGCGGGGACCGAGCTCTGGGCCAGCACTGCCGGCAAGTCCATGAAACTGGACAGGGGGTGAAAAGTCCCCAAACTGCACAATAAAACTGGTGAATTTTAGTGTGTATCTTAGAATTAAAAACATACACCATAAACATCATTCCTGTGGTGAAATTAGAAAAAAAAAAGCCAAACTGTCAGCTTGTATTGCACCATCCCACCCCAAAAATAACCAGGGCCGGGTGGGTGAGGACAATGGAAAAGGCGACCGTGAACCTTTGGAGGTTGCTAAGGAGGGTATCGTCATGATCGTGGATGAGGAGAAGATTTACGAGACAGAAAACAAAACTGACCATGAAGGAAATGACAAAGTCAAAGATAAGCACCCTGAGTTATTCAAAAGCACCATGGAGAAAAAAAGCCAAGGCCTGAGGGAAATTTCGGCAGTGCCTCCAGGGCCACAACCTAGACCAGGGCCTGGCCATCGTGGCCCGGCTGTGCCCCGTGGGCTGTGTGAGCGGGTTTGCTGGCCCCCGCAGGGCCTGCTCCCAGCACACAGCGCTGCTCGTTGGAGGGAGGCCTGGGGCCGCACGATATTCACCATCTGCTCCCTCACAGGGTTTGCCAGCCCCACTCTAGCCAACAGAGAGCTTCACAAAAGAGAAATTTCAAACAAGCATGTTTTAAATGCTCAACTGTATCAGTGAACTGGGAAATGCACATTAAAAACCCGACAAGATGGCTGCTGACCCTGGCATGCAGAAGCCACGGCCGCAGCGCCACACAGGCCAGGTGCGCACCCACGAGACCATTCCTGCCCGCCAGCCTCTGCCCCACAGCCCATCCCGCCCGCGGCTGCCCACTGCTGGTGGCCTGTTTCACTTCCATGGACACACGGTGGACGGGGCCGATCCTAACCATGGCTCGGAAGAGGCTGGGACGACCTGAGGGTTAATCGGAGACACAGAGAGCCTGGCGGAGAGTGGCCCTGGGGCTCCTGAAATGGGGAGGCCAGTGAGGGGCCAGCTGGGGAAACTGAGGCGGTTCCAGGAGGCTCCGTCATCATCTGTGGTCACCTGCTGGGGGACCCGGGGACGAGCGCTGAGGCTGGACAGGAGGGGCAGCGACTCGGGTTTCCCCTGGGCAAATAAGAGCAGAACCCACAGCAGCCCTCTGCAGCCCACACAGCCACAGCACAGAGCCCACAGCAGCCCTCGGCAGCCCACACAGCCACAGCGCAGAGCCCACAGCAGCCCTCGGCAGCCCACACAGCCACAGCGCAGAGCCCACAGCAGCCCTCGGCAGCCCACACAGCCACAGCGCAGAGCCCACAGCAGCCTTCGGCAGCCCACGGAGCCACAGCGCAGAGCCCACAGCAGCCCTCGGCAGCCCACGGAGCCACAGCGCAGAGCCCGTTCCTACTCCCTCCTCACGTGGACACGGCTCCGCCATGCACTGGGTCAGATGGTCCCATGGGCCCCACAACCCCTCAGGGCCGCTGCCCCTCCTCCCAGCAGCCTACACACCCCACGTCTAGTCCACAACTTCTCATTAGGTCTTAATTTATCATTTCTTAATATGCAGAAATATAAACGAAAGCTTAAAGCTGGAAACAGAACTTCCCACGATTGTCACGGCTCCACATGTACACCCCTCACAGCGCGGCCGGCGGTCCGCAATACGCACCTCACACGGCCTCTGACAAGGAGAGACAGGAGCTGAAATACGAGTCCTCATCAAAACCAACCACAGAAGCGCAGGCTCTGGTGACCTGAACAGTGTGGGAAGCTCCCTCCTGTGCCCGCATCTGCCCGCCTGCTGCACCCGCGGTGTCACCAGGCCAGTTTCAGATCCAAAACTGCCTACTTCTCTCAGTGTGCACAACTATTGGTATGTATAAAGGCAGATTTATCAACACTAAGACAGTAATTTCTTTTCTTTGCTTTTTTTTTTTTGAGAAAAAGTCTTGCTCTGTCACCAGGCTGGAGTGCAGTGGTGTGATCTCAGCTCACTGCAACTTCTGCCTCCTGGATTCAAGCAATTCTGTCTCAGCCTCCCATGTAGCTGGGACTACAGGCGTGCACCACCACACCCAACTAATTTTTTGTGTGTGTGTGTGAGACGGAATCTCGCTCTGTCGCCCAGGCTGGAGTGCAGTGGCGTGATCTCGGCTCACTGCAAGCTCCGCCTCCCGGGTTCACACCATTCTCCTGCCTCAGCCTCCTGAGTACCCAGCTAATTTTTTGTATTTTTAGTAGAGACGGGGGTTTCACCACGTTGGCCAGGCTGGTCTCGACTCCTGACCTCAGGATCTGCCCACCTAGGCCTCCCAAAGTGCTGGGATTACAGATGTGAGCCACCGTGCCCGGCCAAGAATAATTTCTAACAAAACACCTGGAGTATTTTATGAAGTAAATAAACAAAAGACAGACTTTGAACTGGCAGCTGCCACCCCACCCAGCCCACAGCATGGGCTCCGCCTTCTGGTCCATGGCCCCCACAGCACCGCTGTCCACCAGGGTGCTCCGTGGAGCTTCACCTTCCCTGCCTGTGCGGCCGGCTGTGGTGGCCCACAGGACTGAGCCCCTGACCTGGCTGGCATGGCCGAGGACGGACTCGGGTGTGGAAAAGCCTCCGGGGCCTTTGCTGTAGCCCCTGAGCCTCCTTGTCACCCACTTCCCTGTCTCCCGCAGCCGATCCCACCTCTTCGCTCTCGTCCCAAGGCCACGTGGGCCTGACCACCCCCAGGGCTCCGTGCCCCCTCCCGGCTGACAACCACCATCTGCCCTGAGTCTTTCTGCCGGGGCTCTGCCATTGGGCCCTGAAGTTCTCAAACTGACCCGAACATTCCTTGACTGTTAACAGCAGCTGCTGTGCCTGACGCTTGCAGTCCTGGGCAGACAGCAGCCCCCACCATCCTCACAGCTGCTGGGGAAGGGAGCAAGGCCCAGAGACCCCTTGATCCCTGGACGCCCCACACGCCTCCTCCCTCTGCTGACTCCACTCTGCCCTGTCCCCGGAATGCGCTGCGGCCATGGAGACCACAGGCCTTCTGGGGAGCCAGCCAGCCTGCGGTGCCGTGGGGCCTGACGCGTCACACACCAGACCTGGGTCACAGGGGGTGTTGCACTCCAGCCCCTCCTGGCCTCACAGAGGCCCCTGTGCTGTCCTTCAGGCCTGGGCTGCCCGCTCAGCTCTCGGCTCCATCCCCATCCAGCCAGCAGCCTCCGCTCCTGCGTCTTGAGGGTCTTCCAGGAATCTGCCCTACAAGGCCCCCTCACCTGGGGGTGAGGACCCTGCCCCACACAACCAGACTGAAGGGGCCCCCGCACCGTCTGGAACCCTCTGTCTTTCCTGGTCAGACTCACAAGCTCCACGTCCACACAGCTCTCACTTTCACAGAGCCCCATCCCTCCTTCCCGGGGGTGCCAAGCCCACCCCCTCCTCTGGTCTGCCCTGCCCTACCCTCTGGGCACCCCACTCTGGTCACCCACCTTCTTCTGCTTCCCAAGGGCATCTTCCAGATCTTTTTCCACCTCCCTCCTCTCAATGATCACACCCAGGGCCAGCCCCTCCAGGTGCCACTTCTAGCCTCCGAAATGCACCCTCCTCTCCCCGGTGGACCTCAAGGTCACGTGGCTCCATGGCTCCCGGCAACTGCAGCGGCTAGGAGCCTTCAGAAATGCGCAGGGAACACAGCTCTCACCACACTTTTCAGACACATCCCCGCGCGGATGGCGATGACCGAGTGTGGACCCGGCGCGGACGGCGATGACTGAGTGTGGACCCGGCACGGACGGCGATGACGCGAGTGTGGACCCGGCGCGGGTGGGCGATGACGCGAGTGTGGACCCGGCGTGGATGGCGATGACGTGAGTGTGGACCCGGCGTGGATGGCGATGACGCGAATGTGGACCCGGCACGGACGGGCGATGACTGAGTGTGGACCCGGCGCGGGCGGGCGATGTCGCGAGTGTGGACCCGGCGTGGATGGCGATGACGCGAGTGTGGACCCGGCGTGGATGGCGATGACGCGAGTGTGGACCCGGCGTGGATGGCGATGTCGCGAGTGTGGACCCGGCGTGGATGGCGATGTCGCGAGTGTGGACCCGGCGTGGATGGCGATGACGCGAGTGTGGACCCGGCGTGGATGGCGATGTCGCGAGTGTGGACCCGGCGTGGGTGGGCGATGACGCGAGTGTGGACCCAGCGCAGACAGGTGATGACGCGAGTGTGGACCCAGCGCAGACAGGTGATGACGCGAGTGTGGACCCGGCGCGGACGGCGATGACTGAGTGTGGACCCGGCGCGGACGGGCGATGACGCGAGTGTGGACCCGGCGCGGACGGGCGATGACTGAGTGTGGACCCGGCGCGGACGGGCGATGACTGAGTGTGGACCCGGCGCGGACACAGCCCCGACGTGAATGGATGTGTCTCTGATGCCTCAGTGTGACATATGCCTTCCTCTCCACCCAGCTCAGACACCCCCAAAACACTCCGCACGCCAGCCACGCCGCTGCCTGGGGCAGCCTCCAGCTCCTGTCATTTAGCTGCGGGATGCTGGGAGGAGCTGCTGTTCTGAGTCGCGCCTGCAGCACACAGCCGTCTGGATAACACAGTAGCTTCTGCTTTTTGTTTTGTTTTGCAGTAAAAGTCACATACACACGTATTCAGTATGATGTGCAAAGCGAAGGATGATATTAAGGAAAAACGTATCATCCTGAACACTAAGAGGCAGCGGCTGTTCTCTGCGTAAGGACGTGTCCGTGTCTGTGGGTGTGTCCTTAGATAACACTGCATACACACAGATGCTGCTCTCACACAGACACCGTCCCACGCCCCGTGTGTCCTGCACTACGCGATGTGCTCCGATGCGGTTTCTGCAACGAAGGAGCTGCCACGGGCCTCTCCACGCCCACACACAGAGCCACCCAACCCATCCACCTCCCACAGGCCTCTCCCCACACCCACATGCAGCGACACATGTCCACCCACCTCCCACAGGCCTCTCTCCACGCCCACACGCAGAGCCACCCATCCACCAGTCTCCCACAGGCCTCTTTCCACACCCACATGCAGAGACACCCATCCACCCACCTCCCACAGGCCCCTCCCCATGCCCATACACAGAGCCACCCAACCCATCCACCTCCCACAGGCCCCTCCCCATGCCCATACACAGAGACACCCATCCATCCGTCTCCCACAGGCCTCTCTCCACACCCACACGCAGAGCCACCCGTCTCCCTAAGGGTCCTACAGGCCCTGGGGCCTGCGTTCAGCAGCCCCGCTCACCAGGAGCTTCTCTGTCCTGTGAAAGGAGTCCTGGGGGGCAGGGTGACCCCCAGCGAGTGCACTCTGCCCTCGCCTCGCCCGCAGCCTCCTAAGGCACCGACTCCCTCTCTCTTCCGCTCTCCACCCCGGCACCCTCTGCAGCCTGGACGCCTCAGCCCCCTTTCCCGTCTGGCTGACTGCCCAGCCCAGCCTTCCTCTGGGGAGCTCTGCCAGGAGGAAGAGCCGGCATCACAAGCCCATGCCTGGGGCACATTTTCTTCTGCCACCCATATCTTAGGACAGCCTTGAAGTTTCTGTTGTTTGTGAGTCAGTTTTGCTGAGTTATGGAACTTTCCAGAAAACAGCTCCTGAGATTCACAGGCACAAAGCTGCAGGCGTGTCCTGTGCCACCGTGGAACAGCCTCACTGGGGAACCATGAGAATCAGGGCCCGCACTGTTGTAATGGGGCAGTGAGGTTGGTTTCACAAACATCCATGAAATCGTCACCACCGCCCGACAAGCAGCGTTCCCTCCCCAGGGTCCTCAGCCTCATGGGTGCCCAGCCCAGGTGGGAGGGGTGGTGCCACGTGGAGTCCCGTCTGCTCCATGCCTCCCATCTGAGCTCCTGCTTGCCCATGGGGTCATCTCCTCCTTGCTGTCCTCGGCCACTCCCTGGACCATGCCAGAGCTCCCGTCCAAGTGGTGAAACCCGCCCAGGACAGGCTTCTCCAAGCCGCCCTCGCACTAATTCACCCTCCACACAAGTCTGAGCAGTATCTTAGAGACAGAAGTCTGACATGTCCTCCTGACAGCAGAGCCGAGCCTCACCCTCTGCTTCCCATGCCAGCGCAGTCACGTCGGAACCACATCCATTCACGTCGGGGCTGCGTCCACGCCGGGTCCACACGCACGTCACCGCCCGTCCACGCCGGGTCCACACGCACGTCACCGCCCGTCCACCCCGGGTCCACACGCACGTCACCGCCCGTCCACCCCGGGTCCACACGCACGTCACCGCCCGTCCACCCCGGGTCCACACGCACGTCACTGCCCGTCCACGTGGGGTCCTGTTCACGTCGGGGCTGCGTCCACATCAGCCTTGCCGTCCTCCCAGCCATGCACAAGGCTCCCTGGCAGGAGGCCCTACCCACTCACGGGTGGGCCAGCCCCTGTCCACCTGACAAGAGACCCTGCACCTCTCTGGACGGGCAGCCCCACCTCCCGGAGCTGAAACCACTCTGCTGCTCTCCCTTGTGGCACTCTGTCCTCCTGCACAGTCACCCTCCACAGCGATGCACAGGCGCTCCTCCCGCAGTCACCCTCCCCAGCGATGCATGGGCGGGCACTCCTCCCGCAGTCACCCTCTGCAGCGATGCACGGGCGCTCCTCCCGCGGTCACCCTCCCCAGCGGCACACAGGTGCTGTGTGCCACCTGGCCCCTCGTGCTTGGCATACTCCGGCAGCAGGGCCACATCGGCGTCCTCATGAGGCGACAGCACGTCCAGGGCTGTCACTCAGGAGGGAAAGGCCATCCAGTCGATGCCAGAGGCACCCCTGCCTTCACCAACGGGCTCTGCAAAACCTGTTTTCATTTATTTTCACACAAAAATGACCAAACTGCTGCAACTGGCCCCACAGATGCCCCCAGCCCAACATTAGCTGTTCACAACGCTGTGAACCGCACCACAGCTACGATCCCAATGGACTCTCGTTCCCATCGTCCGGAGAGTCCCTCCCTCTATAATGCGGCCCCGACGCTCCGACTGCCAAGGGAGGAGCTGGGCTAGGGTCCCTTCCATGCCCCTGGCATCACTGCAGCAGCGGCAGGACACGGATGAGGCCCAGCCAGACCACCGGATGCCTCCAGCTCTTTGTCTCCGCACCTGGTTCACCTGTGGCCTTTCCACAGCTGGCCTGACCCCAAACACCCTGCCTGCACCGCCCTGCACCGTCCTGCCC